>NC_000019.10:42695419-42998449 GCF_000001405.40 Homo sapiens
GAAATCCTGATTAACTTTCCCAGATTAAAGGAGACTGAGAGAACAGTACAATGAAATGCAATATGTGATACCAGATTGGATCCTGGCCCAGAAAAAGGACATTAGTTAGAAGATAGAGGGGATTTGAATAAGGTCTGTACAGGCATTCATTTTACAGTGTTAATAATCATTTATTGATTTTGATGATTACGTGCATATCTATAATGTTAATATTTGGGGAAGTTGAATGAAAAGCATATGAGGACTTTGCCTATTTTTGGAACATTTTTGAAAGTCTGAAATTATTTCAAAATTAAACATAAAAAGAAAAGAAATATAGATCTTTTAGATATTTCTATTAAGTTGCCAAAGTTGAAGACCATTTCCCAGCTTATCTTGCCTAATACTGTCAGAGTAATCTTCCTGGAAATGCTGTTTGTCATGTTTGTGACCTCAAAGCTTTCCAGTGACTTCTCTTATCTGTAGGATGAAGTTCCCATTATGTAGGCTGCCATTCAGTGCCCTCATAGCATAGCCCTGATCTCCCTTTTTTCTGATCTGTGTTGAAAGACCTGACCAACATTTTACTTTCTTATGTCCAAAACTGTTCGAATTTTTTCTTGCTTATGTAATGCCCTTCCCTGACTTCTCAACTGTGGGAGTTCAGTCAAGGTGGTGGGAAAGATTTTAGAAGAAAAATTATAAAGATAGTTATAGGAAATAGTCACAAACCTTCTTGGAAGGCCGGGTGGTTTGCATAGCTTTAGTAAAAGGTTTGGCTGAAGGCAGCTGAATTATCTTAAAAGCTTAGGGTGTAGATACATAGGAATGTAGAGGAGTTTATCTAAATAGCTTGTTTACTCAGGCGGACCTAAAACCAACATTTAATCCTATGCTCGGGGAACTACTCGGGAGGTCGGCAATGTCAATTACCTTCTAGTGGTGTTTACTCAAGACCTTTGTCATTTAATCTGTACTAAATAAATGTGAACCTCGCTGGCTGATCAGGGCTGCAGCTGCTAACTCTTTACCCGAAGGGTCTGGCCCCTTCTTGGTATCGGTGAGTAGTGACTCGGCCGCCTAGCCTGCTCTTTCGCCAGATATTTGTGTCTGAGTGTATTTGTTCATCCGTTGCTGGGTCAGGGTCTGCTGGTTGGACCCAGACAGTTAGTGCCCTGTGTGAGGACCTGGCATGTTGGTGCCCAGGTCTGAGGTATAGCTGCAAAGAATCGGGAACCCTCGAAAACGAAGAAGACTGTGCCCTTGGTAAGCCAGTAAGTCAGTAAGTCAGTAGGTCATTGGTGCCCGCTTGGGATCTCCAAGTTCGAGGGAATTGTTGCGGCTAGGGTTTGATCATGGGACAACAGTTATCTGCACAACAGAAGCAGTATATAAAAGTATTCAAACAGCTGCTTAAAGCCACTGGAGCCTCGGTTTTGCAGGCTCAATTAAGGGACCTAATGCAAATTGTATCACTTAACCCATGGTTCCCAGAAGAAGGTACACTAGACATAGAGCTTTGGGAACAAGTGGGAAGAAATTTTTTTTTTTTTTTGAGACCGAGTCTCCCTTCTTCGCCCAGGCTGGAGTGCAGTGGCGCGATCTCGGCTCACTGCAAGCTCCGCCTCCTGGGTTCATGCCATTCTCCTGCCTCAGCCTCCTGAGTAGCAGGGACTACAGGCGCCAGCCACCACGCCTGGCTAATTTTTGTATTTTTAGTAGAGACGGGGTTTCACTGTGTTAGCCAGGATGGTCTTGATCTCCTGACCTTGTGATCCGCCCGCCTCGGCCTCCCAGAGTGCTGGGATTACAGGCGTGAGCCACCGCGCCCGGCCGAATTTTTTTTTTTTTTTTGGAGACAGAGTCTCCCTCTGTCGCCCAGGCTGGAGTGCAGCAGCGCGATCTCGGCTCACTGCAAGCTCTGCCTCCTGGGTTCACGCCATTCTCCTGCCTCAGCCCCCTGAGTAGCTGGGACTACAGGTGCCGGCTACCACGCCCGACTAATTTTTTTGTATTTTTAGTAGAGACAGGTTTTCACCGTGTTAGCCAGGATGGTCTCGATCTCCTGACCTCGTGCGCAAGAGCAATGGGTCCCAGTATAATCTTTAACGCTGTGGGCTTTAGTGAGGGCGACTCTGGTCCCATTATACACAGAAGATCCTAAAAAGGGGAAGGAGAAAGAACCGTCACCTATTTTACCACCCCTGAGTCCCTCAGCCCCACTATCACCGGGCCAAAATAACAAAGAGGAAACGAAGGTTTTGCCTGAGACCCCTCCTCCAATAAATAAGAAAAAAGACAAGGGATACACTACAGCTATGGGACCCTGTCTTAAGCAAGCGGCATTAGAAGGGGAGCTTTTAGCCTGCCCGGTGATGCAAAATCACTAAGGTAATCAGGTGTATGTTTATAAAGAGATAAGGAAAGGCATTAATGGGGTGCAGCACACCAACATGGCACATGTATATATATGTAACAAACCTGTACGTTGTGCACATGTACCCTATAACTTAAAGTATAATGAAAAAGGGAGAAAAGGCATTAGAAGCCGAAGCTGCGCAGCCAAGCGGGCGGAGGGCGAAAGGAAAGCCTCAGCTGCAAAAAAGCTCGCAGCGCCCAAGCTGACAGGGTTCGGCCAGGCCAGCAGCATCCGCACCGCGGTGGGAGGAGGGAGCGGTGCAGACAAAAAGCCGCACAGACAAAAAGTGGCGCCTAAACAAGCACAGTGCGGCGGCCGCCCAGGACCCGCCCGGCTGCCCTCCGGCTCCACATGGGGCCCATGGTAAAATCGCATGTGTTCTTTGTATACAAGGAACATCCCAAATTATAATTCTCTGTTAAAATTTAAGTTAAATTTAAATTATAATTATGGCCACTGTTTTTCCTCTGCTACCCCTGATATGGCTCTCTCAAAATCTTAATTGGGTAAGAGTGACCTCTGAAGGGAGAAAAATTACAAAGAGCCCATAAATTAGTTGAGGAACGATTAAAAGCCGGCCATATAGAACCATCTAACAGCCCTTGGAATTCGCCCATTTCGTCATTCCCAAAAGTCTGGCAAATGGAAACTTTTGCATGACTTACGTGTTATTAATGCTAATCTACAGCCTATGGGACCCCTTCCCCCGCGGCGATTCCTCAAGATTGGTCTATAATTGTTATTGACTTAAAAGACTGTTTTTATACTATTCCTCTCGCAGAACAGAGAAAAATTTGCGTCTACATTACCAGCTATTAAAGTCTGTCAGATTTTACACTGATAATGCTTTTTCTTTTTATGTGCAGAATAAAGACAAGATGAGACCAAATATTCTTCCCCCTACTTGTCTCTTCCTACCTGCTTTCCCTCCTTTAAGAAGATGTGTAAGTGCCAGGCCTCCTGAAAACCACCTCAAGGACACAACAAGCCATAGAGGGTTTCTACAACTTGTGTTTTTCCAGGGTATGCCCTCAAGCTCTGGTCCAATAAACCTCAATTGATTCAGACACAAACCTCAACTGATTCAGACACTTGAATCAGGCACTCAATTTGGTTAACATTTTGCCAACCATGAAGGGGGTCCTCTTAATGGAGTTTAGAACCTTTGACCTGCAGTGCTTCTTTTGTTCATGCTCAGTACCAACTATAGAGCTTTAGTTGTGACCAGTCATGTGACTTTCTGAGAATTGGATCCTACTTTCTCTTGAGGTCCCTGCTCTCTCCGATTTTTTTGTTTGAGATCTGAGTTTTGTTTCTTCATGGAACTCCTCTCCTCATGGAGCTTTGCTCACTTCCTAAAAGGAACATGAGTTTCCTGCTCCTGTGACAATGGAGAGCCGACTACAGCTTGGTCCCTGCTCAACTAAGGAGCTGGTTTGGGGTTTTTAGAATTTGGTAGCTGCAGGATAAGGCTTATTACTACTTCATTCTAACCTCTCCTTATGCTTAGAGTGTTCAACAGTATGTAAATAGTGCAGTCGCTATTTGTGTTTTTGGTTTTTATCATTCTTCCTTTGGATTTGACCAACTCTTCACCTTGTCTAATGTCCAGAACACCTTTCACTTGGTCAAATCCAAATCTAACAGGAGCTCTAAATTATGGTGAAGCAGGCCTTTAAACTGGCTAAAATTCTGTAATGGCAGAACATCCAACTCCACCTCTAGAAACACCTGTTTGTTGAAGAAAATAACAATATTTTAACCCGCAATATATTTCTTTGACAAATTTTGACATGTCTGTCAGAGGGCCAGCAAATAGAAGTGGCCCTGCACAGTTGCCTTTTGTGGAAAAAATCTACATCATAGAGAATCATTATTAATGCAGGCATGTCTTCCCTTATCTGGATCTGGGAAAAATGGACTGAATCTGATACCTTAAAGATAAACAAGTTTAGCATTGATTTTTCTCTGAGGGCTGCTACCTGCAAGGTTTTACTGACACAAGACCAGCTTTGCTAACTGAACTTCCTTTCTTTCTCCCATTACCTGTATTACCACTAAAACCTGATTTACCTCCATAACCTCGTTTTGGACATGCAGAAATGCAGAAAAGTAATCAGCCAGCTAAAGGGTAAAAATGTATTAGTCTCAAGTTTCCTGGCTTCCCTCTGTGCATTCTTTCCAATTGGATGGTAAAAATCACTGTTTCCTCCACCAAATTTTGATTAATGGGAGATTTGTGTTGGACTAGTCTTGGTGTAGTAATTCTGGTGTACTTTTTAGTAATGTTGGGGTATGAGTATTTTGATTGTTTAATCCATTTCCTCCCAGAAGTAGTCTTTTCCTTTATCTCTTTCATTCTGTGTTGCTCATAAAGGGAGGTACTGGATAAAGTTTTCTCTCATCTTGTGATATGTCCTTGAGGGCTTGATTTGTGACCAAGTCAGAGCACTCACTCTTGGTCTCCACCATCAGGGGGAGGAGTCATTTTTGAGTCACATTAGGTGACCAGCTGTAACATGGCTGAGACCCTGAGGTTTTTTATTTGTTTTGTTTTCCAAATGTGTTAAGCTCCCAGGAGGGCTTGTCATAAGAAGTCCCATCCAGGCTGGGTGCGGTGGCTCACACCTGTAATCCCAGCACTTTGGGAGGCCGAGGTGGGCGGATCACGAGGTCAGGAGATTGAGACCATCCTGGCTAACACGGTGAAACCCCGTCTCTACTAAAAATACAAAAAAATTAGCCGGGCATGGTAGAGGGTGCCTGTAGTCCCAGCTACTCGGGAGGCTGAGGCAGGAGAATGGCGTGGACCTGAGAGGCGGAGCTTACAGTGAGCCGAGATTGCATCACTGCACTACAGCCTGGGCGACAGAGTGAGACTCCCTCTCAAAAAAAAAATAAAATAAAAAAAAAAAAAATAAAAAAGTCCCATCCATCAGGGACTTTTGTCATTCCCAAGTCTTGTTGCTTGGATAGGGCTGTGGCAACAAGAGTCTTTTGCTTTCCTAAGCCTATTCCTGAGAGTACATATTTTATTTTGTGGTGGGGGAAAAGATCATTGGGATTGGCTTTTCACTGAAGAGGCTGTTGGATTGAGTCACTTAGAATCAATACACCACTGGAAATTCTAATTGTCCATGGCCAGAAGATGGATTCTTTAAATTGGGACATCTAAGTTAAAAAATATTTTAGAGATCTCTTATTCCAAACAGTTGATCAGAGGATTGAATTTCAAAGAAAGACACCTGATAGTGTTATGGCTAGCCTTAAAATTTCTTTTGACTAAATTACAGAGCAAAAAATCTCACCTAAAACAAAGTTATTTTTTTGTAAGCTCAAACTGCTTGACTTAGATCATCTGAGAAAATAAGAATAGAAGCCACTTTACCTTGTCATTGAATAGTTAAAATCTTATGCTTTTACTGCTGCAGCCTGGATTTAATTTTGGGTCAGGGAACCAGCCTTACTTGTTCTGATATTTGTGTGATTTTTGAGTTTTTGAGGTGCTCCTTGACCTCTTTGGAGATGCCTCATACATCCTTGGCTAAGCCATAATCTTGGTTAAGGCTTATTAGTTTCATTTGGGAGGATACTTTTGGTTAAAAAAAAAAATCAAAAGCCAGAAATATCAGCTGTTTGTCCTACCTAAAATCTGATATGAAGAAGTCTGAGGCTGGGCACGGTGGCTCACACCTGTAATCCCAGCACTTTAGGAGGCTGAGACAGGCGGATCAGGAGGTTAGGAGATCGAGACCATCCTGTCTAACACGGTGAAATCCCGTCTCTACTAAAAATACAAAAAATTAGCCTGGCATGGTGGCGGGCACCTGTAATCCCAACGGCTCAGGAGGCTGAGGCAGGAGAATGGCATAAACCCAGGAGGCAGAGGTTGCAGTGAGCCGAGATCGTGCCACTGCACTCCAGCCTGGGTGACAGAGCGAGACTCCATCTCAAAAAAAAAAAAAAAAAAAAAAAAGAAAATCTGAAAGTGTCACAGTAGGTAGCTGGTTAGACATGAGCAGGGCAGGAGAGAGCTTTCCACCCCCACACACTAGAAATGTCAAGTGATCATCACCAGGTGATGGTCAAGTCAGGTGGTTGTTAACTGTCTCTAAAGTAATAATTGGTTGCAGGTAGTGCCAGGGAGATATAGTCTCACAATAGATAGAAAACACCTGAAACAGGTGATCAGCAGCTTCCCAATAAGTTCTCAGAAGTTGAGCAAGTGGGCTCAAATATACACATTAAGAGGCAACATAATAGAGTTTCTGGTATATGACCTTCTAGGGACTTTTTTTTTTTTTTTTTTACATTTTAGAAGCATCATTTTTTAGGAACTATGTTTTTAAATTTTTTATTATTTTATTTTATTTTTAAATCTGTAAATCTTTTATTTCCATAGGTTTTTAGGGATTTGGTATTTAATTACATAAGTTCTCTAGGGGTGATTTGTGAGATTTTGGTGCACCCATCACCTGAGCAGTATACACTGAATTCAATTTGTAGTCTTTTATCCCTCACCCCCTTCCCACCATTTTCCCCAAGTCCATCGTATCATTCTTAGATGATACAGAGCTTAGCTCCCACTTACGAGTGAGAACATAGTGTTTGGTTTTCCATTCCTGAGTTACTTAGAATAATAGTCTCCAGTTTCTTCCAGGTTGCTGCGAATGCCATTAATTAATTCCTTTTATGGCTGAGTAGTATTCAATCATATATATATACTACAATTTCTTTATCCACTCATTTATAGTTTACATTCGCACCAGCAGTGTAGATGTGTTCCCTTTTCACTGCTTCCACACCAACATCTATTATTTTTATTTATTTATTTTTGAGATGGATGGAGTCTTGCTCTGTCGCCCAGGCTGGAGTGCAGTGGCATGATCTTGGCTCGCTGTAACTTCTGCCTCCCAGGTTCAAGCCATTCTTCTGCCTCAGCCTCTGGAGTAGCTGGGATTACAGGCATGTGCCACCTCACCCGGGTAATTTTTTTGTATTTTTAGTAGAGACAGGGTTTTACCATGTTGTACACACTGGTGTCAAACCCCTGACCTTAGGTGATCCACCCACCTCGGCCTCCCAAAGTGTTGGGATTACAGGTGTGAGCTACCGCGCCTGGCCAACAACTATTATTTTTTCATTTTTTGATTATGAACATTCTTGCAGGAGTAAGGTGGTATCACATTGTGGTTTTGATTTGCATTTCCCTGATCATTAGTGATATTGAGCATTTTTTCTTATGTTTGTTAGCCATTTCTATGTCTTCTTTTGAGAATTGTTTATTCACATTCTTAGCTCACTTTTTGATGGGATTGTTTGTTTGTTTGCTAATCTGAGTTTCTTGTAGATTCTGGATATTGGTTATCTTTCAGATATATAGATTGCAAAGATTTTCTTTCATTCTGTGGGTTATATGTTTAGTCTGCTGACTGTTGCTTTGCTGTGCAGAAGCTCTTTAGTTTAAGTCTCACCTATTTATTTTTGCTTTTGTTGCATTTGCTTTTGGGTTCTTGGTCATGAACTTTTCGCCTAAGCCAATGTCTAGAAGGGTTTTTCCAATGTTATCTTCTAGAATTTTTATAGTTTCAGGTCTTAGATTTAAGTCCTAGATTCATTTTGAGTTGATTTTTGTATAAGGTGAGAGATGGGGATCCAGTTTTATTCTCCTACATTCGGCTTGCCAATTATTTCAGCACCATTTGTTGAATAGGGTGTCCCTTACCCATTTTATGTTTTTGTGTGCTTTGTCAAAGATAAGTTGGCTGTAAGTATTTAGGTTTATTTCTGGGATCTGTATTCTGTTCCGTTGGTCTATGTGTCTATTTTTATACCAGCACCATGCTGTTTTGGTGACTATGGACTTAGAGTATTGTTTGAAGTCAGGTGATATGACACCACCGCATTTGTTCTTTTTGCTTAGTCTTGCTTTGGCTATGTGGGCTCTTGTTTGGTTCCATATGAATTTTAGAATTGTTTTTTCTAGTTCTGTGAAGAATGGTGGTGGCATTTTAATAGGACTTGCATTGAATTTGTAGATTGCTTTTGTCAGCATGGTCATTTTCACAATAATGATTCTATTCATCTATGAGCATGGGGTGCATTTTCATTTTTTGCGTCATCTGTGATTTCTTTCAGCAGTGTTTTGTAGTTTTTCTTGTAGAGGTCTTTCACCTCCTTGTTTAGATACATTCCTAGTTATTATTTTTTTATAACTGCTGTCATAAAAGGGGTTCAGTTCTTGATTTGATTCTCTGCTTGGTTGCTGTTGGTGTGTAGCAGAGCTACTGATTTGTGCGCATTAATTTTGTATACAGAAACTTTGCTGAATTCATTTGTCAGTTCTAGGAGCTTTTTGGAGGAGTCTTTAGGGTATTCTAGGTATACGATTATATCGTCAGCAAACAGAGACAGTTTTACTTCGTCTTTACCGATTTGGATGCCCTTTATTTATTTCCCTTGTTTGATTGATTTGGCTAGGGCTTTCAGTACTCTGTTGAATAAAAGTGGTGAGAGCAGGCATCCTTTTCTTGTTCCCCTGCTCAGAGTGAATGCTTTCAACTTTTTCTCATTCAGTATCGTGTTGGCTGTGGGTTTGTGTGCCAATTTTGCTGAGAGTTTTAATCATAAAATGATGCTGGATGTTGTCAAGTGCGTTTTCAGTGTCTATTGAGAGGATCATGTGATTTTTAAATTATGTTTATGTGGTGTACCACATTATTGACTTGTGTATGTGGAACCATTCCTGCATCCCTAGTATGAAACCTACTTGATCATGGTGGATTATGTTTTTGATGTACTATTGGATTCAGTTAGCTAGTATTTTGTTAAGAATTTCTGCATCTGTGTGCACCAGGGATATTGGTCTGAAGTTTTCTTTGTTATGTCCTTTCCTGGTTTTGGTATTAGGGTGATACTGGATTCATAGTATGATTTAGAGAGAATTCTCTCTCTTTCTAGCTTGTGGAATAGTGTCAATTAAATTGGTACCACCTCTTCTTTGAATGTCTGGTAGAATTCAGCTGTGAATCTGTCTGGTCCTGGAATTTGTTTTGTTGTTAATTTTTTAATTATCTTTTCAATCTTGCTGCTTTTTGTTGGTCTGCTCAGGGTTTCTAATTCTTTCTGATTTAATCTAGGAGAGTTTTACATTTCCAGGAACTTATTCATCCCCTCTAGGTTTTCTAGTTTATGCACATAAACGTGTTCATAGTACCTTTGAATGATCTTTTGTATTTCTGTGGCATTCGTTGTAATAGCTCCCATTTCATTTCTGATTGAGCTTATTTGGCTCTTCTCTCTTCTTTTCTTGGTTAATCTTGCCAATGGTCTATCAATTTTATTTATTTTTCCAAGAAACCAGCTTTACATTTTATTTATATTTTGTATTATTTTGTTTCAGTTTCATTTAGTTCTGCTCTGATCTTGGTTATTTTCTTTCTTCTACTGGGTTTGGGTTTGGTGTGTTCTTGTTTCTTGAGTTTCTAGAAATGTAACCTTAGATTGTCTATTTGTGCTCTTTCAGTCTTTTTGATGTAGGCATTAAAGGCTATGAACTTTTAGCATGGTCTTTGCTGTATTCTAGATGTTTTGATAGGATGCATCACTATTGTTCAGTTCAAAGAATTTTTAAATTTTCATTTTGATTTCATATTTGACCCAATGATCATTCAGGAGCAAGTTATTTAATTTCCATGTGGTTGGTTTTGAAGGTTCCTTTTGGAGTTGATTTCCAGTTTTATTCTACTGTTGTCTGAGAGAGTACTTCATATAATTTCAATTTTCTTAAATTTATTGAGACTTGTTTTGTGGCCTATAGTATGGCCTATCTTAAAGAAAGTTCCATGTGCTGATGAATAGAATGTATATTCTGTGGTTGTTGGGTAGAATATTCTGTAAATATCTCTTAAGTCTATTTGCTCGAGGGCATAGTTTAAATCTATTGTTTCTTTCTTGACTTTCTGTCTTGATGACCTGTCTAGTGCTGTCAGTGGACTAATGAAGTCCCTCACTATTATTGTGTTACTGTCTATCTCATTTCTTAGGTCTAGTAGTAATAGCTATATAAATTTGGGAGCTCTGGTGTTAGGTGTATATATGTTTAGGATTGTGATATTTTCCTGTTGGACAAGTCCTGTTATTATTGTATAATGTCCCTCTTTGTCTTTTTTAACTGCTGTTGCTTTAAAGTTAGTTTTTTTGATATAGGAATGGTTACTCCTGCTCACTTTGTGGCCATTTGCATGGGGTGTCTTTTTCTACCCTTTTACCTTAAGTTTACATGACACTTTGTGGTTAGGGGAGTCTCTTGAGGGCTGCAGATACTTGCTTGGTGAATTATTATCAATTCTGCAATTCTGTATCTTTTAAGTGAAGCATTTAGACCACTTACATTCAATGTTAGTATTGAGACATGAAGTACTGTTCCATTCATCCTGCTATTTGTTGCCTGAATACCTTGGTTTTATATATTTATTTATTGTATTTTTGTTTTATAGGTCCTGTGAGATTCATGCTTAAAGAGGTTCTGTTCTGATGTGTTTCCAGGATTTGTTTCAAGATTTGGAGCTCCTTTTAGCAGTTATTGTAGTGCAGGCTTGGTAGTGGCAAATTCTCTGAGCATTTGTTTGTCTGAAAAAGACTGTTATCTTTCCTTTATTTATGAACTTTAGTTTTGCTGGATACAAAATTCTTGGCTGATAATTTTTTTTAAGGAGGCTGCAGATAGGTATGCATGCTCATTTGAGGTGTTCTTCCCTTATTAAAGATTGCTAAAATCACATGTGTTGAAAAGCATTTGGGATTATTTACTTAATTGATGAGTACTCATTTATTTTTGCATTAATTTGATACCATGTATAAACAATATATAAACATAGGTATGGACATATACATATATGTGATACAACATAGAACATATACATGTGCACATAAAGATAGAAGGAGACAGAAATACTTTAGATTTTTGATTTTAAAACTATGCATAGAACCCATAAAACTCACTATTAAAAAAAAGTTGGATTTAAATTGTGCTTTTGTAAATAGAAAAAGTTAACATTTATCTGAGGAAGCCCTTGCTGAGTTTTAGAGAAAGTAGGTAGTAAATTTACATCTCAAAGCACAGAGAGAGAGAGAGAGAGAAGGAATTTGGGTGTGTTCAAGGAAGATTAAAAATAGATGGCAAGGTAACACAAAAATGATAGAAATTTATAACAGGATTTTATAAGGAGACCAATTTTATTTCCATACATAGCTTTTATTTTGGTCTCTATTTTCCAACTGTACTCCAGGGAACACACTACACAGGCTCCCTTAAGTGCTGGTGGGCCACTGCACATGCAGACAGCCCACTTTAAGGGAAGAATCGGGGGAGAAGAGATGCAGACCCCAGAATTATGCCAACATACGAAAGCCTAAGTCAAAGGTCAAACCACACACTTGAAATCTCATCGCCTGTTTGGCCCTGTTTTAAGTGTACTTTACTTTCTTTAATTTCTGCTCTAAAGCTTTTAAATAAACTTTCACTCTTGCTCTAAAACTTGTCTCAGTCTTTTCTTCTGCTTTATGACTCTTGGTTGAATTCTTTCTTCTGAAGAAGCAAGAATTGAGGCTGCTGCAGACTTCTACAGATTTGCTGCCACTAATATACTTTAGTGCCATTCTACATGATAGAATATATATATATTCTTATATTTATACATAGATATATAATATATGTATTCATAGAGGCCTTGAATCTACATTCTTGCTCCACTTTATGTAAACAATCCAGGTATAAGACTAAAACTTATTTTGGAAATACATTGGTCCCATATGATTTCTATTTCATAAAAATGGGAGACAGGAGGGGGAAAATTATTTTTCAGAAGAAAACAACAGAACAATGGTTATTGAATTTTAGATCTGTTCTTTTTTTCTTGAACTTTGTTATTTACCTACAATTTGGACTGAATCCTAAATTTTTTCCTGGCTACAAATTTCAAAACTAATGGTTTCAGAATTTTCTTCCATTTTTCTTCCATTTTGGTATATTGTAAATTAAAACTGTGATTTTTAAATTTTTATCTTTTTTTATTACACTTTTAAGTTCTGGGATACATGTGCAGAACCTGCAGGTCTGTTACATAGGTATACACGTGCCATGGTGTTTTGCTGCACCCATTAACCCATCATCTACCTTAGGTATTTCTCCTACTGCTATCCCTCCCCTAGTCCCCCACCCCTCAACAGGCCCCAGTGTGTGATGTTCCCCTCCCTGTGTCCATGTGTTCTCATTGTTCAACTCCCACTTATGAGTGAGAACATGTGGTGTTTGGTTTTCCGTTCCTGTGTTAGATTGCTGAGAATGGTGGTTTCCAGCTTCATCCATGTCCCTGCAAAGGATATGAACTCATCGTTTTTTATGGCTGCATCGAATTCTGTGGTGTACATGTACCACATTATCTTTATCCAGTCTATCATTGATAGGCATTTGAGTTGATTCCAAGTCTTTGCTATTGTGAATAGTGCTGCAATAAACATATGTGTG
This sequence comes from Homo sapiens, assembly GCF_000001405.40. Taxonomy (NCBI): domain Eukaryota; kingdom Metazoa; phylum Chordata; class Mammalia; order Primates; family Hominidae; genus Homo; species Homo sapiens. The sequence continues at coordinate 42,708,346 of NC_000019.10, forward strand.
CATGTGTCTTTATAGTAGAATGATCTATAATCCTTTGGGTATATACCCAGTAATGGGATTACTGGGTCAAATGATATTTCTTGTTCTAGATCCTTGAGGAATCGCCACACTGTCTTCCACAATGGTTGAACTAATTTACACTCCCACCAACAGTGTAAAAGCATTCCTATTTCTCCACATCCTCTCCAGCATCTGTTGTTTCCTGACCTTTTAATGATCACCATTCTAACTGGCATGAGATGATATCTCATTGTGGTTTTGATTTGCATTTCTCTAATGACCAGTGATGATGGGCTTTTTTTCATATGTTTGTTGGTCACATAAATGTCTTATTTTGAGAAGTGTCTGTTCCTGTGCTTTGCACACTTTTTGATGGAGTTGTTTGTTTTTTTCTTGTAAATTTGTTTAAGTTTCTTGTAGATTCTGGATATTAGTCTTTTGTAAGATGGATAGATTAAACCTTGCAAGCTGAAACTAGACGACTTATGTAAACTTCTGGAGAAATCATAGCAACTTATATATAAACAACTTTTGTGCCTGCTGATGTGGACTACACAAAAGGTTCACATGAACACTGGATTCAGACTGCAATTCAGAAATGTGTCAGATTGCCGTTGTAATTGGAAGATGCTTCAGAAACTCTAGAAAACCTAGTCTATAGACTGCTCCAGACATTACAGGTGAGCCAACATACAACTGAAAGGGTTCAAGCGGTGTTTGCCAAACGAATTGCTCTAATTGAAGCAGCAGTTGTGTGACTTTAATAAGGTTCCAGGATTATACTGTCCCTTTTTTGCTGTGACTTCCCTTTGCCCTTTTCTGATTTGTCTTCATCCCCTTTTCCATGGGGCATGACTTCTTAAGAATGAGCCTTCCTAGTGATGTAGGATGAGATGAAACATACAGTCACAAAGTCATGTCTTCTACAATGCTTTCTCTGAAAGCTTTTGAAGAATCGGGGGGCCAGGTGTGCTGGCACAGGCCTGTAATCCCAGCACTTTGAGGGTCTAAGGCAGGAGGATCACTTGAAACCAGGAGTTTAAGACCAGCCTGAGCAACAAAGGGAGACCACGTCTCTACAAAACATAAAATAAATCAAATTAGCCAGGTGCAGTGGTGCATGCCTATAGTCTCAGATACTTGGGAGGCTAAGGTGGGAGGACCGCTTCAGCCCAGGAGTTCAAGGCTGTAGTGAGTGCACTCCAGTCTGGGTGACAGAGCAAGGTTGTGTCTCTAAAAGAAAAAAAAAAAAAAAAAAAAAAAAAAAGAAAAGAAAAAGAAAGGGGTAAACAGGAAAGCCAAAGATCTCGAGCATCTCCAGATGATTGCCTGAACAAATTGTTTTTTCTTGGCTTCCAAACCTTTCAAGATGTATATTACTTTGTAAAAGAAAGACATGCCAATTGTAACTTTAAGTGAGCAATCAAAATCTAGCTCCTAAAACTGAAGTATTTTAACTCTCATTCTGATAATTTATTTTCTGAGGCACAGAAGAAAGACAAGATTAGGTCAATTGTTTTTATGCCCACTCCATCTCTTCCAACCTGCCTTCTCCCCTTTAATCAAATGTATAAACACTAAGCCTCCTGAAACCTCTTCAGAGAAAACACAAGCCACAGAGGTTTTTTGCAACTCATGTTTTCCCAGGGTGCACCATCAAGCTCTGGCTCGATAAAACTCAATTGGTCAAGACCCTTGCCTCAGTCAGTCATTCTGGATAACCACCATGAGTCCTGCAAAGCCCTTCAGTAATCTATTGCCTGCCTAGGTGATGTGTACCCAGGTGAGTCAGGTCTTCATGAGTCAAACACTCGTCTTCCTTTTCTGTCTTTCCCAACCCTACCACTCAGTGCTGTGTGCTCTGATCTGACCCCAGCTCCCAGGTTGTTTGTATTGGTCTAAGAAAGCAAGACCAGGAGGGGCAGGTTGAGAAGGAAGTAAGAGGCCAACAGCCATGGAAAGTGGCAGGTGGGGCTGTCATTGCTCAAAGCCACACACCCTGGGTGCATTTTGTGAATTTTTCTGGATTCGGAATCTTTTTCCTGTGTGTCTGTCTAGAAACTCACCTTCTTCCTACTTTCTTCTCAGTACACTTTCTGTTTCTAGTGCACTCATTTATGTCCAGAGAATGGCCATGCAAATAGTTGACAATAGAATAAAAAATGACTTTTTATGAGACTTGGAAGCTGGCCTTTCTTTTTTCCAAAAGAGATTGAGGTTTCCATAAAAACTAGCTTTTATGCAGGGCTGTGTAGTTGTGAGTGTAGTTTTAGGGAACAGGTGCATAAGTGAAGGGTGAGACAGAAAACAAAATGCTGGCTGTTTGTCAAATCCTGAAAGTAGGGGGGCTGAAATCATTTTTGAAGGAGGATGTCATTCAGGAGACCTTGTACATCTTAGAGTGTCCTCTTACCAGATGAAGTGGAGGATGAGGTTGAATTAGGGAGTTAGGTGACAGTGGGCACATACTTCTCTGCCTCAGTTTTTTTTTTAAATCTGTAAAAATGGGGATGATAACACTCAGGATTTTTTGGTGAGGACTGTAGTTACCTGGAAAGCCCTTAGGATAGTGCCCGGTGCATAGTGAGTGCTGCATCAGTGTGAGCTATTATAATTATGGGAATAGGCAAAGGTGCCACCCTGGCCATCCAGAGTGGAGAGGTATTTTCTGGTCAGGGTCCAGGCAGGCCAGCTGGAGATGAAGCTGATTAGTGGGGAAGCTTAACTTCCAGGAGCGGAAGAATTTAGGAGGAGTAAACAGAATGCACAACATTCTGTAAACATGCCTTTACCCAACAGTAGGAATACTCAGAGTGGGTGTGGCTTCCATGGCAATCATTATCTCCTGGGAATCTAAGAATGTGTCCTAGAGTCAAGTGGCTTTGATGTAAGCCAAACCTGGAAATGGGCTTCAGGGCTGCCTTGCACATAGCATTCATTCATCTTGAAAAAGGAAAGCATTCATCTTGCTAAAGGAATCCCCTCTTCTGGTCCAGGCCATTATTTTTGCTTTTGTACTATCCTAATTTTTAAGGTGTAAGGAGAAAGACCAAAGAATAAAATAATGAAGTACCTGTATGAAATAACAGGGTAGAATTGAGACTGGTACGTGTAAGTTAAGAGAAATTGTGTATAAATTTTTGTGAACAGAAAAAGGATTTCTTGTTGCAAACTGACCTCTCTATATAAATAATACCCATTGCCTTGAATGGATGGCAGACCGCATCACAAGAACATTCCAGCAGAGTCATGAGAGAATGGGTAGTGTGGCTTCTTTAATTGGCAGGTTAGACTGAGTAAGTTACTGAAGAGAAAGGAGTTGAAGGAGAAGATGGGTGAGGGCAAGAAAAATGGGAAGGTGAAAGGAAAGGACTGAAAGGAATGTTTACCAAGGGCTCATCAGGTACCAGGCTCTGTGACTAATGTCTTACACATGTTAATTTACTCTTCCACTGTCATTTTCTGATGCAGTAAGAGTCAGTCTTACACTACAGGTGAGGAAAGAGGCTGAGGGAGGTCAAATGAGTGGCCCAGGGTCATCCAGCCACTTCATAGCAGAGCTAGTGTGTTTCACTGTGGTTTGTGCAGACAGAAAAGTGAGACATAGAAGGAAGGCAAAACATTTTTGTTGTGGGTGATGTTTATGAAAGTGACCCGTATGAGGCAGAATAATGGCCTCTTAAAAATGTCCACATCCGGGCCGGGCGCAGGGGCTCACACCTGTAATCCCAGCACTTTGGGAGGCTGAGACGGTGGATCACGAGGTCAGGAGTTCGAGACCAGCTTGGCCAACATGGTGAAACCCCGTTTCTACTAAAAATGCAAAAATTAGCTGGGCGTGGTGGCGGGCGCCTGTAATGCCAGCTACTTGGGAGGCCGAGGCAGGAGAATCATTTGAACCTGGGAGGCGGAGATTGCAGTGAGCTGAGATTGTGCCACTGCACTCCAGCCAGGGCAACATGAGTGAAACTCTGTCTCAAAAAAAAAAAAAAAAAATCCACATCCTAACTCTTGGAACACATGCATTTACTTTTCTTGGCAAAAACACTGTTCAAAGTTAATGAAGTTGAGTATCTTGAGATGGAAAGCTTATTCTGGCTTATCTGGGTGGCTCCCAGTTTCATCATAAGTGTCCTTGTAAGTGAAAGAGAAAGGCAGGAGGGTCAGGGTGAGAAAGATGCAGCCTGAGAGACTCCACTGGCCATTGCTTCCTGTGAACATGTGTGATAAGACAAAATTACAACTAATTTAGTTACAGATGTAATTGGCTTTTATTTGTGATTTATGATTTGGGGCAGCTCTCCCTCTACAGATGCCTCAGCATCCCAAGTAGCTGGGACTATATTGCGGGATCTGGCCAGCAGCCTGCAATGCAACGGGGCTCTTTCTTTGTTCCCAGGCAGATCAGCAGGTTGAGAAATAAAAGACACACACAAGATAGTGAAAGCTGGGTCCAGAGGGGTCACCGCCTTCTTGTCCTGCAATGCTGCCAATGCACTGGATATACCAGCATTTATTATTAAGTTTAGTGAGAGCGGGGTTAGGTTAGTGAGGGATTTAGGGTCATTTATAGGCTCTCCACAAGCGTTGCATTCCATTCCCAGAGCTATGGACATCTGCTTTTCTGGGATAGGAATCTTGGTAATGTGAAACCTCCCTGACTGCACGTCTGTTCATAGGCTCTCTGCCGGGGGAAGCACATCACGTGCTGTTGGCTCATTCTGGCAGTCCAACCTGGCATTTGTCTTTACACAATCCTGCATGCAATTTTGTATTTACAATAATCAGGAGCATTTCATCTTTTATTCCATAGCAATAGTTTCAGGGGGTCTCCCTACATCTCCCCCTTTTCTCTGATTTAAATGAACCATAGCAATCATAGCTTGGCACTGATCACGATTGGATTGAAGAATATTTTTTTCCAATTTTACATATGAACAATAAACCAATAGCACAAATTATACACAGAACAAAATTAACGATAGTGGATCCTCCCAAAGATATTACCTATTGAATGGGGTTGAGATTAGATAACCCCTCAGAGATACTGTCTAAAACTTCAGCACTGGGTAAAGCAGTTAAGTGTGCTTGAGAGGCTTCAAAAATCTGTTCTTTTAGCTTGCTTATGTCTAAACTTAAATTATCTTCACTTCCTTGTAAATGGGATTTTACTGATTCCCAATTATGAACAGACTCATTATATTGGAACTGAGTTATACAAAAATCAGAAGTATTCCTATCACACTAAATTTGTAATCTATGTTCTAAACTCATAATTCTATCTCCCATCCATATAACAGAAGCACATCAAGCGCTGTAGGCTCATTCTGGCAGCCAATCTGGCATTGTCTTTACACAATCCTGCATTCAACTTTGTATTGACAATAATCAGGAGCATTTCATCTTTTATTCTGTAACAATAGTTTCAGGGGTTCTCCCTACAGGACTACAGGTGTGCACCACCATGCCTGGCTAATTTTTGTATTTTTAGTAGAGACAGGGTTTCACCATATTGAACGGGCTGATCTCGAACTCCTGACCTGGTGATCTGCCTGCCTTGGCCTCCCAAAGTGCTGGGATTACAGATGTGAGCCACTGCGCCCAGCCCATAAATCACACATTTCTTTGAGTTTTTGTAATTCCAGCCCAAGAGAAACCATTTGATATTTCAAGAATGGCTGCACACAAATATTTTCACACAAATAAAAACATCTGTAGATTGCACCACACGAGGGAGACTACCAGTATGACTATCAGGAGGAAAATATCAAGAGTTTGGAATATGCACCTTAGGAAAGATGCAAACCAACTACAATAGGATAGATCAAAGAAGAAGCCAGAAGAGTCTAGTCATTTTAACCAGTCAGCAAATTTATTGATTTTTACAACCAAGTCTTTATAATACCCAATGTATTTATCCATGTGCAACAAGAAGTGTCAGAAACTGCACAGGCTCCCCACTGTTCAGCTGGTAGAGAGCAATTCTATTATCTATTATTGCATGTCTATGTTAAATTAAAAAAGGGGAGGTGCCAAGATGGCCAAATAGGAACAGCTCCGGTCTACAGCTCCCAGCGTGAGTGACGCAGAAGACGGGTGATTTCTGCATTTCCATCTGAGGTACCGGGTTCATCTTGCTAGGGAGTGCCAGACAGTGGGCGCAGGTCAGTGGGTGCGCACACCTTGCACGAGCCGAAGCAGGGCGAGGCATTGCCTCACTCGGGAAGCCCAAGGGGTCAAGGAGTTCCCTTTCCTAGTCAAAGAAAGGGGTGACAGATGACACCTGGAAAATCGGGTCACTCCCACCCGAATACTGCCCTTTTCCGACGGGCTTAAAAAACGGTGCACCAGGAGATTATATCCGTCACCAGGCTTGGAGGGTCCTATGCCCACGGAGTCTTGCAGATTGCTAGCACAGCAGTCTGAGATCAAACTGCAAGGCGGCAGGAACCCACCACAGCTCAAGGAGGCCTGCCTGCCTCTGTAGGCTCCACGTCTGGGGGCAGGGCACAGACAAACAAAAAGACAGCAGTAACCTCTGCAGACTTAAATGTCCCTGTCTGACAGCATTGAAGAGAGCAGTGGTTCTCCCAGCACGCAGCTGGAGATCTGAGAACAGGCAGACTGCCTCCTCAAGTGGGTCCCTGACCCCTGATCCCCGAGCAGCCTAACTGGGAGGCACACCCCAGCAGGGGCAGACTGACACCTCACACGGCAGGGTACTCCAACAGACCTGCAGCTGAGGGTCCTGTCTGTTAGAAGGAAAACTAACAAACAGAAAGGACATCCACACCAAAAACCCATCTGTACATCACCATCATCAAAGACCAAAAGTAGATAAAACCACAAAGATGGGGAAAAAACAGAGCAGAAAAACTGGAAACTCTAAAAAGCAGAGCGCCTCTCCTCCTCCAAAGGAACGCAGTTCCTCACCAGCAACAGAACAAAACTGGATGGAGAGTGACTTTGACGAGCTGAGAGAAGAAGGCTTCAGACAATCAAATAACTCCGAGCTACAGGAGGAAATTCAAACCAAAGGCAAAGAAGTTGAAAACTTTGAAAAAAGTTTAGAAGAATGTATAACTAGAATAACCAATACAGAGAAGTGCTTAAAGGAGATGATGGAGCTGAAAACCAAGGCTCGTGAACTATGTGAAGAATGCAGAAGCCTCAGGAGCCGATGTGATCAACTGGAAGAAAGAGTATCAGCGATGGAAGATGAAATGAATGAAATGAAACAAGAAGGGAAGTTTAGAGAAAAAAGAATAAAAAGAAATGAGCAAAGCCTCCAAGAAATATGGGACTATGTGAAAAGACCAAATCTACGTCTGATTGGTGTACCTGAAAGTGACGAGGAGAATGGAACCAAGTTGGAAAACACTCTGCAGGATATTATCCAGGAGAACTTCCCCAATCTAACAAGGCAGGCCAACATTCAGATTCAGGAAATACAGAGAACGCCACAAAGATACTCCTCGAGAAGAGCAACTCCAAGACACATAATTGTCAGATTCACCAAAGTTGAAATGAAGGAAAAAATGTTAAGGGCAGCCAGAGAGAAAGTTTGGGCTACCCACAAAGGGAAGCCCATCAGACTAACAGCGGATCTCTCGGCAGAAACTGTACAAGCCAGAAGAGAGTGGGGGCCAATATTCAACATTCTTAAAGAAAAGAATTTTCAACCCAGAATTTCATATCCAGCCAAACTAAGCTTCATAAGTGAAGGAGAAATAAAATACTTCACAGACAAGCAAATGCTGAGAGATTTTGTCACCACCAGACCTGCCCTAAAAGACCTCCTGAAGGAAGCACTAAACATGGAAAGGAACAACTGGTACCAGCCACTGCAAAATCATGCCAAAATGTAAAGACCATCGAGACTAGGAAGCAACTGCATGAACTAAGGAGCAAAATAACCAGCTAACATCATAATGACAGGATCAAATTCACACATAACAATATTAACTTTAAATGTAAATGGACTAAATACTCCAATTAAAAGACACAGACTGGCAAATTGGATAAAGAGTCAAGACCCATCAGTGTGCTGTATTCAAGAAACGCATCTCACGTGCAGAGACACACATAGGCTCAAAATAAAAGGATGGAGGAAGATCTACCAAGCAAATGGAAAACAAAAAAAGGCAGGGGTTGCAATCCTAGTCTCCGAGGAAACAGACTTTAAACCAACAAAGATCAAAAGAGACAAAGAAGGCCATTACATAATGGTAAAGGGATCAATTCACAAGAAGAGCTAACTATCCTAAATATATATGCACCGAATACAGGAGCACCCAGATTCATAAAGCAAGCCCTGTGTGACCTACAAAGAGACTTAGACTCCCACACATTAATAATGGGAGACTTTAACACCCCACTGTCAACATTAGACAGATCAACAAGACAGAAAGTCAACAAGGATACCTAGGAATTGAACTCAGCTCTGCACCAAGCAGACCTAATAGACATCTACAGAACTCTCCAACCAAAATCAACAGAATATACATTTTTTTCAGCACCACACCACACCTATTCCAAAATTGACCACATACTTGGAAGTAAAGCACTCCTCAGCAAATGTAAAAGAAAAGAAATTATAACAAACTATCTCTCAGACCACAGTGCAATCAAACTAGAACTCAGGATTAAGAATCTCACTTAAAACAGGTCAACTACATGGAAACTGAACAACCTGCTCCTGAATGACTACTGGGTACACAACAAATGAAGGCAGAAATAAATATGTTCTTTGAAACCAACGAGAACAAAGATACAACATACTAGAATCTCTGGGATGCATTCAAAGCAGTGTGTAGAGGGAAATTTATAGCACTAAATGCCCACAAGAGAAAGCAGGAAAGATCCAAAATTGACACCCTAAAAACACAATTAAAAGAACTAGAAAAGCAAGAGCAAACACATTCAAAAGCTAGCAGAAGGCAAGAAATAACTAAAATCAGAGCAGAACTGAAGGAAATACAGACACAAAAAACCCTTCAAAAAATTAATGAATCCAGGAGCTGGTTTTTTGAAAGGATCAACAAAATTGATAGACCGCTAGCAAGACTAATAAAGAAGAAAAGAGAGAAGAATCAAATAGACGCAATAAAAAATGGCAAAGAGGATATCACCACCGATCCCACAGAAATACAAACTACCATCAGAGAATACTACAAACACCTCTACACAAATAAGCTAGAAAATCTAGAAGAAATGGATAAATTCCTCGACACACACACTCTCCCAAGACTAAACCAGGAACAAGTTGAATCTGTGAATAGACCAATAACAGGATCTGAAATTGTGGCAATAATCAATAGCTTACCAACCAAAAAGAGTCCAGGACCAGATGGATTCACAGCCGAATTCTACCAGAGGTACAAGGAGGAGCTGGTACCATTCCTTCTGAAACTATTCCAATCAATAGAAAAAGAGGGAATCCTCCCTAACTCATTTTATGAGGCCAGCATCATCCTGATACCAAAGCCGGGCAGAAACACAACCAAAAAAGAGAATTTTAGACCAATATCCTTGATCAACATTGATGCAAAAATCCTCAATAAAATACTGGCAAACCAAATCCAGCAGCACATCAAAAAGCTTATCCACCATGATCAAGTGTGCTTCATCGCTGGGATGAATGGCTGGTTCAATATACACAAATCAATAAATGTAATCCAGCATATAAAGAGAACCAAAGACAAAAACCACATGATTATCTCAATAGATGCAGAAAAGGCCTTTGACAGAATTCATCAACGCTTCATGCTAAAAACTCAATAAATTAGGTATTGATGGGACATATCTCAAAATAATAAGAGCTATCTATGACAAACCCACAGCCAATATCATACTGAATGGGCAAAAACTGGAAGCATTCCCTTTGAAAACTGGCACAAGACAGGGTTGCCCTCTCTCACCACTCCTATTCAACATAGTGTTGGAAGTTCTGGCCATGGCAATTAGGCCGGAGAAGAAAATAAAGGGTATTCAATTAGGAAAAGAGGAAGTCAAATTGCCCCTGTTTGCAGACGACACGATTGTATATCTAGAAAACCGCATTGTCTCAGCCCAAAATCTCCTTAAGCTGATAAGCAACTTCAGCAAAGTCTCAGGATTCAAAGTCAATGTACAAAAAATGACAATCATTCTTATACAGCAACAACAGACAAACAGAGCCAAATCATGAGTGAATTCCCATTCACAATTGCTTCAAAGAGAATAAAATACCTAGGAATCCATCTTACAAGGGATGTGAAGGACCTCTTCAAGGAGAACTACAAACCACTGCTCGATGAAATAAAAGAGGATACAATCAAATGGAAGAACATTCCATGCTCACGGGTAGGAAGAATCAATATCGTGAAAATGGCCATACTGCCCAAGGTAATTTACAGATTCAATGCCATCCCCATCAAGCTACCAATGACTTTCTTCACAGAATTGGAAAAAACTACTTTAAAGTTCATATGGAACCAAAAAACAGCCTGCATCACCAAGTCAATCCTCAGCCAAAAGAACAAAGCTGGAGGCATCACACTACCTGACTTCAAACTATACTACAAGGCTACAGTAACCAAAACAGCATGGTACAGGTACCAAAACGGAGATATAGATCAATGGAACAGACCAGAGCCCTCAGAAATAACGCTGCGTATCTACAACTATCTGATCTTTGACAAACTTGAGAAAAACAAGCAATGGGGAAAGGATTCCCTATTTAATAAATGGTGCTTGGAAAACTGGCTAGCCATATGTAGAAAGCTGAAACTGGATCCCTTCCTTACACCTTATACAAAAATCAATTCAAGATAGATTAGAGACTTAAATGTTAGACCTAAAACCACAAAAACCCTAGGAGAAAACCTAGGCATTACCATTCAGGACATAGGCATGGGCAAGGACTTCATGTCTAAAACACCAAAAGCAATGGCAACCAAAGCCAAAATTGACAAATGGGATCTAATTAAACTAAAGAGCTTCTGCACAGCAAAAGAAACTACCATCAGAGTGAACAGGCAACCTACAAAATGGGAGAAAATTTTCACAACCTACTTATCTGACAAAGGGCTGATATCCAGAATCTACAATGAACTCAAACAAATTTACAAGGAAAAAACAACTGCATCAAAAAGTGGGCGAAGGACATGAACAGACACTTCTCAAAAGAAGACATTTATGCAGCCAAAAAACACATGAAAAAATGCTCACCATCACTGGCCATCAGAGAAATGCAAATCAAAACCACAATGAGATACCATCTCACACCACTTAGAATGGCAATCATTAAAAAGGCAGGAAACAACAGGTGCTGGAGAGGATGTGGAGAAATAGGAAGACTTTTACACTTGGTGGGACTGTAAACTGGTTCAACCATTGTGGAAGTCAGTGTGGTGATGCCTCAGGGATCTAGAACTGGAAATACCATTTGACCCAGCCATCCCATTACTGGGTATATACCAAAAGGACTATAAATCATGCTGCTATTAAGACACATGCACATGTATGTTTATTGCGGCATTATTCACAATAGCAAAGACTTGGAACCAACCCAAATGTCCAACAATGATAGAATGGATTAAGAAAATGTGGTACATATACACCACGGAATACTATGCAGCCATAAAAAATGATGAGTTCATGTCCTTTGTAGGGACATGGATGAAATTGGAAATCATCATTCTGAGTAAACTATCACAAGAACAAAAAATCAAACACCGCATATTCTCACTCATAGGTGGGAATTGAACAATGGGAACACATGGACACAGGAAAGGGAACATCACACTTTGGGGTCTGTTGTGGGGTGGGGGGAGGTGGGAGGGATAGCATTGGGAGATATACCTAATGCTAGATGATGAGTTGGTGGGTGCAGCGCACCAGCATGGCACATGTATACATATGTAACTAACCTGCACACTGTGCGCATGTACCCTAAAACTTAAAGTATAATAATAATAATTAAATTAAAAAATAAATTAAAACAGGGAGTGAGAATAGGTAAGTATAGAAGTGGAAGCCTAAAAAAAACTCCATACATTTGAGGAAAAAGTTGTGTTACAGAGGCAGCTAACATCAGCCTTTGGGTGGACTAAAGGATCTCTTTTTATGTAAAAATGCGTGGGCTGGGTGCGGTGGCTCACGCCTGTAATCCCAGCACTTTGGGAGGCTGAGGCGTGCAGATCACCTGAGGTCGGGAGTTCGAGACCAGCCTGACCAACATGGAGAAACCCTGTCTCTACTGAAAATACAAAATTAGGTGGGCGTGGTGGCGCATGCCTGTAATCCCAGCTACTCCGGAGGCTGAAGCAGGAGAATCAATTGAACCCAGGACGCGGAGGTTGCAGTGAGCCAAGATTGTGCCATTGCAGTCTGGCACGGGCAACAAGAGCGAAACTCCATCTTATAAAAAAAAAAAGTGTGGTTGACATGATATATCGGACACTGTTAACTTACTCTCAGAAGCTACTTCTTGTGAAATCCTAAGTACAGCATTATTCTGGGAAGCAAAGGAGACAGGCAGAAGCAAGGACAAATTAAGAGAGGTAACAGTCTCATCATGACTGATAGTCTTGTTCTAACATCTTGAGAAAAGCTGTCCACAGTGTAAAGTCATCAACTTGTCGTGGTTTGCAGTTTGAGTGTCTCTAAGTTATGGTGTTGAACATTTGGTGAGCTCTTAGTGGCCCACACTTCAGACACGAGGGTTTCTCCATGAAATTTACATTGAGTTGTCCATCTCCATCTTATATGGCTTCAGGAACAGAGCTGCTCTTGTTCTTAATGATTTCACTGGAGAAAATTAAATTGGAAGAACTAAAAGAATTCAGGGTCCAGTCCAGTCTACCAGTGGATTATAAGTACTCAAAGATAATGAACAGTGGTTCAATCTGGTAACAGGTGTACTACAGTTTTTCTTTTCAACATAGTTTTTCTCTTTATAGGAGTCTCTATTTTTACCAAAGATAATTCCAGTAGGATGAACTCTTTTGCAAAATAGGTTGAGTCTCACCGAACTTGCCCAGATTTTTTACCTAAGTGCGGCAAGAGTAGCGATGGACCATAGAGGCTCTTTTTAAACTCCCCTTTGCTGGAAGTTTTTAGTAAGAATCTCAGATTAAACTTCCAAAAACCTCTTGAGACTAAGAAGCCAAACCAAGGCCAACTTCAGACTTTGCCTGCATTCCCTATGGGTTTATTCTATGTATATTCTCAAATATAACATCCCAGTCAAAGCCTTGGTAATATAACCAATGTTTTCAAATGTGTCCTGTTATAAAGAGAGCAGATCCTTACTGAACTTGTGCAGATAACTTTATTACCATAAACATATGAATACTCCTGAATAGTTTCCCAATTCTGGGGCACTTAGGGAGCAAAAGCAAATGTTTCAATTTTTGTTTACAAAAGTATACTTTACCAATTGCTGAAGAAAAAAAGTGCATAAATCTGGAGAATAAAACATTCAAAGAATCAGCACATTTTCAAATAGAAAATTATGAAAACATTGTTTTGACTATTTAGTCCAATAAAATTGGGTTTTTTTCTTTGTCTTGAATTTCATGAAGTATCAGCCTGTTCATTAAAATTTTGAAAGTTCTTAGTCCAGTGGTATGATCTTGAAGTTATCAGGAACTTGTATTCAAGAGTCCTTGTCAGAGTCTTTTCATAAATCTCCTTGAACAAAAAGCAATTTTGGACTGTAGCTGATGGTAAATACTTTGAGGAAGAATGAAAGCAACTGTCTGGGAATGACAAAGATTTAAAATGACTATGGTTAAAAATCTAATGAGAATTTATTATGGTAAAGACACAGCTCACAAAATCTAGTTACTTCTGTGGCATATGACACTATGATAACATATTTGATTTCCAGAAATTTCATATAATTTTTAGAATACTCATTAAAAAAATTTTTTTTTTGAGACGGAGTCTCACTCTGTCACCCAGGCTGGAGTGCAGTGGTGCGATCCCAGTTCACTGCAAGCTCCGCCTCCCGGGTTCCTGCCATTCTCCTGCCTCAGCCTCCTGAGTAGCTGGGACTACAGGTGCCTGCCACCAAGCCCGGCTAATTTTGTTTTTGCATTTTTAGTAGAGATGGGGTTTCACCGTGTTAGCCAGGATGGTCTCGATCTCCTGACCTTGTGATCCGCCCACCTCGGCCTCCCAAAGTGCTGGGATGACAGGCGTGAGCCATCGCACCCAGCCTAGAATACTCATATTATTAACATTCCCATAAATATTATTTAGAGGAGGTTTAGCATCACTTATCACTTATTTGAAAATGCTTTCTATATAATTTAACTTATCAAATAAAGTGGCTTTTCCATTCAGCTTCTGTTTGTTAACTGGATTACTGAGTTCTTGGTGTAGCCCATTCATAAATAGGGCCAAAAAAGTATAGTCTTATGTATGTTGAAAAAGGTCCTTAGGTAATTCCAGTACTTCCAGCTGAACATCATTGATTTAGTTTTAAGTTCTACCTATTACAACAAGAGTTCTCCATCCTTGTTACATGTTAGTAGTGTCAGGGAAGACTTAAAAATTACCAATGCCTGGGTCCCTCTCCAGACCTTTAAACTGGAACTAATGGGTGGGGCTTGAGCATCCACTTTTAAAAATGTTTTCCAGTGATTCCAATGTGTAGCTCTATTTCCCATCAGATTTCTCTGATTTCTTGTGGCATTCAATTTTTTCTATTTTGGTATCATGATTATTTTCAGGTCTCATTTCCTGTCTTAGGCTTTATGTCTCCTGGCGTAGGGACCTTGCCTTCATCATTTCTGTATCTTTTTTAAACACATGAACTGGTCATCAGGAAAAGATCTCAACCACACATAGGTTGTGTTCTGAGTCTCAGGTTCACATGTTAATCCTAAAGTCTTAGTTCTCCACGAGGTCAGATGTTGCTTGTGATGAAGGGTGTGGTTAAGTCTGCAGTGCAGATGGTAGAGGGGATTTCACTCTGTTTTCAGACATAGCATTGGAACTAAGAATTTTATATCTATATGGGTGAAGGGACAGGGGTGTGTAGGAAGACAGTTCTAATTAGGATGGAGGAATTATACTAGGAAGTAGCGGTAAAGGAAGTGAGAAGGCTTAGTAAATAGAAGAAATGTGAACTTATCAAAGTGGCTAGAGTAGACCCCTGGAGATTCTTGATTAAGTGAATTAACTAGATTTTAGAAAGGTAATGAGGCAGTCATATGCAAGGAAGATTTCAAAGTCTGGAGACAAGAAGTCAAGCAATACTTTGAGAAGTGGTTGAGCTTTATGGGAATGGAGAGAATTACACTATTGAGAGATGTTAAAAATAATGAAGAGGGTTTCACCATGTGAAATTGTGTTTTTCATTTGAATCTGAGAAACAAATGAGCAGAGAGAGAGGCTGGAGATAATTATGTCTAAAAGACAGTGGGGTACAGGGAGCATAAAGGCCAGGGAGAAAGGGAACTGCAGGAATTAGTGCTGAGAAGCAGGAGTTAGTGGAGGAAGGAGGAGATCCAGTCCCAGATACAGGCAAATAAGTCTTTTCCCTCTCCCAAGCATGGCAGTTAGCCCTGCAGGAACCAGGATAAGAGGAAAGGTCATCATACCTGCCAGTCTTCCTGAAATACAGAAATGACATCACGGCTGCTATAATGGATTAAGGCCAGGAAGATGTCCTGTTCCTGAAGGAGCTGTCATGGAAAAAAAAGAAAAGAAGGAATGAAGATGATGTTATTTTACATGGGGGAGCCTCAGGAACAAGCATGTAACATGAGGTACTCTATAATTGTTTCTTCAAGGACTACGTTATTTCTGTTGGAAAATTGATAGGAGATGATTATATTCTTGCAGTTTTTTTTTCCCTCTCACCCTGTTTCTCAGTTGGTGATCAGTCCTCTGTCAATTCTCTACTGTGCTCAGATATTTGGAAGGCTTTCAGATGTGAGAAAGGCTGATTGCTATTTTCTATGTCATTAGAACTTGCCACCTTTGCACCTTTTCATGGTTGCATCTTTTTCTCAGTGTCTCTGTTGTGGCAGTCATGAATGAGACCCTGCCAGGTCTCCATGGCAGAGACTTGATTGACAGAAGGCCCAGGTCAGTGCATTTCAAATTCACCACCTCCTTTGCACAGAAAGCTTCTTTCCTACAGGCTCCCAGCAAGGGCGTGAAAGCAAGTCTAGTTCTCTGAGGCTCTCTTTAACTCTAATGGGTGACTGGTTGGAGGATTCCCCATCAGCCTTGCAAAAACTCTTATAATTGAATTGGTACCTAAAACTTCTTTCTCTTTCTTTTTCACAGGAATCAGCTCTGCATAGTGGTCTGTGGGTTCTCCCGTACTACCTTCATGCCTGCCCCACATTCCCTCACAGGTGTCTTCCCTGATAAGTTATCTTGTATGTCTAATCCCATCTTGGATGCATCTCAGTCAGTAAAAACTAACATACCAGGCTTGATTCTTTGCACTTAGCTTTTTTTCTTTCTCTCCCACAAGTAGTCAGTAACCATGTCCTAGTGTTTTATGTGTTACCTCTTTTTCCATATATATATATATGGAAAAAGGAAGGTACTGTTGAGGGGCACTTCCTATGTGCCAGGCCCTGTGCTAAATACTTTCCCTGTATCTCATTTAATCCACACAATAACCCTGTGAGGTAGACATTATTTCCATTTTGCCGATGAAAAGACAGAAGCTTAGAGTGGTGTAAAACTTTCCTGGTGTCATATGGCTAGTGACAGGTGGATCTGAGATTTGATTCTAGGACTATTTGACCTCTAGGCTAATGATGATGGTAGTCATATAGCAGCTGACATTGGTTCCACTGTGTGTGGCATCTCGTTTTATTGACTGCATTAAACCTTTAAAAGAAAGGTATGAAGAAAGCACTCTTATTGCAGTTTTCAGGTGAGGTATCAGAGGTTCAGAGAAATTGAGTCTTGTGCAAGAAATTTATAACTGTAAACTCTTACATTAAAAAAGAAGAAAGATCTCAGGTCAACAACCTACTTTAATACTTCAGGATATGAAAGAAGAACAAACTAAACCCAAGCACAGTGAATGAGGGAAAAATAAGGATTAGAGTGGATATAAATAAAATGGAGAATGGAAAAAGAATAGAGGAAATTAATGAAACCAAAAGTTGATTCTTCAAAATAAAATCAACAAAATTGACAACCATTAACTAGATTGACTAAGAAAAAAAGAGAAAAGTTTAAAATTCCTAAAATCAGAAATGAAAATGGACTCTGAGCATGGTGGGTCATGTTTTAATCCTAGCACTTTGGGAAGTCACAGCAGAAGGATTTCTTGAGACCAGGTGTTTGGACCAGCATAGGTAACCTGGGGAGACCCTGTCTCTACAAAAAAATAAAAAAGCCAATTAGCTGCGCATGGTGACATGCACCTGTAGTCCTAGCATCTTGGGAGGCTGAAGAAGGAGAATTACTTGAGCCCAGGAGGTTGAGGCTGCAGTGAGCCATAATCACACCACTGTATTCCATCCTGGGCTGGCCTACAGAGTGAGAGCCTGTCTCTCTCTCTTCAACAACAACAACCAAAAAAAAAAAAAAAAAAAGAAAAAAGAAAAATGAAGCGATTACTACCAATTCTAATAAACTAATGATTATGAAAGTACTATAAATAATTGTATGCCAATAAATTGGATAACCTAGATGAAGTAGACAAACCCCTAGAAACACACAAAAATATGAATGGAACTATAATCAGTAATAAGATTGAATCAATAAAACATTTGATGAAATTCAATATTTTTTCATAATAAAAACTTTCTAAGAAGGGAAGGAAACCACCTCAACGTAAAGGCAATATGTGAAAAACCCAATGCTAACATCATACTCAACGGAGAAAGACTGAAAGCTTTCCCTGTATGAGCAGGAACAAGACAAGGGTGCCTGCTTTTGACACTTTTATTCAACATAGTATTGAAAGGTCTAGTCAGAAAAATTAGGCAAGAATTTAAAAAAAGACGTTAAAATTGGAAGGAAGGAGTAAAATTATTTCTGTTTACAGATAACTTGAACTTATATGTAGAAAATCCTAAAGATGGAACAAACCTATTAGAATTAATAAATAAATTCAGTAATGTTGCACAATACAAAATCAACATTCAAACATCAGTTGTATTTCAATACACTAACCATGAACAATCTGAAGGGAAATTAAGAAAAAAAATTTCAATTTATATTAACATCAAAAAGAATAAAATATTTAGGAATGAGTTTAACCAAAGAGGTAAAATGATTATACCTGAAATCTACAAAATATGGCTGAAAGAAATGAAAGATGACATCAATAAATTGAAAGACATTTTGTTTTCATGAATTGGAAGACTCAATATTGTTAGGAGGACAGTGCTACCTGACGTGAGCTGCAGATTCAATAAAATTCCTATCAGAATCTCAGTGACATTTTTGCAGTAAAAAAAAATCTGTCCTAAAATTTATATTGCATCTCATGACTCTAAATAGACACACAGCTTTGAAGAGGAAGAATGAAGCTGGAGGACTCACACTTCCTGATTTCAGCATTTACTACAAAGCCCCAGTAATCAATACACTGTGGTACTGGCATAAAGGAGGACATAGAAATTAATGAAATATAATAACCCAGAAAGAAATGCTTGCATATATGGCCAAATGATTTTCATCGAGTGTGCCAAGATCGTTCAATGGGGAAGGGACCGTTTTCTCACCAAATGATATTGGGAAAGGTGGATATCCAAGGGCAAGAACAGTGGAACCTTTACCTAACACCATGTACAAAAAGTAACCCACAATAGATCAAAGATCTAAATGTAAGGGCAAAAACTATTCAACTCTTAGAAGAAAAGCTTCATGATACTGGATTTCACAATGATTTCCTGGTTGTAACAACAAAAGCATAGGCAACAAATAAAATGGATAAATCGGACTTCATAAAAATCAAAACCTTTTATATATCAAAGAACACTATCAAGAAAGTAAAAAGCAACCCACGAAATGATAAAAATATTTGCAAATTATATGTGTGATAAGAAATTAATTTCCAGAATACATGAAAAGCTACAAGTCAACAACAGCAAACATCCAAAAACCCAATTAAAAAATGAACAAAGGATTAAAATGGAGTTTTCTCCAAGGAAGATATACAAATATCAAATAAGCCCATGCAAAGTTCCTCAGCATCAGGAATACTTGGAGATATGCAAATCAAAACCACATTGTTACACCACCTCACACACTTTAGGATGGTTTTGATAAACAACAACAATGACAGCAACACAAAACAACAGGTGTTTTCAAGTAGATGGAAAAATTGGAGCTCTAGTGCATTGCTGATGGGAATGGGAAATGTTATAGCCACTGTAAGAAGTGGTGTGGCTCTCTCTCAAAAAATTAAACAATAAATTACCATTTGATCCAGCAATTCCACTTCTGGACATAATCCCCATAGAATTGAAAGAAATTTGAACAAATATTTGTAAACTGATGTTCAGAGAAGCATTACTCACACTAGCCAAAAAATGGAAACAACTGAAAAGTCCATTGAAAGATAAGTGGGTAGGCAAATGAGGTGTATCTATACATTGAAATGTTGTTCAACCTTAACAAGGAATAAAATTCCAATACATAGTGCAAAGTGGATGAACCTTGAAGATATTATGCTAACTGAAATAAGCCAGACACAAAAGGATAATTATTATATAATTCCATTTATAAAAGATAGTTAGAATAGCCAGTTACATAGAGACAGAAAGTAGAATGGTGGGTGCTAAGGTTTAGGGGGAGAAGGAGTGAGAGTTACTGTTTATTGGCTACAGAGGTTTAATATGGTAAGAGGAAAAAGTTCTGGAAATGGATAGTGTGATGGTTACACAACACTAAATTGCACACTTAGAAATAGTTAATGGTAAGTCTTATATTAGATATATATAAAGTGTCCAGTAGTCTTACCCTCTCTATAATTACACACTTTTTGGCACTGCCCCTTTCCTGCCATGCAGAGCCCTAGGGGTGAATCTCCCTATTTCTCCAGCTCTGCATCAGTCACTGTCCTCCGTGCTGTGTCCCAGGTGCTGTGCCCACAGCCTCATACAGCCGGTGACTTCAGAGCCAGGACACAGCTCAGGAGTCTGCCCTGAGGCTCCCTCTCTTTTTGTTTCCCTGCAGCCTGGCCCGGGGGAGGCTTGGCTTCAACTGGCAACTCGATTTAGCCAAATTCAGGACAGGCCACCAGGGCTCTTTCTCCACAGATGCTGGTCCCACCCAGGTGGAGTCAGGCAGGGCCAGTCACCAGAGGAGCCTGGAGCAGAGCAGGAAGCAGAGTCTGAGCTGCTCCTCCCTCACCCAAGGGGCTTCCTCCTCTCATCTGGGGGAAAAGTGTCAGCTTGTTTCAAAGCCTCGGATGTTCCTTGTAGCTCATAGAATAGGTACAAGAAAACAAAGACGTGGCAGAAGGGGATGTGTTGGTGACAGCAAGAAGCAACTTGATCTTGAGGACTCTCCTTCTTGTCCCTCTCTGAATCCTCTTCTACCACATAGGGCTCAGGGCTGATAAAGCCCGCTCCGTACCTTTCTCAGGCCAGACACAAGGTCAGCCATGAGAAAACAGAAAAACAAGGAGAAGAGAGTCTGTAGAGACAAATTGGGAGGGTTCAGGAGGAGAATTTGGGATTTGCTTGTGCCCATGGGACACAGGCTGGGAATAAAAATGTTTTCCTGACTCTTCTCTGAAAGCCAGAGAGACTCCACCTAAAACTCTATTGCCAAGCATGCTGGGATCCACTTACCAGAGACTTTGACTGTCATGGATTTGGAGCTTTCCATGCCAGTGGCTGAGTTACGAACAGAGCAAGCATAGAGCCCGCTATGCTTTGTAGTAATCTGGGGGATAAAGAGCTTTTGTCCTGATAGCTGAAACTTCCCATTAATTGTCCAAGAATATTCTGCTGGTGGGTTAGAGTCCGCGAAGCAGGACAAGTAGAGGTTTTCTCCTGAATGGTAATAGGTGAATGAAGGGTAAATTCTGGGGAGGTCTGGACCATCTGGAGCAAAGAGAATAAAGCCACAGGTGATGTCATCC
Source organism: Homo sapiens (assembly GCF_000001405.40). Taxonomy (NCBI): domain Eukaryota; kingdom Metazoa; phylum Chordata; class Mammalia; order Primates; family Hominidae; genus Homo; species Homo sapiens. The sequence goes on from NC_000019.10 coordinate 42,729,416, forward strand.
GAGGGAAGGGGATGCTCCTGGTCTCTTAAAGGGACACAGTGACCCTCTGAGCCAAGACACACCCTCAAGTGCCAGCCAAACCCCCTCTATGTTCACTGAGCTGAAGCCTGAGGTATTCCCCTGTTTCTCCCATCACAAGCTGTGGGCCCCAAGTCTCCCATGACAAGAGCGTCCCCTCCCCTTATATTCTTGGTTAAGGCTGTGCCTACCCAGATCTTCCCAGGGCAGGAAGTTATGGCCAGCTCGGATGTCCAGAAGTAATGGTATCTATACTTGGACCAGAGAGAGAGTGAGAGGCCTGGCCTCTGGTCGTTTTGATTTAAGCTGGTGTCCTGGCCCACAGAGGAACAAAAGATACTCACAGAGGACATTCAGGGTGACTGGGTAACTGCGGATGCCACCATATCGGTCCTGTATTTCACATTGATAGGGTCCTGTTTCATTTCTCGTGACACTGGGTAGAATGAGGATCCTGTTTTCAATGGGTCGCTTTACCCTGGGACTGACCGGGAGGCTCTGACCATTTAGCCACCAAATGTAGGTGTAGTTCTCACTCTTAGGTTCACAGGTGAAGGCTAAGACATCCTTATTCTCCCTGGGGTTTAAGTTGTTGATGGTGATGTAGGGCTTGGGCAGCTTCGCTGTGTGGATAACAGAGAGAAGATTGTCCTGTGTGGCACCTTTGATTCCTCCACTGGCATCCTTCAATCAGAGTTGGCATCTCCCACCTCTCAGCCCACCCGAGTCCTTGAAAGCCAATAGCTGGTGCGTGTGTCACAAGACAGATGCATGATGATCTAAGGGCTCAAAGACTGTGAGGCCAGCTGCTCTGTCTTAGGGAAGCACAGACTTTCTCAAGTGTCAATTGAGCAGCAGTGTTGGGTCATGGACAGACACGTCAATGGGAGTCACAGCCCCTGGTACCCCTCCCAGTCCCTCCATAATCAGTTGACTGGCTGGCTCACCCTGGGTTCCTTACCTGGAATGTGCAACTGGTGGGCCCCTTCCAAATTCCATCCTACTTTGCCCCCATAGATGTGATTTCTCTGCAACTTCCATTTCCAAGGACATTCTAGAGATGAGTAATAATGGGACTTCCCATGGCCCTGAAACCCTGAAGATACTGAGCAGCCTGGCCTGGGACTGGATGTTTCAGCAGAAATAACACAGGGGAGACCAGAATCAAGCCTGGAGGTCAGTTCAGTCATCAGGCAGTGGAGGCTCAAGGTGGGGCAGTTTTTTGCAGGTGTTTCATGATGACTTACTTGAACCAGTGACCTCTAAAGATAGAGCAGAGTGCAAGGAATGATCTAGAAAGAGTGAAGGTGACAGGCAAGAGCTGGTGGCTTTGGAGCAGAAGCATGTTCCCTGTCTTGGGTTCTTTAAGTTTCCTCTCCTTCTGCAGAGGGCAGGTGAGGACCATGTGGATCTTTCCAGAAATACATGTGGACATTTGCAAATGCAGCACTGACTGGTGGAAAGGGTGGGAATGAACTGCTGGAAATCTGGTCCTCATGGACCATATGTGTTTGATGGATATGAGACAAATTTGGAGAGAAGTTTTGCAAATATTTTCTTTCATTGGACATTCTACTCAATGATTCCATGGGTTCGACTACTCTAGGGACCTCATGTAAGTGGATTCCAGAGTGAATATGAGAAGAGACTGCTGGTTGCCAGGAGCTGGGAGTGGGGAGAATCAGAAGTTGTTCATGGGTGGGCAGTTTCAGTTATTCAAGGTGGGGAGGTTCTAGAGATCTGCTGTAGAGCTTGATGCCTATAGTTCACACAGATTGAGTATTTCTTATGCATAAGACTTAGGACAAAAAGTGTTTTGGATTTCTGACATTTTTTGATTCTGAAATATTTGTCATATACTTACTGGTTTAGCATCCCAAATCTGAAAGACTCAAAATCTAAAATGCTTCAGTGAGCATTTCTTTTCAGCATCAGATTAGTAGGCAAAAGTGGGAGGTGATAAGCCAAAGATATTCTTGCCCTTTTTTTTTCTCTCACCACTTTTCTAGCTTGGTGATTAGTTTTCGGTGAATTCCATACTGGCCATGCTGCACTTGTATATTTTTGAAGGCCTTGGGATGTGAGAAAGGCTGATTGCTATTTTCTATGTCATCAGAACTTTCCACCTTTTCATGGTTGCCTCTTTTTCTCAGTGTATCTGTTGTGGCAGTCATTAATAAGAGCCTGTCAGGTGAGATTTAGGACAGTGTTTTCTAATTCTGCAAAAAATGTTACTGGGATTCTGTTAGGTGTTACATTGAATCCGCAACTCACTTTGGGAATATTATCTTTCTAACAATATTGATTCCTCCAATCCATGAAAATGAAATGTGTTTCCATATATTGATATCGTCTTTAACTTGTTTCAGCAATCTTTTGTAGTTTTCAGGGTATAATCATTTGACTTTTTGGTTAAACTTATTTCAAAATATTTTATTCCTTTTGATGTTAATGTGAACTGAAATTCTTTCCTTAATTTCCTTTCAGATTGTTCATTGTTAGTGTATAGTCTAAAGAATGATCTAGAAAGAGTGAAGGGGACAGGCAAAAGCTGGTGGTTTTGGAGCAGAAACATATTCCCTGTCCTGGGTTTTTGATTTTCCCTCTCCCTTTGCAGAGGGCAGGTGGCTCTTCCCTGATAGCTAGATAGACTTCACTGGAAAACATAGTGCCAATGCTCCAGGGATCCACTTACCAGGGACTATGATCCTCTTGATTATGAGATTTGTTCCAGCAGTGGCTGAGTTATGGATGAAACAGACATAGACCCCTCTATATGTTTTAGTGATTTGGGGGATAAAGAACACTTGTGCTGATTGCTGGAACTTCCCATCAATCAGCCAAGAATGCTCTGCCAGTGGGTGAGAGTCTGTGAGGCAGGAGAGCTTGGGGGCTTCCCCTGTATGGTAATAGGTGTATGAGGAGGAAATGGTGGGGGCATCCAGGCCATGTGGAGCAAAGAGAATAATGTCATAGGTGGTATTGTCAGAGGGAAGGGAAAATCCTGGTCTGTGGAAGGGCCACAGTGACCCTGTGAGCCAAGTTGCAACACTGAAGTCCCAGCCAAATCCCTGCTGTGTTCACTGATCTGGAGCCTGAGACAGTCACCTGTTTTGCCCATCACAAGCTGTGGACGCTGAGTCTCCCATGACAGGAGCAGCCTCTTTTCTCCTATTGTTGATCAAGCCTAGGCCTACTCTGGTTTGCCTGGGGCAGAAAGTCATGGCCAGGTTTGATGTCCAGGGGTAAAGGTCTCTGTACTTGGACCTGAGAGGGACTGAGAGGCCTGGCCTCTGGCCACGTGTATTTGGGATGGCAGACTGGCTCACAGAGGAACAGGAGATACTCACGGAGGAGATTCAGGGTGACTGGGTCACTGCGGCTGGCACTCACTGGGTTCCGTATTTCACATTCATAGGGTCCTGCAGTGTACTTTGTGACACCAAATAGAAAGAGGGTCCTTTTGTTTTTGGACAACTGCAAGCTGTGAGTCATAGGGAGGCTCTGACCATTCATCCACCACAGGTAGCTTGCGTCCGGAGTCTCAGGATCACAGGTTAAGCTCACAGCCTCCATGTCCTCCCTGGGGTATAAGTTGCTGCTGGAGATGGAGGGCTTGGGAGTCTCCACTGTGCAGAAAACAGAGAGAAGATTGCCCTGTGTGGCACCTTTGATTCCTCCAAAGGCATTTTTCAATCAGAGTTGGCATTTCCCACCTCTCAGCCCACCCAAGTCCTTAAAAGCCCATGGCAGGTGTGTGTGTTACAAGACAGATGCATGGCAATCTGAGGGCTCAGAGATTGTGAGGCTGCCTGCTTCGTGTGGGAGAAGCACAGACTTTCTTAACTGTGAATTGAGCAGCAGCATTGGGTCACGGAAAGACACAGGACCAGCAGTCACAGCCCCTGGTGCCTCTCTGAGTCCCTCCATCTCGAAGTGCCTGCCTGGCCCACCTTGTGGTCCTCACTTGGAGCATGCAGTGCTGGAATCTTCTTAGTTTCAGTCTTACTTTGCCGCCCGAGGTATGTTTTCTCTGCAGCTTCCCTTGCCAAGGACATCCTAGAGATGGGTGATGGAACTTCCAATTGTCTTTAAACCCTTTGGATACTGGAAAGCCTGACCTGGGACTGGGTACTTCAGCAGAAATAACACAGGGGAGAACAGAGTCAAGTCCGGAGTTCAGTTCAGTCATCAGGCAGTGGAGCCACAAGGTGGGGCAGTTTTCCCAGGTGTCTCATAGTGGCTGACTTGAGCCAGTGACCTCTAAAGATAGAGCAGAGTCCAAGGAATGACCTACAAAGAGTGAAGGGGACAGGCAAGAGCTGATAGCTTTGGACCAAGACCACGTTCCCTGTTCTGGGTCCATGATGCTCCCTTCCCCCTGTAGAGGGCAGGTGAGGACCATGTGGATCTTTTTGGAAATACATGTGGATGTTTGCAAATGCAGAACCGACTGGTGGAAAGGGCGAACATGAACAGATGATGGAAGTCTGGCCCTCATGGACCATATGTGTTTGGTGGATATTAGACCAATATTTGGGAAGAAGCCTTGCAGATACTTTCTCTCATTAGACATTCTACTCTCTGATTCTGAATTTGACTACTCTATGTACCTGATATCAGTGGATTCCAGAGTGAATCAGAGTGTAGAATAGTAGTTTCCAGGAGCTGGGATCAGGGGAATAGGGCGTTGTTCTGTGGGTGTGCGGTTTCAGTTATGCAGGATGAGGAGGTTCTAGAGATCTCCTGTACAGCTTCATGCCTATAGTTCATACAGATAAAGTGCTCCTTATTCAGAAAGCTTAAAACCAAGTGTTTTGGATTTCTAATTTTTTTTATTTTGGAATATTTACAGTACATGTACTGGTTTAGCATCCCAAATCTGAAAAATTTAAAATCCACAATGCGCCAGTGAGCACTTCTTTTTAGCATCACATCAGTGGTCAGAAGGGTTGAGTTTTGGAGCATTTCAGATTGTGGATTTCTGGATTTCCGATGCTCAATTTGTAATACTGTAATTTTCCCATAAAAATTTGTCAGGAGTTTAGACCTTATGTTCTGACTCTAGTAACAACAACAGCAAAAAATTTGGAGGAAACATTGAAATGTTTTCATAAGTGGAAATTTTTACTGATGATCCAAACATCTAAGATCAATTGCTGGTAGTAGTATTTCTCTTGAGACCAAAATAAGGTTTAGGTGTGCCGTGAATTCCAGCAGGATCACATTATGCTCAAAGAAAGATGCCAAAGGTGATTTGAAATTAGCAACTCCTTAAGTAGAGAGAGTCCCGTTAAAAGGACAGAACTGGTTAGTGTGTCAATTGCATAAAGGGAGGAAGGATGCCAAACTAAAAGAAGTGATGTGTGTTATGTTAGTAAATATAGAAAGAACCTGCTTCTAATTTCTGTGCAGAGTTAGGAAAAATGGGGAGGACCCCAAAACAGGTATGTGAAATGCTTTCTTCATTTTCTCTTAAGCTCAGGAAACACCACTAGTGTTTAAGTTTGTGTGAATTAGAAAGAGTCTAAGTGAGATGCCAATGGTTTGTGTGTCTCCCCACACGCAGAACTCCAACTTATGAAAACGGCATCATCATGAGGAAACAGTTGTATGTGGCACAGGCAGTAAAGCCATCAGATAGCACCCACCTGGCCACCTCCACCTGGTCCCCAAAACCACCAGTATTCCCATTACGTGTATCTTATAGCCTTTGTAGTTGTCCCACAGCTACAAAATTTAAAAATTGCTATTGTCAAATCAAAATATTAAATATGAAGTTGAAATGTTGTTCCACTTTTTTTCCCCACTCTTGTTGAACTTTCCTGTTTCAGTTTTGGAAGTTTCTATTGACATATCCTCAAGCTAGGGATTCTTTCCTCAGCTATGTTCAGTCTACCAGTAAGTATCAAAAGCATTCTTCATGTCTCTAAAAACATTTTTTTTTTTCTGAGACAGAGTCTCGCTCTGTCACCTAGGCTGGAGTGCAGTGGCATGATCTCATCTCACTGCAAGCTCCACCTCCTGGGTTCATGCCATTCTCCTGGCTTGGCCTCCCAAATAGCTGGGACTACAAGCGCCTGCCACCACGTCCAGCTAATTTTTTGTATTTTTAGTAGAGACGGGGTTTCACCATGTTAGCCAGGATGGTCTCCATCTCCTGACCTTGTGCCTGCCTCGGCCTCCCAAAGTCCTGGGATTATAGGCATGAGCCACTGTGCCCAGCCATCTCTGAGGGATTTTAATGAGTTGTTGACTTTTGAGTTTGTTCAGCTTTTTACTTAGTGTTAGAACCGAGGAACAAATTTCAAGCTTGTTATATGCCTGACAGGAAGCCAGAAGTCTCTAGGAAGTGACCGGAGAATGTGAGCTTTATAGCAGGTTGAGGATGGAGTCACAAGTGAAATGGGTGAAATGAGCCCATGGGGTTTGGGGACTGCAGGCCTGTCCAGCCTCTGACACTCTGGTGAGTCAGTGCTAAGATTACAACAGTGACAGCAAACTAGCATGGCTGAGTCCATCTGGTATCTAGTCTCAGGCTGGCTGTCCTCACTCATTCCTGGGCATAGGCCAGGCTAACCTTGGGAGGAATTTAGTTTATTGTTTAACTTTGAAGCAAGAATGATAATTGTTCCTCTGTAAAAGTAACACCCTTACTTTGCCCAGGGACTGCCTTTGTAAAACTAGTGAAAGACCATGAGATTAAGATTATAGGAGGGAACTGAATTCTGCTAAAATGTTGGCAGAGTTTTTATAATCCTTGACTGCTCAAATGTCGTTGGGCCAGAGTTTACAAAATTTGTAACTAATTGCTCCTATAGATAACATCACTATTGTAGAACGTGAGATTGGTCTTTTGAGATGTTTCTCATTCTTTTGCATTCTGGCAACCGGCTGACCTCATCCATACCTATGACTAATGGCTCAGCCCGTCATGTGGTCCCTACCTAGAGGTGGATTCAAGCACAAACAGATCATTTCCCTCCGCCCGCATGATTCCATCACCAATCAGCAGTACTCATTTTTTAGTCCTGTGCCCCTGAAACTATCCTTGAAAATCTCTAAGCCCTGATCCACTGGGGAGGCTGATTTGAGTAATAATAAACCTCCATCCTCCTGTTTGGCAGACTTGGAGTCATTAAAATCTTTCTTTACTACAAACCACCATTTCAATACATTTGTGTGTGTGTGTGTGTGTGTGTGTGTGTGTGTGTGTGTGTGTGTGTGCAGGAGGCCAGAAGAACTTGTCTGGCAATTATAAGAGTGGATGGAGAAACTGCCTATCCCTGTCCCATGGTCTTGTCCACAGGTCAGCCTCACAAAGGGAAAGAGCCCTGGATGGGAATACAGTGGAAACTCATTCTCTTAGTGACCTGGGGACATTGGCTCTAGAGGAAGCCTGGCAGGAGTGGCAACTCCAGGTGATTTCTGCACCTTTCCTATTTCCTGGGAGGTGGGCCAGGCCACAGTGTTAGCGGGAAGGGAACTGAACAGTCAGCCTAGTTAGAGGGAGTGTCTGGGGAAGACCTAGGGGTGGGGGAAGAAGCTGTGCAGGACAGGGCTTGCCAGTCAGAATGAAGTGGGAGGAAGATGAGGGACACAGAGAAGCAGAGAGAGGCAGAGACACCATGGCAGTGAGCAGTGAGGGCTACACTGACTTCAGAGACCCCAGGGACCAGGTGCCCCCAGTTCCACAGTCCAGGACCAAGGAGCCCTGAGAACCCTCCGGTGGCCAAAGAGCTTCAGAGTTACATGAGGTGGGGTTGCTTTAGGGTCAAGAGGTAGTGGGGGGATGAAACGTGGGTGTCAGCCTCTGAAGGACAAGGGACAGGTGTGGCTAGAACCTCCTAGGATTCTGCATGCAAATTCAGTCTCTAAAGAGGTTTTGGATCATTCATTTCTTCATTCCATTTCTTCATTTGTTATGTAAGAGCTCCTGAGTGTGTCTGTCTCGCTGGGCCTATGGTGGTGTAGGGTGTGAGTGGGGAAAGAAAACAAGGTCCTCTCCTTGATCCTCTTGTGACAGTGACATGGACACTTTGGGAAACACAGGATTTCAGGTTCAGTGATGGTGGTTAAGATCTGAGGGGGAGGCCTGGACATGTTTTTTCCACTGACTCTGACGGTTGAGGTAGGTGATTTAGTTCTGGAATACAGACTAATCAGTTGACCGTTTGCTCTCACTCCTCTGAGGTTTGGATGCCTAAGAAGAGAGGATTTGAGCCAATAAATGACTATAGGGTGATTGGAACCCAGTAAGCCCTCACTTCTGGTGGAGGAGAGGGTGGGCCTTTGGCTCCAGACACACCTCATGTGACCCTGATCTCCCCTTTGTGTTTGTGTGACTCTGGTTCAGTGACTGTGGCTTCCTGTGCCTCAGTTTTCTCTCAAACAAATAAGCTAAATGGCAAATGGACTGTGGCTTTTCATGCTATCTGTGAATAAATGTTAAATGATTCACAGTCACGTGACCTAATTCTTGGCACAGTGGAGGTTTCACACAAACAGCATTTATTATTAATTTGCTTCCATGAGAAAGCACCTTTATGTCAGATGCCTGTGGACAAGCTGCTACCTGGTATATCTTCTCTCCTCTGTTTCTGCTTCTGGGGACATTAGACTTTCTATGGACTGGCCTAAGCCTCCTAAGGCAGTTGTCTGATGGCCTACAAAGCTTGTCTTTCTGTCCTCTCCACTCTGAGTGTCAGGTGAAGAAAGCTCTGTCCTTGCCCAGATGAGGCTCTGAGGGCTGAGCCCTGGCTGGTGAACAGCTCCAGGAGACACAGTCCTCTGACAGCTGGTAAATCCTTGGTCCCAGTAAGCCCTGCCCAAGAAGCGACAACCCAGCCCCAGTACAGGCTCCTCAGATTTATCTGGAGCAAGGATTTAGGGACATGGTTCTGGGGGTGAGGCTTCTAGGGCTGAGCTTCTCTGAGAGTATTTCATGGGGCCCCTGAGGCCAAGCCCTACTCAGTTTGCCAGGGTCTTTCTCAGGGTCAAATTTATGAAGAGAGCATGAGGTGCTTGGCTGAGACTGATCTCCTCCTGCTGAGTCCCCCCATCAGACTGTCCTTCCTCTGCAGCGAGTGTCTGCAGGGTCTGGATGCGGGAAAGGAATTCTGATCTGTTGAAATTTGTCTCTTCTGTGTGTGTCCTGCACTAAATGCCCAAACCCCAGCATGGGACATAATGCAGAGAGGGACACAGGCACAATCCAGGCCTGACAATCCTTTGTGTGTGAAGTAAAGACCCCATCCCCCAACACCCAGTGATCACGTGGAGTCACTCACGGTATAAGGTGAAGGTGAAATGTCCAGTTTCTCCTCTAGTCCCATCACCTCGCTTTACGATGTGTAAGGTGTAGGATCCTGCGTCCTCCCGGGTGACATTCTGGATCAGCAGGGATGCATTGGAATATACTGTTTCTCGTCCACTGTATGCAGGCCCATATATAATTATTTGACCATCTACTACGTATGATGTAATGTAATGGTAGAGGTCCTTCATTTGCCCTTTGTACCAGATGTAGCCAGCAAGATTCTGGGGCAAATTGTGGACAAGTAGAAGAACGTCCTTCCCCTTGGAAACTTTGGTTGGCTCGGCTTCAATCGTGACTTGGGCAGTGGTAGGCAAGTTCCAGAAGTTTAAAAGTAATGCTAGGAGGTGGAGAGAGCATCAGTCAATATTGAGACCTATGCATTGGGGTGAAAAGATGTGGCCCTGGGTCCTGAGAAGGTCTCTTCAATCCTCAGCTTTGAAGAGACACACACACACACATACAAACACACACACACACACAAAAGGGGCATGTGTATATGTGTTTGTGTCCTACTCTCCTACTAGGTGAAGGTCAGCAACATGACCCCCATTCCTTCAACACTTCTGACCTTGGCATTTTTCTGTTTGGAATCCTCTTCCCCAGGGGTCCGCACGGCCCCCTCCACACTGCCCTCAGGTCCTGCTCACATCAGGGCATCCTTAGACTTCTTTCCTGACGCCTCCTTCAGAGACCCTGGGTCTTCCCTTTCTGACCTTTCCCTGCTCTGCTCCCTCCAGGGTTCTTCTCAACACCTGACCTCACATTCTAGAACTCTTTGCATGTCTGTCTTCCCCCCCATGACAGCGTGAGCTCCGTGAGGACAGGGACTTTTGTGATCTTCTTTGCACCCCAGTGCCTGGAACAGGCTGCAGACTCCTGTAGATGTGAGAGTTCTCAGGGCCCTCCATGCCCTGGGTGTTTTTTCTTCCCCCAGTTGTTGAGGTTTTTTTGCTGAGGACAGTGTTTCATGCCCTGCTTATATTTTTATTTGAAGTGTCATCTGATATAGTTATTATTATCATTTTTCAAAATGTGGTGGCCCCTGATGATTAATCAGGAAAACAGAACACTTAAGATTTTCCTACCTCTTACCAATTCTGGTTCCTGTGACTTTCCTGTTTTGACCCCTGTCCCTCTTGGGTGTATTTTCCCCTATCCAGGCTCCAACAGAGACTTCTTTCCTTTTTTTCTTTTTTCTTTCCATTCTTTTTTTTTTTTGAGACGGAGTCTTGTACTGTCGCCCAGGCTGGCGTGCAGTGGCACTATCTCGGCTCACTGCAATTTCTTCCTCCCGGGTTCACGTGATTCTCCTGCCTCAGCCTCCCGGGTAGCTAGGATTACTGGAGCACACCACAATATCTGGTTAAATTTTTGTATTTTTAGTAGAGACAGGGCTTCACTGTGTTGGCCAGACTGATCTTGAACTCCTGATCTCGTGATCCACCCTCCTCAGCCTCCCTAAGTGCTGGCTTCTTTTATTTTTTAGAACCCCAGGAGTCTCTCCAGGAGACCCCATCCAGTCACTCTGCTTCCTCCTCCTGTCCTCTCCCAGGAAGTTCTCTCCTCACCTGTGAGCAGGAGCCCCTTCCAGGTGATGCGCTGTGTGCAGGGAGGGGCTGAGAGGGGCCCCATGGTCTCTGCTGCCTGCGTGTTCTCCTCTGTGGAGCTGAGCCTAGGATCCAGAAACTTCCTGAGCATGGCTCTCAGCTGTGCTGTCCTTCCTCCTTCTGCGCTGAGCCTCTTCCCGGGGCAGGAGCACTTCTCAGGTTCATGGGCGGGGTCAGGCCCAGGACACCTCTCTGTCCCCTCCTCTCTCAGTCCTGCCTCCTTGTCCCTCCTGTTTTTCCTTTTGTCTGTGTTTCAGGTCCCTGGGAATTGTGGAGGCCTCTGCCTTTTTCAGCAGTGATTCTTTCACCAAGCCTCATCACACACTTTGTGCAGACACACACACACACAGACACACACAGAAGAGACACACACAGACCCACACAGTCAGAAACATACCCTGCAGGTTGGGCAAGCAGAGTCCTGGGCCTCAGCCTCCTGCTGTCCCCATGGCTCTGGGTCGGGGTGCACATTCATGCCCTTTGGCCTCTTTCATCCCCATCTGGCTCTCCCCTTCAGTGCAGGAGGCTGGAGCTGAACCAGGTCCCTGTCACAGTGACACCCCATTGTGCTGTGGGTGAGCTGTGTGTTGCCTGATGAGAGGGAACCTTCCTTTTTCTAATCGTGTCTAGCTTGGCTGCAGCTTCCAAGGATGGACATTCAGGACCTGGGTGTCCCAGAGGAAACTGTCCTTCCTGGAGGTGTGCAGGATGAATCTCTCATGCCTCTTGTGAGGAGAGGCCTGTGCTGGTTGCTCAGTGGGGGGCTGTGAGTCCCATAGTCAAAGGGACAGTTCTCGGTCACTCTATGGCTCCCTGGGGTCTGGCGGCTGAGCTGGAGCTCATGGTTTCTCATGTTCTTCCTGACCATCTTTGATGTCCTCTCTTCTCTGCCCAGCTTATTGTCCTGTGGTCACCACACCTTCCCCGTGGTGGTGCAGGAGGAAGTGGGGAGTTACCCAGGAACCCCGGGGGACATGGCTCATTGAGATGCAGGAGGGGGAGCCTGGGACAGAGCAGGGGTTCAGAGCTGGAGAGATTCATCCCAACTTACTCTGTGGCCATGATGGGCTCAGCCATCCATGTGCCGACATACCCAGGGGTCTGTCCTGAGGTTTTTGACCTGGCCAAGCTGCTGTGTGTAGAGGAGGAACAGGTAGTGGCCAGAGAGCCTGTCTGGAGGGACGTTGCTCACACCTGAGTGGGCGTGTGGGGGTGAGTTGTGTTCTGGGAGCAAAGAGCAATAACATCCCCCTTCTCCCAGCAAGCACACAGGAGAGGTCTGTCTTCCCAAGGGACAGCTGGGGGTAGGTGGCCACATCCCGGATGGTGCCTGTGTGTGAGCATCACACGTGCTCTGAGCCCCCCGGGGTGCAGGGAGCAGGCAGGACACAGGGTGCCTGGCTGATTCCCGGGGAGGCTGTGGGCCCTCAGGCAGCCACTGTTCTGTGTCAGTGCTAGGCTTGGCCTGGGATGCCCCAGAGAACAGGACAGATGGAGCAGGGGCAGGCATTTAGGGAGCAGTGACAGAACGAGTTGATGAGGATGGAGGGAGGCCACGAGGGGAAAGCACCCAGTGTAGTGTCGCGTGCACCAGCACTGCCCTGGGAGATGCCTTTAGCTGGGCCCAGGGAAGGAGCAGGTGTGTGGGGAGGAGCTCCCTGCAGGGGGAGTGGTGTTAGGTTGGCGGCCCCCAGGTCAGGGAGGAGCTGACAGAGTCCGTGTGGGGAGCATGGAGGGCGCTGAGGACTTGGGCCGAAGTGACCCTGGTGAGGGTGGACCCTGCTGGGCTGTGGGTTCCGTTGAGGGCGGTTGGCATCCCCTGGGAAGGCTCCAGGCTGGGAGGGACTCTGTCCCCCTCTGGTGGACAGGGAGGGAAATGTGAACGGCAGCAATCCCAGGCCAGGCTGCATGTTTTATTCCACATGGATCTGCACACTTCACACGAGGTCACACATATGTTATGTTATAGCTCCTTCACCTTCCAGCCCCGTGAGTCCCAGTCTGTGTGGCTCTATGTTCACTGTTCTCCCTCTTTCACAATCAGATGTCCCAAATGCAGATTTTTGTCACCTTCTGTGAGTTTGTGTTTGTGTGCAGTAGGCAGCACTGTGTATACCCTGGGGGCAGTGATGTCTGGGGCTGAGCAGTGCACATGGGCTTGGGAGAAGAAGAGGGAGCAGCAGGGTGGGAAGATCAATGTCAGGGGGGCAAGGACAAGTCATTTTCATTTTCTCACTCCCAGGGACCAGAACCCAGGATTCTGACTCCAGGGCACAGTACCACACCCTGCTGGTGTCCCTGGATGTCATGATGCTCATAGTGTCATGTTGCCTTGTCATTCATCTTTTATGGTGTAAGTTTATTTGCCTCAAATCAGAGGCAGGGCTTGGTCACCAATGCAGTTTCAATACTGTATCTGGTTCAGGTGGCTCCAGTTGGTGTGCAGAGATAAAATCTTAGAGGCATCTCTCCTGCTTGGTGTGCTGGGTTTCCCTCTCTCCAGCTGCTTTCTTTAAACTGATAATTCTGACATTTGCCCTCACATTTAAAGTGACCACCTCTCAGTCACAGCGTGAGCCCCTGGTCCCAGTGTTTGCTGCTTGCTTTGAACACATCCATTAAAGCTCCCTGCTGGAAACCTGTCAGATAACACCCTGGACTTAATAAAGCCATTGGCTTACCGGTCTCTTCTCTCCTCTCTCCATGGGCTCACTGACCTCTGTGTCTGTGGTCTCCAGGTGTGCCAAGTGCTCCCCAGTGTCTGTAAGTAGTAAAAATACTTACACTTTCACGTTGTGGTTGTATCACTGTGGCCTCACATGCCATCCAGGGTCTGATATTGAGGCTGCCTTATGGGACCTGTGCTGGTTGAGCCCCTGCTGGAGCTCTTGTTTTGGGGCGTCTGGTTCTGCTGGGGACAGGAGCTTCCAGCTAACTTGATTGAAAATCTGATGCCTTTCATTGAAACACTGGGTCAGATGATGTATTCATGGGCTTCAGCTGCCATAACAGACACCTTAGCCTGGGTGAATTAAATAATAGAAATCTATTTTTCACAGTTCTGTGAATAATGTGCTATTTTAACCACTTTAAAATGCATAATCAAGTGAAATTAACCACTTACACAGTGTTAAATTACCATCACCAGTATTTTTCCTAGAAAATTTTTATCATTTTAAACTGAAACTTTGTATCTTTTAAACAATAACTCCCTGTATGTTCCACCTTAGACCTTGATCTTCTCTACTCTGTCTCTATGAATTTGCCTATTCTTGATGCTTCATATAAATGGAATTATACAATTATGTTATTTTGTTTCTGACATATTTCACTTAGCATAATGTTTCCAAAGTCCATGCATGTTCCAGCGGGTGTCAGAGCTTCCTTCCTCTTTATGGCAGATTATCATTCTGTTGTATGTGTCACCATATTTGTTTATTCATGTGTTGATGAACACTTGGATTGTTTTCATATTTTATCTTTTGTGAATAATGCTGCAATGAACATTCCCATGCAAGTACCTGTTTGAGTCCCTGGATTTAATTCTTTGGGTATATACCTAGGAATAGATGTTGTTTCAAATGAGAATTCTATGATTAGCTTTTTTTTATTATTATACTTTAAGTTTTAGGGTACATGTGCACAATGTGCAGGTTTGTTACATATGTATGCATGTGCCATGCTGTTGTGCTGCACCCATTAACTCGTCATTTAGCATTAGGTATATCTCCTAAAGCTATCCCTCCCCCCTCCCCCCACCACACAACAGTCCCCAGAGTGTGATGTTCCCCTTCCTGTGTCCATGTGTTCTCATTGTTCAATTCCCACTTGTGAGTGAGAATATGCGGTGTTTGGTTTTTTGTTCTTGCGATAGTTTATGAGAATGATGATTTCCAATTTCATCCATGTCCCTACAAAGGACATGAACTCATCATTTTTTATGGCTGCATAGTATTCCATGGTGTATATGTGCCACATTTTCTTAATCCAGTCTATCATTGTTTGACATTTTGGTTGGTTCCAAGTCTTTGCTATTGTGAATAGTGCTGCAATATACATACGTGTGTATGTGTCTTTATAGCAGCGTGATTTATAGTCCTTTGGGTATATACCCAGTAATAGGATGGCTGGGTCAAATGGTATTTCTAGTTCCAGAATCGCCACATTGACTTCCACAATGGTTGAACTAGTTTACAGTCCCACCAGCAGTGTAAAAGTCTTCCTATTTCTCCACATCCTCTCCAGCACCTGTTGTTTCCTGCCTTTTTAATGATTGCCATTCTAAGTGGTGTGAGATGGTATCTCATTGTGGTTTTGATTTGCATTTCTCTGATGGCCAGTGATGGTGAGCATTTTTTCATGTGTTTTTTGGCTGCATAAATGTCTTCTGTTGAGAAGTTTCTGTTCATGTCCTTCACCCACTTTTTGATGGGGTTGTTTGTTTTTTTCTTGTAAATTTGTTTGAGTTCATTGTAGATTTTGGATATTAACCCTTTGTCAGATGAGTAGATTTCAAAGATTTCTCCCATTTTGTAGGTTGCCTGTTCACTCTGATGGTAGTTTCTTTTGCTGTGCAGAAGCTCTTTAGTTTAATTAGATCCCATTTGTCAATTTTGGCTTTTGTTGCCATTGCTTTTGGTGTTTTAGACATGAAGTCCTTGCGCATGCCTATGTCCTGAATGGTAATGCCTAGGTTTTCTTCTAGGGTTTTTATGGTTTTAGGTCTAACGTTTAAGGCTTTAATCCATCTTGAATTAATTTTTTAGAAGGTGTAAGGAAGGGATCCAGTTTCAGCTTTCTACATATGGCTAGCCAGTTTTCCCAGCACCATTTATTAAATAGGGAGTCCTTTCCCCATTGCTTGTTTTCTCAAGTTTGTCAAAGATCAGATAGTTGTAGATATGCAGCAGTATTTCTGAGGGCTCCGTTCTGTTCCATTGATCTATATTTCTGTTTTGGTACCTGTACCATGCTGTTTTGGTTACTGTAGCCTTGTAGTATAGTTTGAAGTCAGGTAGCGTGATGCCTGCAGCTTTGTTCTTTTGGCTTAAGATTGACTTGGCGATGTGGGCTCTTTCTTGGTTCTATATGAACTTTAAAGTAGATTTTTCCAATTTTGTGAAGAAAGTCATTGGTAGCTTGATGGGTATGGCATTGAATCTGTAAATTACCTTGGGTAGTATGGCCATTTTCACAATATTGATTCTTCCTACCCATGAGCATGGAATGTTCTTCCATTTCTTTGTATCCTCTTTTATTTCATTGAGCAGTGGTTTGTAGTTCTTGAAGAGGTCCTTCACATCCCTAGTAAGTTGGATTCCTAGGTATTTTATTCTGTTTGAAGCAATTGTGAATGGGAGTTCACTGATGATTTGGCTCTCTGTTTGTCTGTTGTTGGTGTATAAGAATGCTTGTGGTTTTTGTAGATTGATTTTGTATGCTGAGACTTTGCTGAAGTTGCTTATCAGCTTAAGGAGATTTTGGGCTGAGACAATTTGGTTTTCTAGATATACAATCATGTCATCTGCAAACAGGGACAATTTGACTTCCTCTTTTCCTAATTGAATACCCTTTATTTTCTTCTCCGGCCTAATTGCCATGGCCAGAACTTCCAACACTATGTTGAATAGGAGTGGTGAGAGAGGGCATCCCTGTCTTGTGCTAGTTTTCAAAGGGAATGCTTCCAGTTTTTGCCCATTCAGTATGATATTGGCTGTGGGTTTGTCATAGATAGCTCTTATTATTTTGAGATATGTCCCATCAATACCTAATTTATGGAGAGTTTTTAGCATGAAGCATTGTTGAATTTTGTCAAAGGCCTTTTCTGCATCTATTGAGATAATCATGTGGTTCTTGTCTTTGGTTCTGTTTATATGCTGGATTACATTTATTGATTTGCATATATTGAACCAGCCTTGTATCCCAGGGATGAAGCACACTTGATCATGGTGGATAAGCTTTTTGATGTGCTGCTGGATTTGGTTTGCCAGTATTTTATTGAGGATTTTTGCATCAATGTTGATCAAGGATATTGGTCTAAAATTCTCTTTTTTGGTTGTGTCTCTGCCCGGCTTTGGTATCAGGATGATGCTGGCCTCATGAAATGAGTTAGGGAGGATTCCCTCTTTTTCTATTGATTGGAATAGTTCAGAAGGAATGGTACCAGTTCCTGCTTGTACGTGTGGTAAAATTCGGCTGTGAATCCATCTGGTCCTGGACTCTTTTTGTTTGGTAAGCGATTGATTATTGCCACAATTTCAGATCCTGTTATTGGTCTATTCAGAGATTCAACTTCTTCCTGGTTCAGTCTTCGGAGGGTGTATGTGTCGAGGAATTTATCCATTTCTTCTAGATTTTCTAGTTTATTTGCGTAGATGTGCTTGTAGTATTCTCTGATGGTAGTCTTTATTTCTATGGAATCGCTGGTGATAACCCCTTTATCATTTTTTTATTACATCTATTTGATTCTTCTCTCTTTTCTTCTTTATTAGTCTTGCTAGGAGTCTATCAATTTTGTTGATCCTTTCAAAAAACCAGCTCCTGGATTCATTAATTTTTTGAAGGGTTTTTTGTGTCTCTATTTCCTTCAGTTCTGCTCTGATTTTAGTTATTTCTTGCCTTCTGCTAGCTTTTGAATGTGTTTGCTCTTGCTTTTCTAGTTCTTTTAATTGTGAAGTTAGGGTGTCAATTTTGGATCTTTCCTGCTTTCTCTTGTGGGCATTTCGTGCTATAAATTTCCCTCTACACACTGCTTTGAATGTGTCCCAGAGATTCCGGTATATTGTGTCTTTGTTCTCGCTGGTTTCAAGGAACATCTTTATTTCTGCCTTCATTTCATTATGTACCCAGTAGTCATTCAGGAGCAGGTTGTTCAGTTTCCATGTAGTTGAGCAGTTTAAAGTGAGTTTCTTAATCCTGAGTTCTAGTTTGATTGCACTGTGGTCTGAGAGATAGTTTGTTATAATTTCTGTTCTTTTACATTTGCTGAGGAGAGCTTTACTTCCAAGTATGTGGCCAATTTTGGAATAGGTGTGGTGTGGTGCTGAAAAAAATGTATATTCTGTTGATTTGAGGTAGAGAGTTCTGTAGATGTCTATTAGGTCCGCTTGGTGCGGAGCTGAGTTCAATTCCTGGGTATCCTTTTTAACTTTCTGCCTCATTGATCTGTCTAATGTTGACAGTGGGGTGTTAAAACCTCCCATTATTATTGTGTGGGAGTCCAAGTCTCCTTGTAGGTCACTCAGGACTTGCTTTATGAATCTGGGCGCTCCTGTATTCGGTGCATATATGTTTAGGATAGTTAGCCCTTCCTGTTGAATTGATCCCTTTACCATTATGTAATGGCTGTCTTTGTCTGTTTTCATCTTTGTTGGTTTAAAGTCTGTTTTATCAGAGACTAGGATTGCAACCCCTGCCTTTTTTGTTTTCCATTTGCTTGGTAGATCTTCCGCTATCCTTTTATTTTGAGCCTATGTGTGTCTCTGCACGTGAGATGGGTTTCCTGAATATATCACAGTGATGGGTCTTGACTCTTTATCCAATTTGCCAGTCCGTGTCTTTTAATTGGAGCATTTAGTCTATTTACATTTAAAGTTAATATTGTTATGTGTGAATTTGATCCTGTCATTATGATGTTAGCTGGTTCTTTTGCTGGTTAGTTGATGCAGTTTCTTCCTAGTCTCGATGGTCTTTACAATTTGGCATGATGTTGCAGTGGCTGGTACAGGTTATTCCTTTCCATGTTTAGTGCTTCCTTCAGGAGGTCTTTTAGGGCAGGCCTGGTGGTGACAAAATCTCTCAGCATTTGCTTGTCTGTAAAGTATTTTATTTCTCCTTCACTTATGAAGCTTAGTTGGGCTGGATATGAAATTCTGGGTTGAAAATTCTTCTCTTTAAGAAAGTTGAATATTGGCCCCCACTCTCTTCTGGCTTGTAGAGTTTCTGCCGAGAGATCCGCTGTTAGTCTGATGGGCTTCCCTTTGTGGGTAACCCAAGCTTTCTCTCTGGCTGCCCTTAAGATTTTTTCCTTCATTTCAACTTTGGTGAATCTGACAATTATGTGTCTTGGAGTTGCTCTTCTCGAGGAGTATCTTTGTGGCGTTCTCTGTATTTCCTGAATCTGAATGTTGGCCTGCCTTGCTAGATTGGGGAAGTTCTCCTGGATAATATCCTGCAGAGTGTTTTCCAACTTGGTTCCATTCTCCCCGTCACTTTCAGGTACACCAATCAGACGTAGATTTGGTCTTTTCACATAGTCCCATATTTCTTGGAGGCTTTGCTCATTTCTTTTTATTCTTTTTTCTCTAAACTTCCCTTCTCACTTCATTTCATTCATTTCATCTTCCATCACTGATACCCTTTCTTCCAGTTGATCGCATCGGCTCCTGAGGCTTCTGCATTCTTCACATAGTTCTTGAGCCTTGGTTTTCAGCTCCATCAGCTCCTTTAAGCACTTCTCTGTATTGGTTATTCTAGTTATATCTTCGTCTAAATTTTTTTCAAAGTTTTCAACTTCTTTGCCTTTGGTTTGAATTTCCTCCTGTAGCTTGGAGTAGTTTGAACGTCTGAAGCCTTCTTCTCTCAACTCATCAAAGTAATTCTCCATCCAGCTTTGTTCCATTGCTGGTGAGGAACTGCGTTCCTTTGGAGGAGGAGAGGCACTCTGCTTTTTAGAGTTCCATTTTTCTGTTCTGTTTTTTCCCCATCTTTGAGGTTTTATCTAGTTTTGGTAATTGGTGATGGTGATGTACAGATGGGTTTTTGGTGTGGATGTGCTTTCTATTTGTTAGTTCTCCTTCTAAGAGACAGGACCCTCAGCTGCAGGTCTGTTGGAGTTTGCTAGAGGTCCACTCCAGACCGTGTTTGTCTGGGTACCAGCAGCTGTGTCTGCAGAACAGCGGATTTTCGTGAACCACAAGTGCTGCTGTTTGATCGTTCCTCTGGAAGTTTTGTCTCAGAGGAGTACCCGGCCGTGTGAGGTGTCAGTCTGCCCCTAGTGGGGGGTGCCTCCCAGTTAGGCTGCTCGGGAGTCAGGGGTCAGGGACACACTTGAGGAGGCAGTCTGACCGTTTTCAGATCTCCAGCTGCATGCTGGGAGAACCACTGCTCTCTTCAAAGCTGTCAGACAGGGACATTTAAGTCTGCAGAGGTTACTGCTGTCTTTTTGTTTGTCTGTGCCCTGCCCCCAGAGGTGGAGCCTACAGAGGCAGGCAGGCCTCCTTGAGCTGTGGTGGGTTCCACCCAGTTCGAGATTCCCGGCTGCTTTGTTTACCTAAGCAAGCCTGGGCAATGGTGGGCGCTCCTCCCCCAGCTGCGCTGCTGCCTTGCAGTTTGATCTCAGACTGCTGTGCTGGCAATCAGTGAGACTCCATGGGCATAAGGCCCTCTGAGCCATGTGCGGGATATAATCTCCTGGTGTGCTATTTTTCCAGCCCATCGGAAAAGCGCAGTATTAGAGTGGGAATGACCCAATTTTCCAGGTGCTGTCTGTCACGCTGGGAGCTGTAGACTGGAGCTGTTCCTATTCGGCCATCTTGGCTCCAGGACCCTATAATTAGCTTTTTGAGGAACAGCAAAACTGTTTCTCCTAGTGGCTGTACCTTTTTATATTCTCACCAGCAATGTATGAGGATTCCAAATTCTACATAATGCTGCCACTTGTTATTTTACAATTTAAAAGAATGGTAGCCAGTTTTGTAGGTGTGATGTGGTGTCTCATTGCAGCTTTGACTTTGTATTTTCCTAATGACTAATGATGTTGAGTATCTTTTCATGTCCTTCTTGACTATTTGTATATCTTCTTTGAAGAAATGTCTATTTGAGTCTTTTGTCCATTTATAAATTGGATGGTTTCTCACTTTGTTATTGAGTTGTAGCTAGTTCTTGATATTATCTGGACATGAAAACTGCCTATATGTGGTTTGCAAATATTTTCTCTCATTCCTTGTCTATTAATTATTTTCTTGATATTTTCCTTTGATGCACAAAATGCTCACATCTTTATAAAGCCCAATTTATCTTTTTTTTGTTTCTTATGCTTTTGTGTCATATCTAAGAATCCATTGCACATTTGAGGTCATTAATATTTACCTCTATGTCTATTTTAAGATGTTTTTATGGTTATAGGTCTTATATTTAACTCACTGATCAATTTTTTAGAGAATTGTTTGATATGGTGGGAGGTAGAGTTATCTAAATTCACTGTTTTGCATGTGGTTATCTAGTTGTTTCTGCACTATCATTAGAAAGGAGAATTGTTCCTCCATTAAATTGTCTTGACACCCTCTTCAAAGAGTAATTGACCATAAGTGTGAGGGTTTATTTCTAGGCTCTCAATTCTATCCCATTTGTCTTTATGTCCATTCTTTTGCCAGCAGCTTATGTCTATTCTTTGGCAGCAACTTCTGTTTTAATAATTGTACTGCTTTGTGAGATTTCAAATAAGAAAATTCAAGTCCTACAATTTATTTTGGCAAGATTGTTTTGGCTATTCAGGGGTCCTTTTTTGAAAGGTGGGGAGGCCAATGTTTCACAATTGGGAAAGCCATTTCTGTCTTCTTCATGGGGAAATTTGGGAGAATCTTTTAAGAAACTTAATCTAAGTAGGTAAACTGTCACCACTTTATTTGCTGAAGTGCTGTGTTAAAGTGTGCATTGACTCTTGTGGAAGAATTGTGACTCTGGAAGCACTTGCCCACATGGTGAGAGACAGTGAATTCCATGATGAGGGGCAGAGATGATGTTGTTTTGGGATACAATGTTGTTGGGGGAGTTGTATACATCTCTACTTCTTTATGTCTCTGTACAGTGGGTGTAGGGACCAGCCACACAGGGTCGGTGGGTTTTTCTCTCCATATGCAGAGATGAGAGATTGTAGAAATAAAGACACAAGACGAAGGGATAAAAGAAAAGACAGCTGGGCCCGGGGGACTACTACCACCAAGACGCAGAGACCAGTAGTGGCACCGAATGCCAGGCTGCACTGATTTTTATTGGATACAAGATAAAGTGTCAGGATAAGGAGTGTGAGCCATCTCCAATGATAGGTAAGGCCACAGGGGTCACATGTCCACTGGACAGGGGGCCCTTCCCTGCCTGTCAGCTGAGGCAGAGAGAGAGAGGAGAAAGAGAGAGAGAGCTTACAGCATTATTTCTGCTTATTAGAGACTTTTAGTACTTTCACTAATTTGCTACTGCTAACTAAACAGCAGAGCCAGGTGAACAGTATGGAACATGAAGGCAGACTAGGAGTGTGACCACTGAAGCACAGCATCATAGGGAGACGGTCAGGCCTCCAGATAACTGCGGGTGGACCTGACTAATGTCAGGCCCTCCACAAGAGGTGGAGGAGTAGAGTCCTCTCTAAACTCCCACGGGGAAAGGGAGACTCTAAGTAGCTTTCCCAGTCTGCTAAGTAGCTGGTGTTTTTCCTTGACACTGAGGCTACTGCTAGACCAGGGCCCGCTTGGCAATGGGCATCTTCCCAGACGCTGTCGTTACCGCTAGACCAAGAAGCCCTCTAGTTGCCCTGTCTGGGCATAACAGAAGGCTCGCCCTCTTGTCTTCTGGTCACTTCTCACTATGTCTCCTCAGCTCCTATCTCTGTATGGCCTGGCTTTTCCTAGGTTATGATTATAGAAATGAGGATTATTTTAATACTGGAATAAAGAGTAATTGCTACCAAGTAGTGATTAATAATATTCATATATAATCGTATCTAAGATCTATATCTGGTATAACTATTCTTCTTTTATATCTTATTATACTGGAACAGCTCATGCCCTCGGTCTCTTGCCTCGGCACCTGGGTGACTTGCTGCCCACAAGTGGGCATCTCCATTGGACACAGTAGGTTTTGAAATCCTTGTTTATCCTCTGGGGTCTGGGTCTTGGCTTACCTGTTAGCTGCAGCTGAAAGAGGTGTCTGCTAAGGCAATGCCACCTGTGGTGAGAAGAAGGGTTCAGCAGAGTGAAAGCAGCTGGGGCTCAGAGAAACCAGGAAAGTCTGACTCTTAGAAACTGTGGGTCAGCAGATGGGTGTCCTCAGGGGTAAATGGACCATGCCAGTAGCCACTGCAGTGGACTGGAAGAAGGTAAGGGATGCCAGTTATCGCATGTTCTCTCTCAGCTCTGCAGCTGAAGATTTGGGCCCTGGGTTGGTAAGGCCCTGCAGCAGGGGAAGGGTATACAGGAATAGCTGCATATCAGGACCAAGTCCATGTCATCTTCTTAGGCATTGTTACTGCAGATGGAGGATTCTTTTCAGAGACCTGGCCTGGACACATGGGAGGGCCCACCCCATTCTTTTGAAATTATTTTAAGAGAACAGTATTAGCAAATGTGGTACATGTTTTATTCTGCTAGAATCAGTATTACTGTCACATTTTACAATGTATCTCTTAGGAAATGGCGAGAGCCATCCACAGAATGTGCATTTAAAGGGGACTCTATTATAATTTCAGCTTTCCTACCTCTTCATAGAAACCATCTTATCTGCAAACACACGGGCAATATCTCTGTGTTCATTTCTATTGGGAGTCCTGTATGCAAGGTGGAGAGAGCCACATTTCCCCCTGAGATGTTATGTAAAAGTTTGGGTTGAGATGACATATCTGACACTCTATTGTTACCCTCAGAAGCTACTACATGTGAAATTCTAATGACTGCATTATCCTGCCAAGTGAAAGAGGCAGGCATGAGCAAGGACAGTTAAGAGGGGTGAGAGCCTCATCATGATGGGGAGTCTTGTTCTGACATCTTGGGAAAAACTGTCCACAGTGTGAAGTCATCCACTTGTTGTCCTGGTTTACAGTTTGAGCATCTGTTGTTATGGTGTCGAACATTTTAGTGAGTTCTGAGTGGCTCACCCTTCAGGTACAAGGGTTTTCCCATGAAATTTACATTGAGTTGTCCACCTCCAGCTTATAGGGCTTCTGGAACAGAGTGGGTCTTTTTCTTAGCGATTCCATGGAAGAAAATGGAATTGGAGGAACTAGTAGAATTCAGGGTAATGTCCAGTCTACAGGTGGATAATAAAAACACAGAAACAATGAACAGAGATGCAATCTCATAACAGGTGTACTACAGTTTTTATTTTCCACATAATTTTTCTCTCTATGGGCATCTCTAGTTTTACCAATGATAATTTCAGTAGAATAAGTTTGTTTGCAAAATAGGTTGAGTTTCTTCAAACGTGGTCTGATTGTTTACATAAGTGCAGCAAGAGTAGCAATGGACCGTGTAGGCTCTCTTTTAAAATTTTCTTTTCTCTAAGTTTTTATAAGGAATCTGAGATTAAACTTTTACAAAACTCTTGAGAATAGGAAGCCAAACCAAGGCTGACTTCAGACTTTGCCTGCAGTTCATACTGGTTCATTCTATCTATATCCTTAAATATAACATCCCAGTCAAAGCCTTGGTAATATAACCAATGATTTGAAATGTGTCCTGTTACAAAGAGAGCAGATTGTTGCTGTACTTGTGCAAATATGTGTATTACCATAAACATATCAATTCTCATGAATAGTTGCCCAATTCTGGGGCAGTCAGGTAGAAAGCAAAAGTAAATATTTCAATTACAGTTCAATAAACTGCGGTATAGTTTATTGAACTGCTATAAGCTACAGATAGGTTAAAAGAGAAAAATTCCGTCAATGTAGAAAACAAACCATTTAAAGAATCAGCAAATTTTCAAATGAAAATCATAAAAACATTATCCTCATTATTATCAATTATTTCATTGAAATCAATGTTTTTCCTGCTTGGTCTAGGCTGGGAATTTTATGAAGATATCAGCCTGTTTGTTAAAGTTTTCAAAGTTCTTAGACAAATTTGGAGGGTTTAGGAGGAGAATTTGGGATTTGCTTGTGCCCATGGGACGCAGGCTGGGAATAAAAATGTTTTCCTGACTCTTCCCTGAAGGCCAGATAGACTCCACCTAAATCCCTATTGCCAAGGATACTGGGATCCGCTTACCAGAGACTTTTACTGTCATGGATTTGGAGCTTTCCTTGCCAGTGGCTGAGTTACGAACAGAGCAAGCATAGAGCCCGCTATGCTTTGTAGTAATTTGGGGGATAAAGAGCTTTTGTCCTGATAGCTGAAACTTCCCATTAATTGTCCAAGAATACTGTGCCGGTGGGTTAGAGTCCGCAGAACAGGACAAGTAGAGGACTTCTCCTGAACGGTAATAGGTGAATGAAGGGTAAATTCTGGGGAGGTCTGGACCATCTGGAGCAAAGAGAATAAAGCCACAGGTGATGTCATCTGAGGGAAGGGGATGTTCCTGGTCTCTTAAAGGGACACAGTGACCCTCTGAGCCAAGACACACCCTCAAGTCCCAGCCCAACCCCCTCTATGTTCACTGAGCCGAATCCTCAGGTATTCACCTGTTTCTCCCATCACAAGCTGTGGGCCCCAAGTCTCCCATGACAAGAGCGTCCACTCCCCTTATACTCTTGGTTAAGGCTGTGCCTACCCAGGTTTTCCCAGGGCAGGGAGTCATGGCCAGCTCGGATGTCCAGAAGTGAAGGTGTCTATACTTGGACCAGAGAGAGAGTGAGAGGCCTGGCCTCTGGTCGTTTTGATTTAAGCTGGT
The DNA here is from genome assembly GCF_000001405.40 of Homo sapiens. Lineage (NCBI taxonomy): Eukaryota > Metazoa > Chordata > Mammalia > Primates > Hominidae > Homo > Homo sapiens. The sequence continues at coordinate 42,754,955 of NC_000019.10, forward strand.
GTCCTGGCCCACAGAGGAACAAAAGATACTCACAGAGGACATTCAGGGTGACTGGGTAACTGCGGATGCCACCATATTGGTCCCTTATTTCACATTGATAGGGTCCTGTTTCATTTCTCGTGACACTGGGTAGAATGAGGATCCTGTTTTCAATGGGTCGCTTTACCCTGGGACTGACCGGGAGGCTCTGACCATTTAGCCACCAAATGTAGGTGTAGTTCTCACTCTTAGGTTCACAGGTGAAGTTTAAGACATCCTTATTCTCCCTGGGTTTTAAGTTGTTGATGGTGATGTAGGGCTTGGGCAGCTTCGCTGTGTGGATAACAGAGAGAAGATTGTCCTGTGTGGCACCTTTGATTCCTCCACAGGCATCCTTCAATCAGAGTTGGCATCTCCCACTTCTCAGCCCACCCGAGTCCTTGAAAGCCAATAGCTGGTGCGTGTGTCACAAGACAGATGCATGATGATCTAAGGGCTCAAAGACTATGAGGCCAGCTGCTCTGTCTTAGGGAAGCACAGACTTTCTCAAGTGTCAATTGAGCAGCAGTGTTGGGTCATGGACAGACACGTCAGTGGAAGTCACAGCCCCTGGTATCCCTCCCAGTCCCTCCCTAATCAGTTGACTGGCTGGCTCACCCTGGGTTCCTTACCTGGAATGTGCAACTGGTGGGCCCCTTCCAAATTCCATCCTACATTGTCCCCCTAGATGTGATTTCTCTGCAGCTTCCATTTCCAAGGACATTCTAGAGATGAGTAATGATGGGACTACCCATGGTCCTGAAACCCTGAAGATACTGAGCAGCCTGGCCTGGGACTGGATGTTTCAGCAGAAATAACACAGGGGAGACCAGAATCAAGCCTGGAGGTCAGTTCAGTCATCAGGCAGTGGAGGCTCAAGGTGGGGCAGTTTTTTGCAGGTGTTTCATGATGACTTACTTGAACCAGTGACCTCTAAAGATAGAGCAGAGTGCAAGGAATGATCTAGAAAGAGTGAAGGCGACAGGCAAGAGCTGGTGGCTTTGGAGCAGAACTATGTTGCCTGTCCTGCGTTCAAGTTTCCTCTCCTTCTGCAGAGGGCAGGTGAGGACCATGTGGATCTTTCCAGAAATATATGTGGACATTTGCAAATGCAGCACTGACTGGTAGAAAGGGTGGGAAGGATCTGCTGGAAATCTGGTCCTCATGGACCATGTGTGTTTGATGGATATGAGACAAATTTGAAGAGAAGTTTTGGGAATATTTTCTTTCACTGGACATTCTACTCTCTGATTCCCTGGATTCGACTACTCTAGGGACCTCATGTAAGTGGATTCCAGAGTGAATATGAGAAGAGACTGCTGGTTGCCAGGAGCTGGGAGTGGGGAGAATCAGAAGTTGTTCATGGGTGTGCAGTTTCATTTATGCAAGGTGGGGAGGTTCTAGAGATCTGCTGTAGAGCTTGATGCCTATAGTTCACACAAATTGAGTATTTCTTATGCATAAGACTTAGGACAAAAAGTGTTTTGGATTTCTGACATTTTTTGATTCTGAAATATTTGTCATATACTTACTGGTTTAGCATCCCAAATCTGAAAGATTCAAAATCTAAAATGCTCCAGTGAGCATTTCTTTTCAGCATCAGATTAGTAGGCAAAAGTGGGAGGTGATAAGCCAAAGATATTCTTGCCCTTTTTTTTTCTCTCACCACTTTTCTAGCTTGGTGATTAGTTTTCGGTGAATTCCATACTGGCCATGCCTCACTCGTATATTTTTGAAGGCTTTGGGATGTGAAGCCTTTGAAGGCTGATTGCTATTTTCTATGTCATCAGAACTTTCCACCTTTTCATGGTTGCCTCTTTTTCTCAGTGTATCTGTTGTGGCAGTCATTAATAAGAGCCTGTCAGGTGAGATTTAGGACAGTGTTTTCTAATTCTGCAAAAAATGTTACTGGGATTCTGTTAGGTGTTACATTGAATCCGCAACTCACTTTGGGAATATTATCTTTCTAACAATATTGATTCCTCCAATCCATGAAAATGAAATGTGTTTCCATATATTGATATCGTCTTTAACTTGTTTCAGCAATCTTTTGTAGTTTTCAGGGTATAATCATTTGACTTTTTGGTTAAACTTATTCCAAAATATTTTATTCCTTTTGATGTTAATGTGAACTGAAATTCTTTCCTTAATTTCCTTTCGGATTGTTCATTGTTAGTGTATAGTCTAAAGAATGATCTAGAAAGAGTGAAGGGGACAGGCAAAAGCTGGTGGTTTTGGAGCAGAAACATATTCCCTGTCCTGGGTTTTTGATTTTCCCTCTCCCTTTGCAGAGGGCAGGTGGCTCTTCCCTGATAACTAGATAGACTTCACTGGAAAACATAGTGCCAATGCTCCAGGGATCCACTTACCAGGGACTATGATCCTCTTGATTATGAGATTTGTTCCAGCAGTGGCTGAGTTATGGATGAAACAGACATAGACCCCTCTATATGTTTTAGTGATTTGGGGGATAAAGAACACTTGTGCTGATTGCTGGAACTTCCCATCAATCAGCCAAGAATGCTCTGCCAGTGGGTGAGAGTCTGTGAGGCAGGAGAGCTTGGGGACTTCCCCTGTATGGTAATAGGTGTATGAGGAGGAAATGGTGGGGGCATCCAGGCCATGTGGAGCAAAGAGAATAATGTCACAGGCGATATTTTCAGAGGGAAGGGAAAATCTCGTCTGTGGAAGCACCACAATCACAGTGACCCTGTGAGCCAAGTCACAACATTGAAGTCCCAGCCAAATCCCAGCTGTGTTCACTGATCTGGAGCCTGAGACATTCACCTGTTTCTCCCATCACAAGCTGTGGACGCTGAGTCTCCCATGACAGGAGCAGCCTCTTTTCTCCTATTGTTGATCAAGCCTAGGCCTACTCTGGTTTGCCTGGGGCAGAAAGTCATGGCCAGGTTTGATGTCCAGGGGTAAAGGTCTCTGTACTTGGACCTGAGAGGGACTGAGAGGCCTGGTCTCTGGCCACGTGTATTTGGGATGGCAGCCTGGCTCACAGAGGAACAGAAAATACTCACGGAGGAGATTCAGGGTGAATGGGTCACTGCGGCTGGCACTCACTGGGTTCCGTATTTCACATTCATAGGGTCCTGCAGTGTACTTTGTGACACCCAATAGAAAGAGGGTCCTGTTGGTTTCAGACAACTGCAACCTGTGAGACATAGGGAGGCTCTGACCATTCATCCACCACAGGTAGCTTGCGTCCGGAGTCTCAGGATCACAGGTTAAGCTCACAGCCTCCATGGCCTCCCTGGGGTTTAATTTGCTGCTGGAGATGGAGGGCTTGGGAGTCTCCACTGTGCAGAAAACAGAGAGAAGATTGCCCTGTGTGGCACCTTTGATTCCTCCAAAGGCATTTTTCAATCAGAGTTGGCATTTCCCACCTCTCAGCCCACCCAAGTCCTTAAAAGCCCATGGCAGGTGTGTGTGTTGCAAGACAGATGCAGGGCAATCTGAGGGCTCAGAGGTTGTGAGGCTGCCTGCTTCATGTAGAAACACAGACTTTCTCAAGTGTGAATTGAGCAGCAGCATTGGGTCATGGAAAGACACAGGACCAGCAGTCACAGCCCCTGTTGCCTCTCTGAGTCCCTCCGTCTCCAACTGCCTGCCTGGCCCACCTTGTGGTCCTCACTTGGAGCATGCAGTGCTGGAATCTTCTTAGTTTCAGTCTTACTTTGCCGCCCAAGGTATGTTTTCTCTGCAGCTTCCCTTGCCAAGGACATCCTAGAGATGGGTGATGGAACTTCCAATTGTCTTTAAACCCTTTGGGTACTGGAAAGCCTGGCCTGGGACTGGGTACTTCAGCAGAAATAACACAGGGGAGAACAGAGTCAAGTCCGGAGGTCAGTTCAGTCATCAGGCAGTGGAGCCACAAGGTGGCGCAGTTTTCCCAGGTGTCTCATAGTGGCTGACTTGAGCCAGTGACCTCTAAAGATAGAGCAGAGTCCAAGGAATGACCTACAGAGAGTGAAGGGGACAGGCAAGAACTGATAGCTTTGGACCAAGACCACGTTCCCTGTTCTGGATCCATGATGCTCCCTTCCCCCTGTAGAGGGCAGGTGAGGACCATGTGGATCTTTTTGGAAATACATGTGGATGTTTGCAAATGCAGAACCGACTGGTGGAAAGGGCGAACATGAACAGATGATGGAAGTCTGGCCCTCATGGACCATATGTGTTTGGTGGATATTAGACCAATATTTGGGAAGAAGCCTTGCAGATACTTTCTCTCATTAGACATTCTACTCTCTGATTCTGAATTTGACTACTCTATGTACCTGATATCAGTGGATTCCAGAGTGAATCAGAGAGTAGAATAGGAGTTTCTACGAGCTGGGATCAGGGCAATAGGGCGTTGTTCCATGGTTGTGCAGTTTCAGTTATGCAGGATGAGGAGGTTCTAGAGATCTCCTGTACAGCCTCATGTCTATAGTTCATACAGATAAAGTGCTCCTTATGCAGAAGGCTTAAAACAAAGTGTTTTGGATTTCTAATTTTTTTTTGTTTTGGAATATTTGCAGTACATGTACTGGTTTAGCATCCCAAATCTGAAAAATTTAAAATGCACAATGCGCCAGTGAGCACTTCTTTTTAGCATCACATCAGTGGTCAGAAGTGTTGAGTTTTGGAGCATTTCAGATTGTGGATTTCTGGATTTGGGATGCTCAATTTGTAATACTGTAATTTTCCCATAAAAAGTTGTCAGGAGTTTAGACCTCATGTTATGTTCTGACTCTAGTAACAAAAAATATTTGGAGGAAACATTAAAATGTTTTCATGAGTGGAAATTTTTACTGATGGTCCAAACATCTAAGATCAATTGCTGGTAGTAGTATTTCTCTTGAGACCAACATAAGGTTTAGGTGTGCCATGAATTCCAGCAGGATCACATTATGCTCAAAGAAAGATGCCAATGGTGATTTGAAATTAGCAACTCCTTAAGTAGAGAGAGTCCCGTTAAAAGGACCGAACTGGGTAGTGTGTCAATTACATAAAGGGAGGAATGATGCCAAATTAAAAGAAGTGATGTGTGTTATGTTAGTAAATATAGAAAGAACTCCCTGCTTCTAAATTCTGTGCAGAGTTAGGAAAAATGGGGAGGACCCCAAAACAGGTATGTGAAATGCTTTCTTCATTTTCTCTTAAGCTCAGGAAACACCACTAGAGTTTAAGTTTGTGTGAATTAGGAAGAGTCTAAGTGAGATGGCAATGGCTCATGTGTCTCCCCACACGCAGAACTCCAACTTATGAAAATGGCATCAACATGAGGAAACAGTTGTATGTGGCAAAGGCAGTAAAACCATCAGATAGCACCCACCTGGCCACCTCCAACTGGTCCCCAAAACCACCAGTATTCCCATTACATGTATGTTACAGCCTTTGTAGTTGTCCCACAGCTACAAAATTTAAAAATTGCTATTGTCAAAACAAAATATTAAATATGAAGTTGAAATGTTGTTCCACTTTTTTACCCCACTCTTTTTGAACTTTCCTGTTTCAGTTTTGGAAGTTTCTATTGACGTATCCTCAAGCTAGGGATTCTTTCCTCAGCTGTGTGCAGTCTACCAGTAAGCATCAAAAGCATTCTTCATTTCTCTAACAGCATTTTTTTTTTCTGAGACAGAGTCTCACTCTGTCACCCTGGCTGGAGTGCAGTGGCATGATCTCATCTCACTGCAAGCTCTGCCTCCTAGGTTCACGCCATTCTCCTGCCTCAGCCTCCCAAGTAGCTGGGACTACAGGGGCCCGCCACCATGGCTGGCTAATTTTTTGTATTTTTAGTAGAGACGAGGTTTCACCATGTTAGCCAGGATGGTCTCTATCTCCTGACCTTGTGCCCGCCTCGGCCTCCGAAAGTGCTGGTATTGTAGGTGTGAGCCACTGTGCCCAGCCATCTCTGAGGGAGTTTAACGAGTTGTTGACTTTTGAGTTTGTTCAGCTTTTTACTTAGTGTTAGAACCGAATGACAAATTTCAAGCTTGTTATATGCCTGACAGGAAGCCAGAAGTCTCTAGGAAGTGACCAGAGAATGTGAGCTCCATAGCAGGTTGAGGATGGAGTCATGGGCGAAATGAGCCCATGGGCTTTGGGGACTGCAGGCCTGTCCAGCCTCTGACACCCTGGTGAGTCCGTGCAAAGATTACAACAGTGACAGGAAACTAGCATGCCTGACTCCATCTGGCATCTAGTCTCAGGCTGGCTGTCCTCACTCATTGCTGGGCATAGGCCAGGCTAACCTTGGGAGGAATTTAGTTTATGGTTTAAATTTGAAGCAAGAATGATAATAGTTCCTCCATAAAACTAACACCCTTACTTTGCCCAGGGACTGCCTTTGTAAAACTAGTGAAAGACCATGAGATTAAGGTTATAGGAGGGAACTGAATTCTGCTAAAATGTTGGCACAGTTTCTATAATCCCTGACTGCTCCGATGTCATTTGGCAAGAGTTTACAAAAGTTGTAACTAATTGCTCCTATAGATAACATCACTATTGTAGAACGTGAGATTGGTCTTTTGAGATGTTTCTCATTCTTTTGCATTCTGGCAACCGGCTGACCTCATCCATACCTATGACTAATGGCTCAGCCAGTCATGTGGTCCCTACCTAGAGTCAGATTTAAGGGCAAACAGATCATTTCCCTCCGCCCACATGATTCCATCACCAAACAATCAGCAGTACTTATTTTTTAGTCCTGTGCTCCTGAAACTACCCTTGAATATCTCTAACCCCTGATCCACTGGGGAGGCTGATTTGAGTAATAATAAACCTCTGTCCTCCTGTTTGGCAGACTTGGAGTCGTTAAAATCTTTCTTGACTAGAAACCAACATTTCAATAATTTTTTTTTTTTTTTTTTTTTTTTTTTTTTTTGTGCAGGAGGCCAGAAGAACTTGCCTGGCAATTATGAGTGGATGGAGGAACTGCCTATCCCTGTCCCATTGTCTTGTCCACAGGTCAGCCTCACAAAGGGAAAGAGCCCTGGATGGGAATACAGTGGAAGCTCATTCTCTTAGTGACCTGGGGACATTGGCTCGAGATGAAGCCTGGCAGGAGTGGCAACTCCAGGTGATTTCTGCACCTTTCCTATTTCCTGGGAGGTGGGCCAGGCCACAGTGTTAGTGGGAAGGGAACAGAACAGCCAGCCTAGTCAGAGGGAGTGTCTGGGGAAGGCCTAGGGGTGGGGGAAGAAGCTGTGCAGGACAGGGCTTGCCAGTCAGAATGAAGTGGGAGGAAGATGAGGGACACAGAGAAGCAGAGAGAGGCAGAGACACCATGGCAGTGAGCAGTGAGGGAGACACTGACTTCAAAAACCCCAGGGACCAGGTGCCCCCAGCTCCACAGTCCAGGACCAAAGAGCCCTGAGAACCCTCCAGTGGCCAAAGAGCTTCAGAATTACATGAGCTGGGGTGGCTTTAGGGGCAAGAGGTAGTGGGGGGATGAAACATGGGTGTCAGCCTCTGAAGGACAAGGGACAGGTGTGGCTAGAAACTCCTAGGATTCTGCATGCAAATTCAGTCTCTAAAGAGGTTTTGGATCATTCATTTCATTCCATTCCTTCATTTGTTATGTGAGAGCTCCTGAGTGTGTGTCTGTCTCGCTGGGCCTGTGCTGGTGTAGGGTGTGAGTGGGGAAAGAAAAGGTCCTCTCCTTGATCCTCTCATGACAGTGACATGGACACTTTGGGAAACACAGGATTTCAGGTTCAGTGATGGGGGCTAAGATCTGAGGGGGAGGCCTGGACATGTTTTTTCCACTGACTCTGATGGTTGAGGCAGGTGATTTAGTTCTGGAGTACAGACTAATCAGTTGACCATTTTCTCTCACTCCTCTGAGGTTTGGATGCCTAAGAAGAGAGGTTTTGAGCCAATAAATGACTATGGGGTGCTTGGAAGCCAGTGAGCCCTCACTTCTGGTGGAGGAGAGGATGAGCCTGTGGCTGCGGACACACCTCATGTGACCCTGATCTCCCCTTTGTGATTGTGTGACTCTGGCTCAGGGACTGTGTCTTCCTGTACCTCAGTTTTCTGTCAATCAGATAAGCTAAATGGCAAATGGACAGTGGCTTTTCATGCTATCTGTGAATAAATGTTAAATGATTCACAGTCACCTGACCTAATGCTTGGCACAGTGGAGGTTTCACACAAATAGCATTTATTATTAATTTGCTTCCATGAGAAAGCCCCTTTGCGTCAGATCCCTGTGGGCAAGCTGCTACCAGGTACATCTTCTCTCTTGTGTTTCTGCTTCTGGGGACATTAGACTTTCTATGGACTGGCCTAAGCCTCCTAAGGCAGTTGTCTGATGGCCTACAAAGCTTGTCTTTCTGTCCTCTCCACTCTGAGTGTCAGGTGAAGAAAACTCTGTCCTTGCCCAGATGAGGCTCTGAGGGCTGAGCCCTGGCTGGTGAACAGCTCCAGGAGACACAGTCCTCTGACAGCTGGTAAATCCTCGGTCCCAGTAAGCCCTGCCCAAGAAGCCACAACCCAGCCCCAGCACAGGCTCCTCAGATTTATCTGGAGCAAGGATTTAGGGACACTGTTCTGGGGGTGAGGCTTCTAGGGCTGAGCTTCTCTGAGAGTATCTCAGGGGCTCCTCAGGCCAAGCCCTACTCAGTTCTCCAGGGTCTTTCTCAGGGTCAAATTTATGAAGAGGGCATGAGGTGCTTGTCTGAGACTGATCTCCTCCTGCTGAGTCCCCCCATCAGACTGTCCTTCCTCTGCAGCGAGTGTCTGCAGGGTCTGGATGCGGGAAAGGAATTCTGATCTGTTGAAATTTGTCTCCTCTGTGTGTGTCCTGCACTAAATGCCCAAACCCCAGCATGGGACATAATGCAGAGAGGGACACAGGCAATGTCCAGGCCTGACAATCCTGTGTGTGTGAAGTAGAAGTGACCCCTGTCCCCCAACACCCAGGGATCATGTGGAATCACTCACGATATAAGGTGAAGGTGAAATGTCCAGTTACTCCTCTATTCTCATCACCTCCCATTATGATGTGTAAGGTGTAGGATCCTGCGTCTTCCTGGGTGACATTCTGGATCAGCAGGGATGCATTGGAATATATTGTTTCTCGTCCACTGTATGCAGGCCCATATATAATTATTTGACCGTCTACTACATATGATGTAATGTAATGGTAGAGGTCCCTGATTTGCCCTTTGTACCAGATGTAGCCAGTAAGATTCTGGGGCAAATTGTGGACAAGTAGAAGAACATCCTTCCCCTCAGAAACTTTGGTTGGCTGGGCTTCAATCGTGACTTGGGCAGTCGTGGGTGGGTTCCAGAAGTTTAAAAGTGATGCTAGGAGGTGGAGAGAGCATCAGTCAATATTGAGAGCTATGTATTGGTGTGAAAACATGGGGCCCTGGGTCCTGAGAAGTTCTCTTCAGTCCTCAGCCTTGAAGACACAGACACACACACATACAAACACACGCACACACACACACAAAAGCGGCATGTGTGTCTGTGTGTGTGTATGTGTGTGTGTCCTACTATCCTACTAGGTCAAGGTCAGCCCCATGACCCCCATTCCTTCAACACTTCTGACCTTGGCATTTTTCTGTTTGCAATCCTCTTCCCCAGGGGTCCGCATGGCCCCCTCCACACTGCCCTCAGGTCCTGCTCACATCAGGGCATCCTTAGATTTCTTTCCTGACACCTCCTTCAGATACCCTGGGTCTTCCCTTTCTGACCTTTCCCTGCTCTGCTCCCTCCAGGGTTCTTCTCAACACCTGACCTTACATTCTAGATCTCTTTGCATGTCTGTCTTCCCCTCCATGACAGCGTGAGCTCCATGAGGACAGGGATTTTTGTGATCTTGGTTGCACCCCAGTGCCCAGAACAGGCTGCAGACTCCTGTAGATGTGAGAGTTCTCAGGGCCCTCCACGCCCTTGGTGTTTTTTTTTCCCCCCAATTGTTGAGGTTTCTTGCTGAGGACAGTGTTTCATGCCCTGTGTATATTTTTATGTGAAGTGTCATCTGATACAGTTATTATTATCATATTTCAAAATGTGGTGGCCCCTGATGATTAATCAGGAAAACAGAACACAAGATTTTCCTACCTCTTACCAATTCTGGTTCCTGTGACTTTCCTGTTTTGACCCCTGTCCCTCTCTGGTGTATTTCCCCCTATCCAGGCTCCAATAGAGCCTTCTTTCCTTTTTCTCTTTTTTCTCTTTTTTTTTTTTTGAGATGGAGTCTCATACTGTCTCCCAGGCTGGCGTGCGATGGCACTATCTCAGCTAGCTGCAACTTCTGCCTCCTGGGTTCACGTGATTCTTCTGCCTCAGCCTCCCGAGTAGCTAGGATTAGAGGAGCACACCACAATATCTGGTTAAATTTTTGTATTTTTAGTAGAGACAGGGCTTCACTGTGTTGGCCAGACTGATCTTGAACTCCTGATCTCATGATCCACCTGCCTCAGCCTCCCAAAGTGCTGGCTTCTTTCATTTTTTAGTACCCCATACTCTCAAGGAGACCCCATCCAGTCACTCTGCTTCCTCCTCCTGTCCTCTCCCAGGAGGTTCTCTCCTCACCTGTGAGCAGGAGCCCCTTCCAGGTGATGCGCTGTGTGCAGGGAGGGGCTGAGAGGAGCCCCATGGTCTCTGCTGTCTGTGTGTTCTCCTCTGTGGAGATGAGCCTAGGATCCAGAAGCTTCCTGAGCACAGCTCTCAGCAGTGCTGTCCTGCCTCCTTCTGCGCTGAGCTTCTTCCCGGGGCAGGAGCACCTCTCAGGTTCATGGGCGGGGTCAGGCCCAGGACACCTCTCTGTCCCCTCCTCTCTCAGTCCTGCCTCCTTGTCCCTCCTGTTTTTCCTTTTGTCTGTGTTTCAGGTCCCTGGGAATTGTGGAGGCCTCTGCCTTTTTCAGCAGTGATTCTTTCACCAAACCTCAACACACACTTTGTGCAGACACACACACACACACACACACACACACACACACACACACACACACACACACACACAGAAGGACACACACAGACCTACACAGTCAGAAACATACCCTGCAGGTTGGGCAAGCAGAGTCCTGGGCCTCAGCCTCCTGCTGTCCCCATGGCTCTGGGTCGGGGTGCACATTCATGCCCTTTGGCCTCTTTCATCCCCATCTGGCTCTCCCCTTCAGTGCAGGAGGCTGGAGCTGCACCAGGTCCCTGTCACAGTGACACCCCATTGTGCTGTGGGTGAGCTGTGTGTTGCCTGGTGAGAGGGACCCTTCCTTTCTCTAATCGTGTCTAGCTTGGCTGCAGCTTCCAAGGATGGACACTCAGGACCTGGGTGTCCCAGAGGAAACTGTCCTTCCTGGAGGTGTGCAGGGTGAATCTCTCATGTCTCTTGGGAGGAGAGGCCTGTGCTGGTTGCTCAGTGGGGGCTGTGAGTCCCATAGTCAAAGGGACAGTTCTCGGTCACTCTGTGACTCCGTGGGGTCTGGCCACTGAGCTGGAGCTCAGGGTTTCTCATGTTCTTCCTGACCATCTTTGATGTCCTCTCTTCTCTGCCCAGCTGATTGTCCTGTGGTCACCACACCTTCCCCGTGGTGGTGCAGGAGGAAGTGGGGAGTCACCCAGGAACCCCAAGGGAGATGGCTCGTTGAGACGCAAGAGGGTGTGCCTGGGACAGAGCAGGGGTTCAGAGCTGGAGAGATTCATCTTGACTTACTCCGTGGCCATGATGGGCTCAGCCCTCCATGTGCCGACATACCCAGGGGTCTGTCCTGAGGGTTTTGACCTGGCCAAGCTGCTGTGTGTAGAGGAGGAACAGGCAGTGGCCAGAGAGCCTGTCTGGAGGGACCTTGCTCACACCTGAGGGGGCGTGTGGGGGTGAGTTGTGTTCTGGGAGCAAAGAGCAATAACATCCCGCTTCTCCCTGCAAGCGCACAGGAGAGGTCTGCCTTCCCAAGGGACAGCTGGGGCAGGTGGCCACATCCCGGATGGTGCCTGTGTGTGACCATCACACGCACTCTGAGCACCCCGTGGTGCAGCGGGCAGGCAGGTCATAGGGTGCCTGGCTGATTCCCGGGGAGGCTGTGGGCCCTTAGGCAGCTGCTGTTCTGTGTCAGTGCTAGGCTTGGCCTGGGATGCCCCAGAGAACAGGATAGATGGGGCAGGGGCGGGCATTTAGGGAGCAGTGACAGAAAGAGTTGATGAGGATGGAGGGAGGCCACGAGGGGAAAGCGCCTAGTGTGGCGTCGCGTGCACCAGCGCTGCCCTGGGAGATGCCTTTAGCTGGGCCCAGGGAAGGAGCAGGTGTGTGGGGAGGAGCTCCCTGCAGAGGGAGTGGTGTTAGGTTGGCGGCCACCAGGTCAGGGTGGAGCTGGCAGAGTCCGTGTGGGGAGCATGGAGGGCGCTGAGGACTTGGGCCGAAGTGACCCTGGTGAGGGTGGACCCTGCTGGGCTGTGGGTTCCGCTGAGTGAGGTTGGCATCCCCTGGGAAGGCTCCAGGCTGGGAGGGACTCTGTCCCCCTCTGGTGGACAGGGAGGGAAGTGTGAACGGCAGCAATCCCAGGCCAGGCTGCATGTTTTATTCCACATGGATCTGCACACTTCACACGAGGTCACACATATGTTATGTTACAGCTCCTTCACCTTCCAGCCCCGTGAGTCCCAGTCTGTGTGGCTCTATGTTCACTGTTCTCCCTCTTTCACAATCAGATGTCCCAAACGCAGATTTTTGTCACCTTCTGTGAGTTTGTGTTTGTGTGCAGTAGGCGGCACTGTGTATACCCTGGGGGCAGTGATGTCTGGGGCTGAGCACTGCAATTGGGCTTGGAAGCAGAAGAGGGAGCAGCAGGGTGGGAAGATCAATGTCAGGGGGCAGGGACAAGTCATTTTCATTTTCTTACTCCCAGGGACCAGAACCCTGGATTCTGACTCCAGGGCACAGTACCACACCCTGCTGGTGTCCCTGGATGTCATGATGCTCATAGTGTCATGTTGTCTTGGCATTCATTTTTATAAGGTGTAAGTTTATTTGCCTCAAATCAGAGGCAGGGCTTGGTCACCATGGCAGTTTTCAATACTGTGTCTGGTTCAAGTGGCTCCAGTTGGTGTCCAGAGATAAAATCTTAGAGGCATCTCTGCTGCTTGGTGTGCTGGGTTTCCCTCTCTCCAGCTGCTTTCTTTAAACTGATAATTCTGACATTTGCCCTCACATTTAAAGTGACCACCTCTCAGTCACAGCGTGAGCTCCTGGTCCCAGTGTTTGCTGCTTGCTTTGAACACATCCATTAAAGCTCCCTGCTGGAAACCTGTCAGATAACACCCTGGACTTAATAAAGCCATTGGCTCACCGGTCTCTTCTCTCCTCCCTGTCTGGGCTCACTGACCTCTGTGTCTGTGGTCTCCAGGTTTGCCGAGTGCTTCCTAGTGTCTGTAAGTAGTAAAAATACTTACATTTTCACGTTGTGGTTGTATTATTGTAGCCTCACATGCCATCCAGGGCCTGACATTGAGGCTGCCTTATGGGACCTGTGCTGGTTGAGCCCCTGCTGGAGCTCTTGTTTTGGGGCGTCTGGTTCTCCTGGGGACAGGAGCTTCCAGCTAACTTGATTGAAAATCTGATGCCTTTCATTGAAACACTGGGTCAGATGATGTATTCATGGGCTTCGGCTGCCATAACAAACACCTTAGCCTGGGTGAATTAAATAATAGAAATCTATTTTTCACAGTTCTGTGAATAATGTGCTATTGTAACCACTTTAAAATGCTGAATCAAATGAAATTAACCACATACACAGTGTTAAATTACCATCACCACTATTTTTCCTAGAAAATTTTTATCATTTTAAACTGAAACTTTGTATCTTTTAAACAATAACTCCCTGTATGTTCCACCCTAGACCTTGATCTTCTCTACTCTGTCTCTATGAATTTGCCTGTTCTTGATGTTTCATATAAATGGAATTATACAATTATGTTATTTTGTTTCTGACATATTTCACTTAGCATAATGTTTCCAAAGTCCATGCATGTTCCAGCGGGTGTCAGAGCTTCATTCCTCTGTATGGCAGATTAACATTCTGTTGTATGTGTCACCATATTTATTTATTTATGTGTTGATGAGCACTTGAATTATTTTCATTTTTTTCTTTTTTCTTTTTCTGTTTAATAGTGTTTTTTTTATCATTATTATTCTTATACTTTAAGTTTTAGAGTACATGTGCACAATGTGCAGGTTAGTTACATATGTATACATGTGCCATGCTGGTGCGCTGCACCCACTAACTCATCATCTAGCATTAGGTATATCTCTCAATGCTACCCCTCCCCCCTGCCCCCACCCCACAACTGTCCCCAGAGTGTGATGTTCCCCTTCCTGTGTCCATGTGTTCTCATTGTTCAATTCCCACTTGTGAGTGAGAATATGCGGTGTTTGGTTTTTTGTTCTTGCGATAGTTTACTGAGAATGATGATTTCCAATTTCATCCATGTCCCTACAAAGGACATGAACTCATCATTTTTTATGGCTTCATAGTATTCCATGGTGTATGTGCCACATTTTCTTAATCCATTCTATCATTGTTGGACATTTGGGTTGGTTCCAAGTCTTTGCTATTGTGAATAGTGCTGCAGTATACATACGTGTGTATGTGTCTTTATAGCAGCGTGATTTATAGTCCTTTGGGTATATACCCAGTAATGGGATGGCTGGGTCAAATGGTATTTCTAGTTGCAGAATCGCCACGTTGACTTCCACAATGGTTGAACTAGTTTACAGTCCCACCAACAGTGTAAAAGTCTTCCTATTTCTCCACATCCTCTCCAGCACCTGTTGTTTCCTGACTTTTTAATGATTGCCATTCTAAGTGGCATGAGATGATATCTCATTATGGTTTTGATTTGCATTTCTCTGATGGCCAGTGATGGTGAGCATTTTTTCATGTGTTTTTTGGCTGCATAAATGTCTTCTGTTGAGAAGTGTCTGTTCATGTCCTTCACCCACTTTTTGATGGGGTTGTTTGTTTTTTTCTTGTAAATTTGTTTGAGTTCATTGTAGATTCTGGATATTAGCCCTTTGTCAGATGAGTAGGTTGTGAAAATTTTCTCCCATTTTGTAGGTTGCCTGTTCACTCTGATGGTAGTTTCTTTTGCTGTGCAGAAGCTCTTTAGTTTAATTAGATCCCATTTGTCAATTTTGGCTTTTGTTGCCATTGCTTTTGGTGTTTTAGACATGAAGTCCTTGCCCATGCCTATGTCCTGAATGGTAATGCCTAGGTTTTCTTCTAGGGTTTTTATGGTTTTAGGTCTAACATTTAAGTCTTTAATCCATCTTGAATTGATTTTTGTATAAGGTGTAAGGAAGGGATCCAGTTTCAGCTTTCTACATATGGCTAGCCAGTTTTCCCAGCACCATTTATTAAATAGGGAATCCTTTCCCCATTGCTTGTTTTTCTCAGGTTTGTCAAAGATCAGATAGTTGTAGATATGAGGTGTTATTTCTGAGGGGTCTGTTCTATTCCATTGATCTATATCTCTGTTTTGGTACCAGTACCATGCTGTTTTGGTTACTGTAGCCTTGTAGTATAGTTTGAAGTCAGGTAGTGTGATGCCTCCAGCTTTGTTCTTTTGGCTTAGGATTGACTTGGCGATGCAGGCTCTTTTTTGGTTCCATATGAACTTTAAAGTAGTTCTTTCCAATTCTGTGAAGAAAGTCATTGGTAGCTTGATGGGTATGGCATTGAATCTGTAAATTACCTTGGGCAGTATGGCCATTTTCACGATATTGATTCTTCCTACCCGTGAGCATGGAATATTCTTCCATTTGTTTGTATCCTCTTTTATTTCATCGAGCAGTGGTTTGCAGTTCTCCTTGAAGAGGTCCTTCACATCCCTTGTAAGATGGATTCCTAGGTATTTTATTCTGTTTGAAGCAATTGTGAATGGGAGTTCACTGATGATTTGGCTCTCTGTTTGTCTGTTGTTGGTGTATAAGAATGCTTGTGGTTTTTGTAGATTGATTTTGTATCCTGAGACTGCTGAAGTTGCTTATCAGCTTAAGGAGATTTTGGGCTGAGACAATGGGGTTTTCTAGATATACAATCCCATCGTCTGCAAACAGGGACAATTTGACTTCCTCTTTTCCTAATTGGATACCCTTTATTTCCTTCTCCTGCCTAATTGCCCTGGCCAGAACTTCCAACACTATGTTGAATAGGAGTGGTGAGAGAGGGCATCCCTGTCTTGTGCCAGTTTTCAAAGGGAATGCTTCCAGTTTTTGCCCATTCAGTATGATATTGGCTGTGGGTTTGTCATAGATAGCTCTTATTATTTTGAGATATGTCCCATCAATACCTAATTTATGGAGAGTTTTTAGCATGAAGCATTGTTGAATTTTGTCAAAGGCCTTTTCTGCATCTATTGAGATAATCATGTGGTTCTTGTCTTTGGTTCTGTTTATATGCTGGATTGCATTTATTGATTTGCGTGTATTGAACCAGCCTTGCATCCCAGGGATGAAGCCCACTTGATCATGGTGGATAAGCTTTTTGATGTGCTGCTGGATTTGGTTTGCCAGTATTTTATTGAGGATTTTTGCACCAAAGTTGATCAAGGATATTGGTCTGAAATTCTCTTTTTTGGTTGTGTCTCTGCCTGGCTTTGGTATCAGGATGATGCTGGCCTCATGAAATGAGTTAGGGAGGATTCCCTCTTTTTCTATTGATTGGAATAGTTTCAGAAAGAATGGTACCAGTTCCTGCTTGTACGTGTGGTAAAATTCGGCTGTGAATCCATCTGGTCCTGGACTCTTTTTGTTTGGTAAGCAATTGATTATTGCCACAATTTCAGATCCTGTTATTGGTCTATTCAGAGATTCAACTTCTTCCTGGTTCAGTCTTCGGAGGGTGTATGTGTCGAGGAATTTATCCATTTCTTCTAGATTTTCTAGTTTATTTGCATAGATGTGCTTGTAGTATTCTCTGATGGTAGTCTTTATTTCTATGGAATCGCTGGTGATAACCCCTTTATCATTTTTTATTGCGTCTATTTGATTCTTCTCTCTTTTCTTCTTTATTAGTCTTGCTAGCAGTCTATCAATTTTGTTGATCCTTTCAAAAAACCAGCTCCTGGATTCATTAATTTTTTGAAGGGTTTTTTGTGTCTCTATTTCCTTCAGTTCTGCTCTGATTTTAGTTATTTCTTGCCTTCTGCTAGCTTTTGAATGTGTTTGCTCTTGCTTTTCTAGTTCTTTTAATTGTGAAGTTAGGGTGTCAATTTTGGATCTTTCCTGCTTTCTCTTGTGGGGATTTCGTGCTATAAATTTCCCTGTACACACTGCTTTGAATGCATCCCAGAGATTCTGGTATGGTGTGTTTTTGTTCTCGTTGGTTTCAAAGAACATCTTTATTTCTGCCTTCATTTCGTTATGTACCCAGTAGTCATTCAGGAGCAGGTTGTTCAGTTTCCATGTAGTTGAGCGGTTTTGAGTGAGATTCTTAATCCTGAGTTCTAGTTTGATTGCACTGTGGTCTGAGAGATAGTTTGTTACAATTTCTCTTCTTTTACATTTGCTGAGGAGAGCTTTACTTCCAAGTATGTGGTCAATTTTGGAATAGGTGTGGTGTGGTGCTGAAAAAAATGTATATCCTGTTGATTTGGGGTAGAGAGTTCTGTAGATGTCTATTAGGTCCACTTGGTGCAGAGCTGAGTTCAATTCCTGGGTATCCTTGTTGACTTTCTGTCTTGTTGATCTGTCTAATGTTGACAGTGGGGTGTAAAGTCTCCCATTATTAATGTGTGGGAGTCTAAGTCTCTTTGTAAGTCACACAGGACTTGCTTTATGAATCTGGGTGCTCCTGTATTTGGTCCATATATATTTAGGATAGTTAGGTCTTCTTGTGAATTGATCCCTTTACCATTATGTAATGGCCTTCTTTGTCTCTTTTGATCTTTGTTGGTTTAAAGTCTGTTTCCTCAGAGACTAGGATTGCAACCCCTGCCTTTTTTTGTTTTCCATTTGCTTGGTAGATCTTCCTCCATCCCTTTATTTTGAACCTATGTGTGTCTCTGCATGTGAGATGGGTTTCCTGAATACAGCACACTGATGGGTCTTGACTCTTTATCCAATTTGCCAGTCTGTGTCTTTTAATTGGAGCATTTAGTCCATTTACATTTAAAGTTAATATTGTTATGTGTGAATTTGATCCTGTCATTATGATGTTAGCTGGTTCTTTTGCTTGTTAGTTGATGCAGTTTCTTCCTAGTCTCGATGGTCCTTACATTTTGGCATGATTTTGCAGTGTCTGGTACCAGTTGTTCCTTTCCATGTTTAGTGCTTCCTTCAGGAGGTCTTTTAGGGCAGGCCTGGTGGTGACAAAATCTCTCAGCATTTGCTTGTCTGTGAAGTATTTTATTTCTCCTTCACTTATGAAGCTTAGTTTGGCTGGATATGAAATTCTGGGTTGAAAATTCTTTTCTTTAAGAATGTTGAATATTGGCCCCCACTCTCTTCTGGCTTGTAGAGTTTCTGCCAAGAGATCAGCTGTTAGTCTGATGGGCTTCCCTTTGAGGGTAACCCGACCTTTCTCTCTGGCTGCCCTTAACATTTTTTCCTTCATTTCAACTTTGGTGAATCTGACAATTATGTGTCTTGGAGTTGCTCTTCTCGAGGAGTATCTTTGTGGCGTTCTCTGTATTTCCTGAATCTGAACTTTGGCCTGCCTTGCTAGATTGGGGAAGTTCTCCTGGATAATATCCTGCAGAGTGTTTTCCAACTTGGTTCCATTCTCCCCGTCACTTTCATGTACACCAATCAGATGTAGATTTGGTCTTTTCACATAGTCTCATATTTCTTGGAGGCTTTGTTCATTTCTTTTTATTCTTTTTTCTCTAAACTTCCATTCTCGCTTCATTTCATTCATTTCATCTTCCATCACTGATACTCTTTCTTCCAGTTGATCGCATCGGCTCCTGAGGCTTCTGCATTCTTCACGTAGTTCTCGAGCCTTGGTTTTCAGTTCCATTAGCTCCTTTAAGCACTTCTCTGTATTGGTTATTCTAATTATACATTCTTCTAAATTTTTTTCAAAGTTTTCAACTTCTTTGCCTTTGGTTTGAATGTCCTCCCATAGCTTGGAGTAATTTGATTGTCTGAAGCCTTCTTCTCTCAGCTCGTCAAAGTCGTTCTCCGTCCAGCTTTGTTCCGTTTCTGGTGAGGAACTGCGTTCCTTTGGAGGAGGAGAGGCACTCTGCTTTTTAGAGTTTGCATTTTTTCTGCTGTGTTTTTTCCCCATCTTTGTGGTTTTATCTACTTTTGGTCTTTGATGATGGTGATGTACAGATGGGTTTTTGGTTTGGATGTCCTTTCTGTTTGTTAGTTTTCCTTCTAACAGACAGGACCCTCAGCTGCAGGTCTGTTGGAGTACCCGGCCGTGTGAAGTGTCAGTCTTCCCCTGCTGGGGTGTGCCTCCCAATTAGGCTGCTCGGGGGTCAGGGGTCAGGGACCCACTTGAGGAGGCAGTCTGGCAGTTCTCAGATCTCCAGCTGTGTGCTGGGAGAACCACTGCTCTCTTCAAAGCTGTCAGACAGAGACATTTAAGTCTGCAGAGGTTACTGCTGTCTTTTTGTTTGTCTGTGCCCTACCCCCAGAGGTGGAGCCTACAGAGGCAGGCAGGCCTCCTTGTGCTGTGGTGGGCTCCACCCAGTTCGAGCTTCCCAGCTGCTTTGTTTACCTAAGTAAGCCTGGGCAATGGCGGGCGCCCCTCCCCCAGCTGTGCTGGTGCCTTGCAGTTTGATCTCAGACTGCTGTGCTGGCAATCAGCCAGACTCCGTGGGCGTAGGACCCTCTGAGAGAGGTGCGGGATATAATCTGGTGTGTCGTTTTTTAAGCCCATTGGAAAAGCGCAGTGTTCAGGTGGGAGTGACCTGATTTTCCACGTGCCATCTGTCACCCCTTTCTTTGACTAGGAAAGGGAACTCCCTGACCCCTTGCACTTCCCGAGTGAGGCAATGCCTCGCCCTGCTTCGGTTTGCGCACGTTGCGCCCACCCACTGACCTGCGCCCACTGTCTGGCACTCCCTAGTGAGATGAACCCGGTTCCTCAGATGGAAATGCAGAAATCACCCGTCTTCTGCATCACTCACGCTGGGAGCTGTAGACTGGAGCTGTTCCTGTTCGGCCATCTTGGCTCCTACTCCTTATTTTCGTATTTTATCTTTTGTGAATAATGCTGCAATCAACATTTCCATGTAAGTACCTGTTTGAGTCCCTGGATTAAATTCTTTGGGCCTATACCCAGGAATGGATGTTGTTTCAAATGAGAATTCTGTGATTAGCTTTTTGAGGAACAGCAAAACTGTTTCTCCTAGTGGCTGTACCTTTTTATATTCTCACCAGCAATGTATGAGGATTCCAAATTCTACATAATGCTGCTACTTGTTATTTAACATTTTAAAAGAATTGTAGCCAGTTTTGTAGGTGTGGTGTGGTGTCCCATTGCAGCTTTGACTTTGTATTTTCCTAATGACTAATGATGTTGAGTATCTTTTCATGTCCTTCTTGACTATTTCTATACCTTCTTTGAAGAAATGTCTATTTGAGTCTTTTGCCCATTTATAAACTGGATGGTTTGTCCTTTTGTTATTGAGTTGTAGCTAGTTCTTGATATTATTTGGACATGAAAACTGCGTATATGTGGTTTGCAAATATTTTCTCTCATTCTATGTCTATTAATTATTGTCTTAATAATTTCCTTTGATGCACAAAATGCTCACATCTTGATAAAGCCCTATTTATCTTGTTTTTCTTGTTTCTCATGCTTTTGTATCATATCTAAGAATCCATTGCACATTTGAGGTCATCAATATTTACCTCTATGTCTATTTTGAGATGTTTTTATTGTTATAGGTCTTATATTTAACTCACTGATGAATTTTTTAGAGAATGGTTTGATATGGTGGGAGGTAGAGTTATCTAAATTCACTGTTTTGCATGTGGTTATCTAGTTGTTTCTGCACTATCATTGGAAAGGAGAATTGTTCCTCCATTAAATTGTCTTGACACCCTCTTCAAAGAGTAATTCACCATAAGTGTGAGGGTTTATTTCTAGACTCTCAATTCTATCCCATTTGTCTTTATGTCTATTCTTTTGCCAGCAGCTTACGTCTATTCTTTGGCAGCAGCTTCTGTTTTAATAAGTGTACTCCTTTGTGAGATTTCAAATAAGAAAGTTCAAGTCCTACAATTTATTTTGGCAAGATTGTTTTGGCTATTCAGGGGTCCTTTTGTGAAAGGTGGGGAGGCCAATGTTTCACAATTGGGAAAGCCTTTTCTGTCTTCTTCATGGGGAAGTTTGGGAGAATCTTTTAAGAAACTTAATCTAAGCAGGTAAACTGTCACCATTTTATTTGCTGAAGTGCTATGTTAAAGTGTGCATTGCCTCTTGTGGAAGAATTGTGAGACCCTGGAAGCTCTTGCTCACATGGTGAGAGATAGTGAATTCCATGATGAGGGGCAGAGAGGACAGTGTTTTGGGATACAATGTTGTTGGGGGAGTTGTATACATCTCAACTTCTTTATGTCTCTGTACAGTGGGTGTAGGGACCAGCCACACAGGGTCGGTGGGTTTTTCTCCCCGTGTGCAGAGATGAGAGATTGTAGAAATAAAGACACAAGACAAAGAGACAAAAGAAAAGACAAATGGGCCTGGGGGACCACTACCACCAAGATGCGGAGACCGGTAGTGGCCCCGAATGCTAGGCTGCACTGATATTTATTGGATACAAGACAAAGTGTCAGGATAAGGAGTGTGAGCCATCTCCAATGATAGGTAAGGCCACATGTGTCACATGTCCACTGGACAGGGGACCCTTCCCTGCCTGGCAGGCAAGGCAGAGAGAGAGAGGAGAAAGAGAGAGAGCTTACAGCATTATTTCTGCTTATTAGAGACTTTTAGTACTTTCACTAATTTGCTATTGCTAAGTAAAGGGCAGAGCCTGGTGTACTGGATGGAACATGAAGGGGGAGTAGGAGCGTGTCCACTGAAGCACAACATCACAGGGAGGCAGTCAGGCCTTTGGATAACTGTGGGTGGACCTGACTAATGTCAGGCCCTCCACAAGAAGTGGAGGAGTAGAGTCTTCTCTAAACTCCCCCGGGGAAAGGGCGACTCCCTTTCCTGGTCTGCTAAGTAGTGGGTGTTTTTCCTTGACACCGAGGCTACCACTAGACCACGGTCCGCTTGGCAATGGGCATCTTCCCAGACGCTGGCATTACCGCTAGACGAAGGAGCCCTCTAGTGGCCCTGTCTGGGCATAACAGAAGGCTTGCACTCTTGTCTTCTGGTCACTTCTGACTATGTCTCCCCAGCTCCTATCTCTGTATCGTCTGGCTTTTCCTAGGGTATGATTATAGACCAAGGATTTTTATAATATTGGAATAAAGAGTAATTGCTACCAACTAATGATTAATGATATTCACATATAATCATATCTAAGATCTATATCTGGTATAACTATTCTTCTTTTATATTTTATTATACTGGAATGGCTCGTGCCCTCAGTCTTTTGCCTCAGCACCTGGGTGGCTTGCCGCCCACAAGTGGGCATCTCCATTGGACACAGTAGGTTTTGAAATCCTTGTTTATCCTCTGGGGTCTAGGTCTTGGCTTGCCTGTTAGCTGCAGCTGAAAGAGGTGTCTGCTAAGGCAATGACACCTGTGGGGAGAAGAAAGGTTCAGCAGAGTGAAAGTAGCTGAGGCTCAGAGAGGCCAGGAAAGTCTGACTCTTAGAAACCGTGGGTCAGCAGATGGGTGTCCTCACGGGTACATGGGCGATGCCGGTAGCCACTGCAGTGGACTGGAAGAAGGTAAGTGATGCTGGGTATCCCATGTTCTCTCTCAGCTCTGCAGCTGAAGATTTGGGCCTTGGGCTGGTACGGCCCTGCAGCAGGGGAAGGGTACACAGGAATGGCTGCATATCGGGACGAAGTCCATGTCATCTTCTTAGGCATTGTTACTGCAGATGGAGGATTCTGTTCAGAGACCTGGCCTGGACACATGGGAGGGCCCACCCCATTCTTTTAAAATTATTTTAAGAGAACAGTATTAGCAAATGTGGTACATGTCTTATTCTGCTAGAATCAGTCTTATTGTCACGTTTTACAAAGTATCTTTTAGGAAATGGTGAGAGCCATCCACACTATGTGGATTTAAAGGGGACTCTAGTATAATTTCAGCTTTCCTACTCTTTATAGAAACCATCTTCTCTGCAAACACACAGGCAATATCTCTGTGTTCATTTCTATTGGGAGCCCTGTATGCAAGGTGGAGAGTGCCACATTTCCCTCTGAGATGTTATGTAAAAGTTTGAGGTGGAGATGACATATCTGACACTCTGTTGTTACACTCAGAAGCTACTACATGTGAAATTCTAATGACTGCATTATCCTGCCAAATAAAAGGCAGGCATGAGCAAGGACAGTAAAGAGGGGTGAGAGCCTCATCATGATGGGGAGTCTTGTTCTGACATCTTGGGAAAAACTGTCCACAGTGTGAAGTCATCAACTTCTTGTCCTGGTTTACAATTTGAGTGGCTGTTGTTATGGTGTCAAACATTTTAGTGAGTTCTGAGTGGCTCACGCTTCAGGTACAAGGGTTTTCCCATGAAATTTACATTGAGTTGTCCACCTCCAGCTTATAGGGCTTCTGGAACAGAATGGGTCTTGCTCTTAGTGATTCCATGGGAGAAAATGGAATTGGAGGAACTAGTAGAATTCAGGGTAATGTTCAGTTTACAGGTGGATAATAAAAACACAGAAACAATGAACAGAGCTGCAATCTCATAACCGGTGTACTACAGTTTTTATTTTCCACGTAATTTTTGTCTCTACGGGCATCTCTAGTTTTACCAATGATAATTTCAGTAGAATAAGTTTGTTTGCAAAATAGGTTGAGTTTCTTCAAACGTGGTCTGATTCTTTACATAAGTGCAGCAAGAGTAGCAATGGACCATGTAGGGTCTCTTTTAAAATTTTCTTTCCTCTAAGTTTTTATAAGGAATCTGAGATTAAACTTTTACAAACCTCTTGAGAATAGGAAGCCAAACCAAGGCTGACTTCAGACTTTGCCTGCAGTTCATATTGGTTCATTCTATGTATATTCTTAAATATAACATCCCAGTCAAAGCCTTGGTAATATAACCAATGATTTGAAATGTGTCCTGTTACAAAGAGAGCAGATTGTTACTGTACTTGTGCAAATATGTGTATTACCATAAACATATCAATTCTCATGAATAGTTGCCCAATTCTGGGGCAGTCAGGTAGAGAGCAAAAGTAAATATTTCAATAATTGTTCCCAGAAGTATAGTTTATTGAACTGCTATAAGCTATAGATAGATTAAAAGAAAAAAATTCCATAAATGTAGAATACAAACCATTTAAAGAATCAGCAAATTTTCAAATAAAAATCATAAAAACATTATCCTCATTATTATCAATATTTCAATGAAGTCAATGTTTTTCCTGCTTGGTAGGCTGAGAGTTTTATGAAGATATCAGCCTGTTAGTTAAAGTTTTTGGAAGTTCTTAGACAGTCCTGTGGGATAATGTGAAAGTTATCGGAAACTTGTATTAAAGAGTACTTGTCAGCATCTTTTCTACAAATCTCCTTGAAAAGGAAGCAATTTTGGACTGTAGCTGATTGGAAATGCTTTGAAGAAGAATAAAAACAATGTCTGTTAGTGGGAAAGATTTTAAATGACTATGGTTAAAACTCTGATGAGAATTCATTGATAACACAGCTCACATAAAAAGTTAGTTACTTCTGTAGTATATGACATTGTGGCTGATAACATACTTAATTTCTAGGAATCTCATACAATTTCTGGAACAATCATATCAGTAACATATCCATAAATATAACATAGAGAAGGTTTAGCATCCTTTACCATTTATGATTTGAAAATGCTTTTCATATAATTTTACATATCAAATAAAGTGGCTTTTCCATGTAGCTTGTGTTTCTCAACAGGATTACTGAGTTCTTGGTGGAGGCTGTTAATGAATTGGGCCAAGAAAGTATAGGCTTATGTATGCTGAAAAATTTCCCTAGATAATTCCAATACTCCCAGCTAATAATCATGAATTTAGGTCTAAATTTTACCTATTAGAACAGCTGTTATTTATCCTGGTTACACATTAGTAGCATCTGGGAAGACTTAAAAATTACCAATGCCTGAGTCTCACTTTAGACCATTAAATTGGATCCTATGGGTGGGGCTTGGGCATCCATTTAAAAAAATGTTTTCTGGTGATTCCAATGTGTAGCTGTATTTCCCCTCAGATTTCTCTGATTTCTTTTGGCATTCACTTTTTTCTATTTTGGTATTATAATTATTTTTTGGGTCTTATCATCTATCTTAGGCTTTATGTTCCTTGGGGTAGAAACCTTGCCTTCTTCATTTTTGTATCTTTCACGAACATATGAGTTGGTCATCAGGAAAATGTTCTCAATCACAAGTAGGTTGTGTTCTGAGTCTCAGGTTTACACATTAATGCTTGAGTCATTGTTCTCTGGGAGGTGAGAGGTTGCTTGTGATGAAGGGTATGGGTAAGCCCATACTGCAGATGGTAGATGGGAGATCACCCTGTTTTCAGCCATAGCATTGGAACTAAGCATTCTATGTGTATATCAGGTGGAGGGGAAGGGATGTGTAGAAAGACAGATTTAATTAGAATGGAGGAATTATACTAGGGAATAGAAGTATTTAAAGCAACAAAAATTAGTAAAGAGAAGAAATGTGAACTTATCAAATAGGCAAGAGTAGATCCCTGAAGATTTTTGAATAGGTGAGTTAACTAGAATTTAGGAAGCTAATAAGACAGTCATACACAAGGAAGATTTCAAAGACTGGAGATAAGTCAAGCAGTACCTCTAGCAGTTGTTGAGGTTGTGGGAATGGAGAGAATGACAAAAGTGAGAAATGTTATAAAAAAGGATCAAGAGGGTTTTATAAGGTATTGAATCTGGGAAACAAATGAGCAGAGACTGAGGATAATCACTTGTAGGAGACAGTGGGGTACAGGGAGCATGAAGAACAGGGGAGAAGAGACCTGCAGGAATAAATGCTGAGAAGCAGGAGTTTAGTGGGAGGAGGAGGAGATCCAGTCCCAAATACCGGCAAAGAAGTCCTTTCCCTCTCCCAAGCAAGGCAGTCAGCCCTGCAGGAAACAGGACAAAAGGAAAAGCCATCATACCTGCCAGTCTTCCTGAAATAAACTACAACAGGGCTGCTAGATCAGCGCCACACTGGCCAGTACTTCAATCATGATGCTGCCAGTGGCTCTACCTGAAAGGCCAGGAGAACTTCCTTTCACTGAAGTATCTGTCATGGAAAGAAAAGAAGAGAAGGAATAAAGGTGATGTTATTTTACAGCGTGGTACCTTAGGAACCATCACTAAGTATTTAGTAGTTTCTACTTTTTCCTTCGGGGATTACATTAATTTTGTGGGACGGTTGCTGGTAGATGATTAGCCAACTATATTCTTGCAGTTTTTTTCTCTCTCAACGTGTTTCTAGGTTAGTGATCAGTCTTCTGTCAATTTCATCCTGACCATGCTGCACTCAGATATTTTCGAAAGCTTTATGATGTGAGAAAGGCTGACTGCTATTTTCTGTCACTAGAACTTTGTACCCTTTCATGGTTGCATCTTTTTCTCAGTGTGTCAGTTGTGGTAGGCATGAATAAGACTCTGTCAGGTCTCCATGGCAGCTTGTGTTTCTCAAGAGGATTACTGAGTCCTTGGTGGAGCCCATTAATGAATAGGGCCGAGAAAGTATAGGCTTATGTATGTTGAAAAATTTCCCTAGGTAATTCTAGCACTCTCAGCTAATAATTGATTAATTAATAATCAACTGACTTGATTGACAGAAGGCCCAGATCAGTGCATTCCAAACTGACAACCTACTTTGCATAGAGTCCTCACTTTCCTGAAGCTCTCAGCAGGGATATGAAAGCAAGCCCAGTTCTATGAGACTCTGTTTTATTCTCCTGGGTGACTTGTGGGAAGACCCCCTATCAGTCTTCCCATGCTCTCTTTGAACTGTAGCTAAATCTTTGTCTTTCTCCTTCACAGGAATGAGATTTGCATAGTGGTCCCAAAGTTCCCCAGACTTTTTTCATGCCTGCCCCACTTTCCCTCCCAGGCATTTTTCCTAATACATTATCCTGCATGTCTAATCTCATCTCGGATGCATCTCAGTGGGCATAAACTAACATACCAGGCTTGATTTTTTTGCACTTAGCTTTTTTCTGTCTCTCCCACATGTAGCCAGTAACCATGTCCTAGTGTTTCATGTGTTACCCTTTTTTCATGTGTATAGGAAAAAAATATATATTTCCATATACTTATTTATATGTAATATATATAATAAAATGTGTAATATAAAATGTATAATAATGTAAAACATATACATATTTTCCATATATGTATATGGAAAAAGAGGTAACACATAAAACACCAGGACATTTACATATAATAAAATTGACATATGTTATATATGTATGTAGTGTCTGGTAGTCTTACCCTCTTTATAAATACACACTTTTTGTCACTGCCCCTTCCTTCCTTCCCATGCAGAGCTCCTATGGCCAAATCTCCCTACTTCTCCAAGTTTGTGTCACTCACTGTCCTCTGTGTTGTGTCCCATGTGCTGTGTCCACAGCCTCCTAGTGTTTTATGTGTTCTCTTTTTCTATATATATGTGGAAAAAGCATATACATATTTCTCTGTATATATTTATATACAATATATAATTATCTAAAAATATAGAATATATAACAATTTAAAATATATGCATATTTCCATATCTATGAAAAAAGGTAACACATAAACACTAGGCCATTTATATATAAAATTCACATATGTAATATAAATGCCAATTTTATCATATATAAATAAGTATATCCATATAGACTTATCATATATAAGGTGAATTTGGAATGCCCTGACCTGGGCCCTCTGTCAGTCAAGTCCCTGCCATGGAGGCCATTCATGGCTGCCACAACTGAGACACTGGGAGAAAGATGCAACTATGAAAAGGTGAAAAGTTCTAAAGTCATAGAAAATAGCAATCAGCCTTTCTCACATCCCAAAACCTTCAAAAATATCTGAGTGCAGCATGTCCAAGATGGAATTAAAAACTTCAATCTTGAAAAGGAAAAAGGAAGCTGGAGGATTCACACTTTCAGATTTCAGCATCTACTGCAAAGCTACAGTAATCAATACAGTGTGGTACTGGCATAAAGGAGGACATAGAAATGAATGACATAGAATAGAGAACCCAGAAAGAAAGCTTGCATATATGGCCAAATGATTTGTGTCAAGAGTGTCAAGCCCATTCCTTGGGGAAAGGACAGTCTTTTTAACAAGTGATACTGGGAAAGCTGGCTATCCATGGACAAGTATGAGTTGAACCTTTACCTCACACCATATACAAAAAAATGAACCCACAATGGATCAAAGACCTAAATGGAAGAGTGAAGACTACCAGACTCTTAGAAGAAAACATAAGGAAAAAGCTTCATGATATTGAATTTCAGAATGATTTATTTGTTATAACTACAAAAGCATAGGCAACAAAAAAGGGATAAATTGGACTTCATGAAAATTAAAAACTTTTATATATCAAAGGCCATTATCAAGAATGTAAAAAGGCAAGCTATGACATAGGGAAAATATCTGCAAATCATATATCTAATAAGGGATTAATTTCCAGAATACATGAAGAACACTACAAATCAAAAACAGCAAAAACAGAAAAGCCCAATTAAAAAATGGACAAAAGACTGAAAGAGGGATTTTATTAAAGAAGATATACAAATGGCCAATGAGGACATGCAAGGATTCTCAATATAACTAATATTTAGAGATTTGCAAAGCAAAACCACGGTGATACATGACCTCGCACACATTAGGATGGCTTTGATAAAAACAACATGAACAACAACATCACAAAACAAGTGTTTTCAAGTACGTGGAAAAATTGAAGCTCTTTGTGTGTTGCCGATGGGAATGGGAAGTGTTATAGCCACTGTGGAAAAAATGGCATGGCACGGCCGGCTCATGCCTGTAATCCCAGCACTTTAGGAGCCGAGATGGGTGGATCTCTTGAGGTCAGGAGTTTGAGAACAGCCCGGCAAGTGTGGTGAAACCCCATCTCTACTAAAAATACAAAAATTAGCTGGGTATGGTGGCATGCGCCTGTAATCCCAGCTACTCAGGACGCTGAGGCATGAGAATCACTTGAACCTTGGAGGTGGAGGTTGCAGTGAGCCAAGATTGCACCATTGCACTCCAGTCTGGGTGACAGAGCAAGACCCTGTCTCAACATCAACAACAGAAAAGAAAATGGTATGTCAGTTTCTTAAAAAAAATTAAAGCATTACCACTTGAACCAGCAATTCTACTTCTGGACATACAGCCAAAAGTATTGAAAAATATTTGAACAGATATTTGTACACTGATGTTTACAGCAGCATCACTCACAATAGCCAATGGGTGGAAACAACTGAAAAGTCTATTGAAAGATAAGTGGATGAACAAAAAGGTATATCCATACTTTGGAATGTTCTTCAATCTTAGCAAGGGATAAAATTTTGACACATGGTGCAAAATGGATGAACCTTGAAGACATTATGCGAAGTGAAATAAGCCAGACACAAAAGGATAATTATTATATACTTCCATTTATGTAAGATAGTTAGAATAGTCAGTTACTTAGAGACAGAAATTAGAATGGTGATTACCAGGGGTTAAGGGGAGAAGGAATGAGAGTTATCATTTATTGGGTTCAGAGGTTTAGTATAGTAGGATAAAAAAAGCTCTGGAAATAGATAGTGTTGATAGTAACACAACACTAAATTGCACGCTTAGAAACAGTTAATAGTAAGTCTTAGATGTATAGTGTCTGGTACTCTTACCCTCTCTGTAAATGCACACTTTTTGTCGCTGTTCCTCCCCTGCCATAGAGAGCTTCTGTGAGTTAATCTCCCTATTTCTCCAAGTGTCCATCACTCACTGTCCTCTGTGTTGTGTTCCAGGAGCTCTGTCCACAGACTCAGACAGGCAGTGACTTCAGAGCCAGGACACAGCCCTATTCCCATTTTTTAAAGCCTTACCCATGGGAGGCTTGGCTTCTACTGGCAGCTCGATTTAGCCAGATTCAGAACCGGCCACCCAGGCACCTTATCCACATGCCCTGGCCCCAGCCCAGGTGGAGTCAGGGCAGGGTCAGTCACTGGGCGAGCCCACAGCAATGCAGGGAGCAGAGTCTGAGCTGCTTCTCCCTCACCAAGGGGCTTCCTCCTCTCATTGGAGAAAAGTGTGGGCTTGTTTTGAAGCCTCTGATGTTCATCGCAGCTCATGGAGTACACACACACACAGACACACACACAAAGGAGACAGAAGGGATGTTTTGGTGACAGAAACAGCTTGACCATGAGGACCCTCCTCTTTCTCCCTCTGTGAAGGCCCTTACACTGCATAGTGCTTGGGGCTGATAAAGCCATTTCCCTACATTTCTCAGGCTGGACCCAAGGTCATCCACCAGAAATCTGGCAAACAAAGGGAAGAGAATCTGTAGATATGAATTGGGAGTGTTCAGGAGAAAAATTTGGGATTTACTTTTGTGCATGGGACACAGGCTGAGAATAAAAATGTTTTCCTGGCTCTTTCTTGGAAAGCCAGATAGGCTTCACCTGAAAGCATATTGCCAATGCTCCAGCGATCCACTTACCAGGGACTCTGATTTTCTTGGTTGCGAAGTTTTTGCCATTAGTGACTGGGTTATGGACATAACACAGATAGTCCCCACTATTCTCAGTAGTGACTTGGGGGATAAAGAGCTCTTGTCCTATTTGCTGGTTATTCCCATTCAGCAGCCAAGAATACTCTGCTGATGGGTTAGAGCCCATGAGGCAGGAGAGGTTGAGGTTTGACCCTGGATAGTAATAGGTGTCTGAAGAATAAGTTGTGGGTTCATCTGGGCCATCTGGAGCAAAGAGAATAATGCCACAGGTAATGTTATCAGAGGGAATGGGAAGCTCCTGGTCTGTGAAAGGGGCACAGTGTTCCTTTTTGCCAAGTCACAACCCCGAAGTCCCAGCCAAACTTCCTCTGTGTTCACTGAACTGGAGTAGTCTAAGAAATTCACGTGTTCTCCCATCACAAGCTGTGGAACCAGAGTCTCCTAAGACCAGAGAAGCCCCTCCCCTCCTGGGCCTACCCAGGTTTTTCTGGGGCAGGAAGTCATGGCCAGCTTGGGGGTCCAGGGGTAAGTGTCTTCATACTTGAACCTGAGAGGGACTGAGAGGCCTGGCCTCATGTTATGTGGATTTGGGCCGGCAGCCTTGTCCATGAAGGAAAAGAGGATACTCACAGAGAACATCCAGGTGACTGGGTCAATTTGGCTGGTACTCACTACATTCTTCCTTTGACATTCATAGAGTCCTGTGTCACTCCTTGTGATACTGAGTAGAGCAAGGATCCTGTTGTCATTGGACATCTTTAGCCTGGGACTGAGTGTGAGTCTATGACCATTTACCCACCACATGTAGATTGTGCCATGAATGTCAGGTTCACAGGTTAAGACCACAGCCTCCTCATCCTCTGTGGGGTTGCTGGTGACATAGGGCTTGGGAACATTCGCTGTGCAGATAACAGAGAAGATTCCCCTGTGTGGCACCACTGATTTCTCCATGAGCATTTTCCAATCAGAGTTGACATCTCCCACCTCTCAGCAAATCTAAGTCCTTAAAAGCCCACAGCAGGTCTGTGTGTCAAAAGACAGATGGATGCATGATGATCTGAGGGCTCAGAGGCCATGGGGCCACCTGCTCTGTGTGGGAGATGCACAGACTTCTGAAGTGTGGATTGAGCAGCAATATTGGTGAAGTGTGAATTGAGCAGGGTCAAACAATTAGAGTTTGATTAACTTTGTTTAAATTGAGCAGAGCCCAAGTGAGGCAGCAGTGGCTCATGCATCTCCCCAACCGAAGCACCCCACCTTATGACAATGTGGTTATTATGAATACACAGGTGTGAATGAAACAGGCAGTAAATCAGACAGCACCCACCTGGCCAGCTCCACCTGGTCCTAGGAACCACCATTATTCCCATTATGTGTATGTTACAGCTTTTTAGGCTACAAAATATAAAATACAATCACAGAATATAAAATATGCTATTGTCAATACAAAATATTGAATATGAAGCTGAATATGTTGTTCCACTTTTTCTCACTCTTGTTAAGCTTTGCTGATTCAGTTTTGGAAGTTTCTATTGACACACACTTAAGCTAGAGATTCTTTCCTCAGCTGTGTGCAGCCTACCAGTAAGCCCATGGAGGGCATTCTTTATTTCTCTTAAAGTATTTTTAATCTCTAGCATTTCTTTTGCTTCTTTCTTAGAATAGCCATCTCTGTTTAAATCACCCATCTATTCCTGAAAGGTGTCTCCTTTTTCCATCATAATCCTTAACCAGAGTTGTTTTAAATTTCCAGTCTGATAATTTCAACATCCCTACCACATCTGTGTCTGGTTCCAATCCTTGCTCTGTCTTTCAAACTGCATTTTTTTTTTTTTTTTGCCATAGTCTGTCTTGTATTTTTTTGAAAACCACACATGATGTACTGGGTAAAAGGGACTTGAGTGGGTGGGCATTCAGTGACACGGTGGTGAGTGTTGGGAGGGAAGGGTTCTGTGGTTCTGGATGAGATCTGTGTCCTGGGCTGTGAATGTCACAAGTGCCTCTCAGGTTTTTCTTTCCATTAGGTGGGATATGATGACTTGAGGAGGCTGGAGTTGGATACTTCCCCTCCCCCTGGCCAGTTAAGCTCCCATCAAACCCCAGCTAATTAGGCTGCAGTAAAATAGTTTCTCTTAAATTTAGGTCTTACCAAGAAGAATATAATTCACTGACAACTTTCCAAGTGTTTTTTTCCCTTCTTCCTAGAAGAAGGATGTGGATTCTTTTTGGATATTGACTGTGAGAAACTGGTAGAGCTCCAGGAGCTAAGAGTCATAAATCTGTCCCCCTACTCCCAAGACTAATCCATCCACTGGTGTGTTTATCTCTGCACTGTGTCCACACTGAGCCTCCAGAATTTCCTCAATTAGAGTTCAGGTTTTCTGACCCCAGCACTTGTTCCCGCTGAGGTTTCTGTGCCTGTGTTTCTGCTCAGGTACGGTGCGCTGCTCTGTATTTGCCTGTGGGTCTCTCCAATATGTGGGCCAGTTAGCACTGAGACCTTGCTTCCAGAGAAATCTAAATGAGTTGTTGATTTTTCAGTTTGTTCAGCTTTTTACTTGTTGTTAGAACTGAGTGAAAATTTTTAAGCTACTTACATGCCTGACGGAAATTCGAAGTGTCTAGGGCATGACTGGAGGATATGAGCCCCACAGCAGGTTGAGGATGGAGTCATGAGTGAAATGGGTGAAATGAGCCCATGGGCTTTGGAAACTGCAGATCTGTCCTTCTGCCTCTGACCCCCTGGTGAGTCCATGAAGAAAGTGAAACCACCTTTGCGAAGCATAAGATGGTGAGAGGAAGCTAGCTTGGCTGACCGCATCTCACCTCTAGTCTCAAACTGGCCCTCTTCTCTGATTCCTGGACATAGGCCAGGGTAAGCATGGGAGGAATTTATAGTTTAACTTTGAAGCAAGGATGATAATAGTCCCTCCCTAAAATTAGCTCCTCCTTGTCGGGGGCTACCTTGGTAAATCTAAGAAAAGACCACGAATTATGGGAGGGGCCCAAATTCTGCTAAAATGCAGGCATAGTTTCTATAATCCCTTACTTCTCAGGAGTCATGTATCCAGAGGTCACAAGATTTGTGACTTTCCTAGTTGCTCCTATAGATAGCAAGACTACTGTAGAATCTGAGATTTATCTTTTGAGATGTTTCAGACTTTTGCATTCTGGCAACCAGCTGACCTCATCTAGACTCATGACCAATGGCTAAACCAGTCATGTGGCCCCCACTCAGAGGCAGATTCAACAAATACATACCATTTTGCCTACGTGCATCATTTCATCTCCAGCCGGTCAACAGTACTTATTCCTTAGACCTTTGCCCCTTCAAAGTTTTTGAAAAACTCTAACCTCAGAGCCATTGGGGAAGGTGATTTGAGTCATAATAAATTTCTGTCCTCCTTTTTGGCAGCCTTGGGCTAAGCAAAACCATTCTTTACTACACATCACCTTCACAATAAATTGGCTTTGCCTGTGCAGAGGGCAAGAACCTGTCAGGTGATTGTAAGAATGGATGGAGGAGTCACTGATCTCTTTCAGGTGGCCTGTTTCATGAGTCAGCCTCTCAGAGGGAAAGAGCCCTGGACTGGGACACAGTGGAAGCTCATTCTCCTGGTGACCCGGGGACATTGCCTCATTATGGATCCTGGCAGGGGTGGCTACTCTGGCTGATTTTGGTGCATTTTTCATTTCCCAGAAGGCAGGACAGGCCTCAGTGTGAGCAGGAAGGAAATGGAACCGTCAATCTTGTTAGAGAGGGTGTCTGGGTAAGTCCTCAGGGTGGAGGAAGCTGTGCAGGACAGGGCTCATCAGGTAGAATGAAAGGGGGATGCACTTTTTTCACTGAACACCTTTCAGATGTCTCACCAACTCTGGCCTCACTGGGCTCTGCCTTTCCTTCTGAGCCCAGAGCCCCGAGCCCTGATTCCTGGGAGGGAGGAAGAGAGAGAGGAAGGGTGAAGCTGGGATGTGTGCTGTCCAGGTTTCTTCCATCTCTGGAATCTTGAAAGCGAGGGACCCTAGTGTGTTACCACAGAGGAGACCATGGGAAAAAGCTGTTTCTCAGGGGTGCCTGGCTTATGAATTGAGGGGAATTCAGACCAGGTTGGACTCGTGAACTGCAGGGACTCTGTTCCATGTCAGCAACCAGCTCCTCTAGCTCAGTGTTTCTCTCTGTGGCTAATTCTTTTGTGTGATTTCTGAGCCCATGCTAGAGTCCTCCTCACGATGCCTGATGGTCAGACCTGTGTGGGGAGACCTAATGATGGGGTGGGGGTGGTCTTGAGTGTCACACAGAGTGTCCAGGGAACAGGCTTTGTGACTTTCTCTACCCCAGCCCCACAACAAGATCTGGATAGTGGGCTTGGTCAGATAAAGTCAGAATCCATGGAGGGAGGGTATGTGTCCTGGCAGTACTGAGGTTCCTGCCTCCAGGTTAGTTCTCAGTCTCTGCAAATACATTTATGTTGTGCATGTGCTGTTTCCTGGACTGTTTCATGTCCCTAACTTCTTGAACCTGTCTGCAGATAATGTCATGAGAGGTCTGCATGGAAGTATATGAGGGCTCTCTGATTAGGATGGGTGTGTTTTACATAGTGGGTTTTTTTTTTTCACCAAATTGTGGTTGAGTGTGTATATAGAAACACATACATACTTATATTCATTAGATTTGACTATTTATATAAATTTAATATACAGATACATTTCTATAAATATACACATATATGTATATGTGTATATATGTATATGTATATATGTATATGTATATATATGTATATGGGTATATATATGTGTGTGTGTGTGTGTGTGTGTATATATAAAATGTGCCATTTTAACCACTTAAGGGGAGAGAGAGAGAGAAGAGAGTTTCTGCTAATACCAAATCTGGGTTAAATAAGGGTGGTCCTATTTCCTGGGGTTGGGCTTTTGCTAGATGTGTCAGTTCCTGTTGGAAGTGAGGTAGAGAGGTTACATGCTTAACCAATGTAGAGATTTTCTATATGAAAATAATCTGTGAGCACACTGATAAGTTTTATCCTTTTCTAGGTGAAAAGCTTGGTGAAAGATTTTAAGGACTTCCCATTGGCTGAAGGCTGGCAAATGGAGTTTGCTATCCTCTGACTGCAGCCATTCTGAGGACTGGAAAGAATACCCTGAGAAGGGGCCTATTTTATTTCTGCAGGAAGGTACTGAGGTTTAATTTATCTTATGGAGTCTTCCTAGATTAGAAGGCTTTGAGGTGTGTTGATGCCTTGCCAGTGACTTAGCTGCCTGATCAGTGAACCTATTTCCTTTGGCTACATCATCTGTTCCCCTTTTGATGTTCCCTATAATGTATCACTGCTATTTCTCATGGAAGAAAACTGAGGATAATAACCTGTTAATTTTTTGGTGATATTTTACAGGAAATCCATTAGTGGTAAGAAAATGCCTTTTATTTTAAATGGCAGCATGAGCATGAAGAACTCAAAAAGCATACTTGGAATCAGTGTAAATGTTAGCTACCTTTCCCTTGCTTAATTTAAGTGCTCTTGTAAGAACCATTTGTTTAGCTGATTGAGCACCTGCACCTGAAGGGAGATGTTATTTAGAGTGACTACTGCTTATCCTGCCATATATATTTCTTGCTTTACCAGCTGTTTGTTAGCTAAGAGCTCCCTCTAGAGGAAAGTAATTTTGCCACATTAAGTGGGGATGTAAACCGTTCTTTCCTAGGGTTAATTTGGAGGCTTTTCTGACTAGTAGAGCTATTGTGACAGTGGTTTGGAAGCAGATGTAAACAATAGGTCCTCCTAATGGCAAATAAGAGGTTGAGAAAAATATTGGATTAGAATTTTTCCTGAGACACCCCTTATGGTTGTGCTATGGGAAGAGGGGAGGCCTGGATAAGAAAGGAGAAAAGAGAGAGACTAGATCTAGTGTTTAGAAGGAGGTCTACTTTCCTCCCTATAATTTCCAGAATGACCTGTGTCTCCTGTGCTGTAATGGCAGTTTGAGCTGCTGGAGCCAGGGGTTTGAGCCCCAGGACCCATCAGTCTTGCTGGACCACTGTGAGACTGGTACTGAACCCAGTGACCTCCAACTCTGGGAGCAGTTGCATCTCCAGTGGTCTCCACCACAGGCTGGTCATTGTCAAGGTGGCTTC
Organism: Homo sapiens; assembly: GCF_000001405.40. NCBI lineage: Eukaryota > Metazoa > Chordata > Mammalia > Primates > Hominidae > Homo > Homo sapiens. The sequence continues at coordinate 42,791,871 of NC_000019.10, forward strand.
CTCTTGCTGTTTGGACACTCCTTCCTAAAAATGCCCTGGCTTGCCACACCGAGAGCAACTAGTGGATACACCTCTGGGATCCTGGACTTTGCAACTCTGCAAAGTAGCTATTAGAGGCTTTGTCCTTCTCTTGAGCTTTCTCTCTTTCTTCTGGGCCTTCTCCTGGTCCCTATTATAAAAGACTGAAGTGGCTACCCTCAGAAGGTTTTCCAAGGTGCTATGTGCTACTATAGCTTGCCTTTTGTAGGTTCCTTCTAATATTGGGAGCATTCTGTATAATAAACTTATCTTTTTGAATGGGCTGTCACTTGAGTGAATCAGGAGATAAAAAGGTGTGTGCTAATAGTGCCCCTCTTAACCTATCCATAAAGGCTGCAGGATTCTCCTCTGGCTTTGAGTCTATCATAGACAGTTTAGAGGAATTAAGAGGTCTGGCCTTAGTTTTTCTTTTCCATTCATCTGCTGAGCTATTGGGGCTTCAATCAGGGTTGCCAAGAGGTACTGCTTCACTTCTTATTTGGAATGGTGTTTCTGCTATTTCTTCACTTTCTGTATCTCCTTCCTTCCCTTTTGGTGTATTATAGGAGATATGTTGCTCATCTTCAAAATTCTCTGGTGCTTGTAGAGCTGGCTGTTTTTCAGTTACAGTTAGGGTTTGGTTTAGGAGCAGCATAACATCCTTCCATGTGAGGTGAAACACCTGACTTAAATTCTGGAAAGCTTCTATATACCTATCAGGATTGTCTGAAAATCAGCCTAAGTCTTACTTTATTTGCCTAAGGTCCTGTAATGAGAAGGGAACTTGGAGGGACCCCAAATTATGGGGATTCTTCTCAGATGGTTCCCTGGGAAGTTGCTTTTCTAATTCTAGGGGATTATTCTTTATAGGCCTTCCTGATATGGCTGTTAAAAAAATCTGGGTTGCTGTTACAATGCTTCTAAAGTTTTAGTAAAAATGCCCTGTCATTGTGCAAAATAGAATGAGTTGCTTTTCTCTTCAAAGTCCTGAGGTTAAAAGAGTTCTAGTGCCTCAGAGTGCACTCCAGAGGGGTGCAAACTGAAGATGCTCTGTTAGCCATCGAGAAAAAGAAGTGAGAATAAAAGTGTCCTTATAGTCCCCCTTCTTTCATTGTTACCCAGAGTCATGTGGAAGACAGTGGGAGCATCCCCCCAACTGTTTTCTCTCCTTGGTTCCTGAGTCCTGGCACTGTGTTAAATTTGCCACCCATGGTTGTAGGTGTGGCCCTCTAAGCCATGGAACTGGATAAATGAAGTGATGACATTAGCCACACTTTACCCATGCAGCCTTAGCTTATCTGCCTGTGATCTGCCTGGCCTCCTGAAAAATGGATCTCTGGTGAAATTGTAATAGTTGCCTTTGAGCAAGCTTTCTTTAAGAGAGGGAATGTGCCAGTTGCCAGTTATGGCCCATGCTAAAACACTTACCCTCAGAAAAGTGGTCCTGGTTGACTCTGTTCTTAAAATGTCCTTACTAATTAAATACTGTTCTAATTGGAGATAGAATAAGTACCTTAAATGAACGTAGGGACCTAATGGCAGTTTTTCCTGCTGATGGGACAGTATCGGAACTAAAATTTGGCTATGGAAGACATTTTACTCCTAACTGTTGAAAGCAGAGCTTTCCCATTCACAGAAAGGGCTTTTCTATCAGTGCAAAAAGAGAGAATTGGAAAAGTGCAGTGTTATGGCAAAGGACCAACAATGTGCCTCATAAGGAGGATTTATGTTTCCACTAGGTGACACTGTTGGCTTAGAAATACCAAGTGCTTACCAAAGGAAGGAGAGAGAGAGAGAAAGAGAGAGGGAGGGACCTATTGGGTTAGTTATTATACCATGTACCGATCTTTCCTAACAGAACTGTTTCCCTGAACCGTAAAAATTTCCACATATTGCAAACACAAAAAGAACAGGAGACATAGAGACCATGGATAGAAAGGAAGAACAAATTTGCAACAGGATAGCAAATTAGGAGACCCATTACCAACATCTGGATGAGCTGCCGGAAGCTGTGTTCAGTCCAGAAGCCTTTGAATAACATCAGGGTGTTTCCTGGCCAGAAATTCTCAGCTGCTCCATGACATCCCCCAGCGTCATGTGATGGTGAGGTTCTCCATGAAAGGAAACTAGTTTGAAGAGAACCTTGAAATTAAAGGACAGATTTGAGGTTTGCTCCATACTCACCATTCTGATGTTTCTATCTTCTGTTCTGATCACAATCCCAGATGAGAACTCCCAAATAAAATGGCTCTGTTTGGGAATCTATTCATGGTTCTTTGTCACACACTGAGAAAGAATTCGGGACATGGAAACACGTGAGGAGTGGGTTTAGGAGTGAAAAATTTAACAGACAATAAAGAAGAGAGAGAGAAAAAGCTTTCTCATACTGAGAAAGCAGTCACCCGAGAGAGGGTCTCCAATTTGTGGTGGAATGCAATTGATTTTGTACAGAGACTTGAGGAGGCAGTGATTGATTTACATAGGGTCCAGGGTATTGTTTTGACCAGGTGTGCTGTTTACGTAGCCCGAGAAAAGACTGGCCCTCCCACCTTAATCTTTTATTATGCCATTGTGGCTTCTACCTGGTGGTCATCATGACACCTGCACATATGGTGACAAGGAAAAAAGTGCAGGAACTGCCATATTGGGAGTACCTGGCTCTTAGTTGCCTGCATCTGTATATGCTTATCTATGCTTGCAGCCTGATCATTCAGTCTGTTTTCTGTTAGAAATGGTTTGGGGGCTGCGTTTTATTAAAGGAAAATTCCACCAAGAATTCTTTTACCCTTTCTAGCTGCCTAAAAATAATTTCTCAATAACTCCTGTATTAGGACCCCTTTAGGAAAACAGAAAAGAAGACACAGACTCTCCTGTAGGAAAGTAACCATAGTTTTTTTGTCATGGAGCCCCAAGAGTTGCAAGTGAACGGATTTCTCTCAGGTCTAAAACTCTGCTCTTTTCTCCATTGTGTTACCTGACCTCTTTGCCTTTTACATTACTTTGAACTGTAAAAATATTTGACCTTGTGTGTGTAATGGTTGCTGGGTCAGTGGTAAGAGCTATGGTTTTGAAAGTGACTAACAGTGATTATAATAAATTATTCTGGCTTCAGAGGGCTACTCATTTCCTTGCATGTTTAGATGCAAAAGACACAGTTTAAACAATTAGGGAAATGCCTTTGTAGCAAAGTACTCTGTGGAAGTGTTGCACAGTATGGTCCCCACTGCATTGTCCTCTTCTTGGGGACCTGGGATTCAGTGAAATCCTTGATTTTTAATGTCTAAATGTTGTCCCTTCCAACTGGTGCCCTTTTTTACATATTTAAATGATTAGAATCTAAAAATTGCAAAGACTTTGTTGGCCCTCTTCCTTAATGGGCTCTACCTTGAGCACAGTGATTCAGTTGAAGAAAAGAGACCAAATTAAAAGCTACATCTCTAAATAAACAACAGGTGCTGGAGAGGATATGGAGAAATAGGAACACTTTTACAGTGTTGGTGGGAGTGTAAACTAATTCAACCATTGTGGAAGTCAGTGTGGCGATTCCTCAGGGATCTAGAAGTAGAAATACCATTTGACCCAGCCATCCCATTACTGGGTATATACCCAAAGGATTATAAATCATGCTGCTATAAAGACACATGCACACATATGTTTATTGCGGCACTATTCACAATAGCAAAGACTTGGAGCCAACTCAAATGTCCAACAATGGTAGACTGGATTAAGAAAATGTGGCACATATACACCATGGAACACTATGCAGCCATAAAAATGATGACTTCCTGTCCTTTGTAGGGACATGGATGAAGCTGGAAACCATCATTCTCAGCAAACCATCGCAAGGACAAAAAATCAAACACCGCATGTTCTCACTCATAGGTGGGAATTGAACAGTGAGACCACATGGACACAGGAAGGGGAACATCACACACCAGGGCCTGTTGTGGGGTGGGAAGAGAGGGGAGGGATAGCATTAGGAGATATACCTAATGTTAAATGACGAGTTAATGGGTGCAGCACACCAACATGGCACATGTATACATATGTAACTAACCTGCCCGTTGTGCACATGTACCCTAAAACTTAAAGTATACTAAAAAATAAATAAATAAAACCCCGTGGTAAATTTCTATTATTTTTGTGTTACCTTGGCATCTCTTTTTAATCTTCCTTGAACACACCAAATTTTTTCTTGAAAAAGCTTAAGTTCTCTCTCTCTCTCTCTTTGCTTTGAGATGTAAATGTGCTATTTATTTTCTCTAAAACTCGGTAAAGCCTTCCTCAGATAAACGTTAACCTTTACCATTTACAAGAAAGCAATTTGAATCCAACTATCCTTTAAACTGGTGGGTTTTACTGATCTCATGCCTAAAGTCCTAAAATCAAAATTCTAAAATCCTTTTGTCTCTCTCTATCTTTATGTGAACATGTATATGTTATATGTTTTATCACATATATGTATATGTCACACATTTATATACTGTTGACACATAGTTTCAAATTAATGTAAAAATAAATGAGTACTCACAAATTAAGTGAATAAGCCAAAATGCTTTTCTATACATGTGATTTTAATAACCTTTGGTGAATATAGATAGTTTTAAAATTGTTGGAAAATAAAGTATAAACGTCTTCATAATTTAATTTATACGTTTTTGCCTAGGTCTGTTGGCAGGCAGGTTTATATTGTCTTTACTAGATGTTTTAAGGTCATCAAACAGTTGCTTCCATATATATACATTTTCTTAATTTGTCTGTGAGCTTATGTCTTTATATTTGAAGCTTTAAATTCTGAGTTCTAGATGAGTGACCATAGTAAGAACTGGGGACAAAACCCATCCCAGCCTCTGGCTGTGCCTTTTGGCCATGCTGGGAGAGGTGAGATTATCCAGGCATTTTCTTCATAGCTCTGTTCTTTGTCTTGGGCTTTGCATCTGGTACATAGTTAGAATGATTTACTCCCTAGTTTTTTTCTACTGAAAATAAGGCTGTATAAGTCTGTTTTTACATTGCTACAGACAAATAAATGAACCTGAATAATTTATAAAGAAAAAAGTTTGAATGGTCTCATGATTCAGCAGGTTGTAGAGTAAGCATGATTCTGGCATCTGCTCAGCTTTTGAGGAGGCCTCAGAAAACTTACAATCACGGAGAAAGCCAATGGTGGAGGAAGACATCTTATATAATGGGAGCTGGAGGAAGAGAGCAAGGGTTGCACACTGGTAAACAACCAGATAAAAACTCACTGTTGCTACAACAGCACCAAGGAGAATGGTGTTAACATATGAGAAACCACCTCCATGATCCAATCACATCCAACCAGGCTCCACCTCCAACTTTGGAGATTACAATTTGACATGAGATTTGGGTGGGGGTAAAGGTCCAAAAAATTATTATTCTCTCCATCTTCCCTCCCAAATCTCATGCCTTTCTCATATTTAATAATATAAGAATGGCTTCCCAACCATCTCTAGAGTCTTAACTCATTCCAGCATTAACTCAAAAGCCCAAAATAGCAAGTTTCATCTGAGACAAGGCAAGTTCCTTTCACCTATGAGTCTGTGAATTCAAAAACAAGTTAGTTACTTTCAAGACACAAGGGAGATCTAGGCATTGGGTAAATACTCCCATTCCAAAGGGAAGAAATAGGCTGAAAGAAATAGGATACATGCCCCATGAAAGTCTGAAACCTTGCAGCACAGTCTTTAAAACTTAAAGCTCCAAAATAATCTCCATTGACCCCATATCTCATATTCAGGGCACACTGATGTAAGGCTTAGGCTTCCAAGGTTCTGGGCATCACAGGAACATTCTAAGAGAGTCACAAAAGAATTTGTAGTGTGGCTTTTGATGCTAAACAGCGTATTAGACCAAGTAAGTCACTGAAGAGAAAAAAGTCAGAGGAGAAGATGGGTGAGGGTGACAGAAATGGAATGGTGAAAGGAAAGGTCTGATAAAAATGTTTACCGGCTGGGCATGGTGGCTCACACCTGTAATCCCAGCACTTTGGGAGGCCGAGGCGGGCAGATCACGAGGTCAGGAGTTTGAGACCAGCCTGAGTAACATGGTGAAACCCCATCTCTACTAAAAATACAAAAATTAGCCGGGCGTGGTGGCATGCACCTGTAATCCCAGCTACTCAGGAGGCTGAAGGCAGGAGAATCACTTGAACTTGGGATGCGGAGGTTGCAGTGACCTGAGAATGCAGCATTGCACTCCAGCCTGGGTGACAGAGTGAGACTCCATCTCAAAAAAAAAAAAAAAAAAGTTCACCCAAGGGCTCATCTGGTACCTTGCTCTGTGACTAATATCTTACACTTTTGATTTACTCTTCCACTTTCATTTTCTGATGCTCAAAGGGTCACCCTTCTGCTGAAGATGAGAAAAGAGGCTGAGGGAGCTCAAATGAGTGGTCTAGAGTCATCCAGCTACTTCATAGAGTTTGTGTGTTTCACCTTGACATTTGCGCACAGACAGAAAAGTGAGACATGGAAGGCAAAGCAAGTTTTTGCTGTGGGTGACATTTATGAAAGTTACCTGTGTTTGCAGAATAATGGACTCCTAAAATGTTTGCACCCTAGCTCCAGAACCTGTGCATTTACTTTTCTTGGTAAAAACACAGTGCAGGGGTGATAAAATTAAAATCTTAAGATGTAGATGTTATTCTAGATTATCTGGGTGGGCCCATTGTAATCAGAAGTGTCCTTGTAAGTGACAAAGAAAAGCAGGGGCATCAGTGTGAGAATGATGAGCCTGTGAAACTCCACTGGCCAATGCTGGGTGTGAGCATGCATCAAAAGACAAAATTACAACTAATGTAGTTATAGATTTTATTTTTCATTTATTATTTGAGGCAGCTCTCACTCTACAAATATAGTGACAGCCCTCCCTGGGCTATACAATAACAAAACAGTGGGTTTTGTCAAGTGGGAACCAGTAAACAAAGCCATATAAATAAATAAATTGGTTAACATTAGGGTACTTCAGGTCTCTTTTCTGTAAAAGTTAAAGCAGAGGAAACTTTTATTATGCTGTCTCAGGTAGAGTGGAATCTCCTGTTTTCAACAAAAAACAAAGGTCTGTTCTGGTATCTCTTTGCTTCATTAAAACTTCAGTTGTAGACTGTAGCATTTAGCATGAGTCGTTCTATTTTGGAGTCTCTAGGCTCTCACTTAGGTGAGAGTGTGACCAAAATTTAAAGCATTGGCATTCATCTCAGTAACCATCATTTTGGGCTTCCATCATTTATGAGTTTATGATGTCTTCCTGATCACACATTTCTTTGAGTTTTTGTCATTTCAGCCAAAGAGAGACCCTTTGGTATTTGTTGATGGCTGCACACAAAACTTTTTAAAAACTCTTGTAGAATTCACCACACCAAAATGTAGAATTTAAAAACCTGTAGAATTTATCACACCAGAGAGGCTACTAGTATGACTATTAGGAGGATAATACCAAAAGTTTGGAGTATGCACTTTAGGCAAGATGCAAACCAAGTAAAATAGAATAGATCAAAGAATGAGCCAGAAGAGTCTAGCAATTTTAACCAAGTAGTATGTTTGGTAACTTCTGTGATTGAGTCATTATGATACTCGATGTATTTGTTTATGTGCAACAATCAGTGTCAGAAACTGCACAGGCTCCTCCCTGTTCAGCTGGTAGGGAACAATTTTATTATGTAGCATTCGACGGCTCATTAAATTAAAACAGGGAGTGAGAACAAGTGAGTCTGAAAATGTAACTTTAAAAGGGGCCACTGTACATTTGAAGAAACAATTGTGTTAAAGATGGTGCTAATGTCAGCCATTGGGTGGACTAAATGATATCTTATGTAAAAATTTGAGGGTGACATGATATATCTGTCACTCTGTTATGCTACTCTCAGAAGCTACTTCACATGAGATTCTAATGATACCATCATCCTGCCAAATGAAAGAGGCAGGCATAAGCATGGACAAATTAAGAGGGGTAAGAGCCTGATTTTGATGTGAAGACTTGTTCTGACAACTTGGGAAAAGCTTTTGACAGTATGAAGTTGTCAACTTCTTACCCTGGTTTTCAGTTTGAGTGTCTGTAGTTATGGTGTCAAACATATTGGTGAGCTCCGAGTGACTCATTCTTCAGGCACGAGGGTTTTCCTGTGAAATTTACATTGAGCTTTCCACCTCCAACTTATAGGACTTCAGTAACAGAGCAGATTTTGTTCTTACTGATTCAATAAGAAAAAACTGGATGGGAGGAACTAGAAGAATTCAGGGTCTAGTCCAGTCTACCGGTGAATAATAAAAACTCGAAAACAATGAACAGAGCTGCAATTTCATAGCAGGTATACTACACTTTTTATTTTCAACATTATTTTTCTCTCTATAGGCATATCTATTTTTACCAAAGAAAATCCCAGTAGGACAAATTTGTTTACAAAGTAGGTTTAGTCTTATCAAACTTTGCCAGGATTCTTTACATAAGCGCATCAAGAGTAGCAGTGGACCACAGAGGCTCTTCCTAAAGTTTGGTTCGCTAGTTTTTATAAGTAGTCTCAGATTAAACTTTTACGAACCTCTTGAGATGAGGAAGCCGAATGAAAGCCATCTTCAGACTTTGCCTGCAGTACATATGTGTCCATTCTATGTATATTCTCAAATATAACATCTTAGTCAAAGCCTTGGTAATATAACCAATGTTTTGAAATGTGTCCTTTTGTAAAGAGAAGATTCTTACTAAACTTGTGCAAATAGCTGTATCATCATAATCATATGAATACTCATGAATAGTTTCCCAGTCCTGGGACAGTTAGGTAAAGAGCAAAAATCAATGAGCTTCAATTATTGTTTCCAAAAGTATACTTTACCAAATTTCTTTAGATATAACTAGCTTAAAAGAAGAAAAATTCCATAAATCTGGAAAAAATCATTTAAAGAATCATCAAATTTTCAAATAAAAATTATAAAAACATTATCCACATTATCATTTATTTCAATGAAAGTATTTTTGTTCTGCTTGGTCTAGGTTGGCACATTTCATGAAGGCATCATCCTGTTTGTTAAAGTTTTGAAAGTCTATAGATGGTCCAGTGATATAATCTTGAACTGCTCAGAAACTTGTATGCAAGAGTACTTGTCAGTATCTTTTCCATAAATCTTTTGAAATAGAAGCAATTTTGGACTGTAGCTGATTGCAAATGTTTCAGGAAGAATCAAAACAACTATCTGTGAATGACCAACATGTAAAATGACTATTGCTAAAACTCTGATAAGAGTTTGGTATAAGAAAGGGAGTAACTCCAGCCAGTACTCTAGTCATGATGCTGACAGTGGCCCCAACTGAGAGACCAAAAGAACTTTCTTATCCTGAAGCAGCTGTCATGGAAAAAAAAAGAGGAGAAGGAATAAATAATAAAGACAGCAAGGGTTTTAGCCAATTATTTTTTGAGATAGGGTCTCACTCTGTTGCCTAGGCTGGTGTGCAGTGGCACAATCTCAGCTCACTGCAACCTGTGCCTCCCAGGCTCAAGCAGTCCTCCCACCTCACTCTCCTGAGTAGCTGGGACTACAGGCACACACCACCATGCATGCTTAATGTTTGTATTTTTTGTAGAGATGGGCTTTTACCATGTTGTTGAGGCTTGTTTTGAACTCCTAGACTTAAGTTATTCACTGCCTTGGCTTCCCAAAGTGCAGGGATTACAGGTGTGAGCCACCTCTCCTGCCGGTTTCATGCTTTTTATAATAAGAATGAACTCCTTATGTAATAATAAATAAATAAATGAAATTATTTGCTTTGGATGTAACAAATGTAGATTTAGATTGTCCAGAGTCAGGAGCTAAGCCTCATATTTTTTTTGTTTTAGCTCAGTGTAGAGTGCATTGAAGGTGTCCTAAAAATAATTCCATATAGTAAGCCAATTTTAAACCCTGCTCACAGCCAGGTCTGCCAAGTATGAGCCAGGTAAAATTACCAAAATGGGTGGTTCTGACTGACTCCTTAACAATAACGTGGCTTACAAACAAAGACTGATATGAAATAGTTGATCCAACCCAAACAGTTTGCTCATTTTCCAAAATTTTCTATACAAACATATGCAACTTACCACAACATAGAGATCATAATGAAAGGTTTCCCTTTTATTCCTTTAAATGACCATATGTTTAGATCTGATGTACTGACAGCAATAATTCTCCATTAAGCAGAAACCTAATAAAATTTGAAAAATAGTGATTTTATCTTTAGATGATACTCAGATCTTCTGCTACATATGTGGAAAATGGAATTATTGCTAGAAACATTGTTTAAAGATTAGGGTATGCAAGGAGTATTAGGAAGTCAGGAGGTTCTTTCTTTAGGAAACAGCTTATCTGGATTCATTCAAAGAGCTTTAGGCGAGTTTGAGGTCTTTCTGCAAAATGTAAATTGCTATCTGAGAAACCATATATAGTCCAATGATGAAAGAATGCAAAGCCTTAGAAGCACAGGAGACAATTCCAGTATCTTCCCTAAAGTTCTGACAAAAAGGAAAATAACTATCAAATTCTTCAACTCGAATGCTTATTATGTATGTATAAGTCAATCGGCAGATGAAGAGAGGCTGGAAATATGACTTCTACCCCTAGGGAACTCACAGTCTTGTGGGGGCCACTAGGGGTGGTGGTGTGACCTGCCTGGAGCAGCGCTAAGTATGGACTTGTGAGTCAAGGGCTATCAAAACCTAAGTAAACTGATTGCTGTTCAGAGAAGGTAGAGTTCCATTCCACAGTTTGCAAGAAGGACTGTTTTATGGAGGAGGTCATGTTGGACTAGACCTTAAAAAGTTGGTAGAATTTAAAAGCAAGGATATGGAAGCAGGAAGAGTGAAAGTGAGCAGAGGTACAGAAGTGAGGCAAGGGTGAGCAGTTTTAATTTTTTAATGGTGGTATAAAATACACATCAATATTTGCCATATTATTATTATTATTTTGGAGACAGTGTCTGGCTCTGTTGCCCAGGCTGGAGTGCAGTAGCTCAATCATGGCTTTCTGTATCCTCCACCTCCTGGGCTCAAGCAATCCTTGTACATCATCCTCCTGAGTAGCTGGGACCACAAACATATACCACCATGCCCAGCTAATTTTTATATTTTTGGGAGTGACAAGGTCTTCCTATGTTGCCCAGGCTGGTCTCGAACTGCTGGACTCAAATGATCCTCCTGCCTTAGCCCCAAAGTGCTGGGACTACAGGTATGAGCCACTGCACCTGACCCCATCTTAAAAATTTTTAAGTGCACAGTTGAGAAGTACATTTGCACTGTGCAACCATCCGCGGCAACCATCTTCAGAGAGTATTTTTCATCGTGTAACAGGGAAAATTCATATCCATGAAACATTAACTCCTCATTCTTCCTCCTCCCCACCCCAGGTAACCACTATTCCAGTGTCTCTATGATTTTGACTGCTCTAGGGACTTATATAAATGAGATCATACACTGTGTATCTTTTTGTGACTGGCTTATTTCACTTAGCATAATGTCCTCAAGGTTCATCCATGTTGTAACATATGTGAGAATTTTTTCCTTTTGAAGGCTGAATAATATTTCGTTGTACGGATGGACCAAATTTTGTTTATCCATTCATCTATCCATGGACACTTGGTTTGCCTTCACATTTTGGCTATTGTAAATAATGCTGCTATAAACATGGAGGTACCAATATCTGTTTGGGTCTCTGCTTTCAATTATTTTGGGTTTATACCCAGGAGTGGAATGGCCAAGTCATACAGTACCTGTAGTTTTAGTTTTCTGAGGAACCACCATAATGTTTTTCACAGTGGCTGCACCATCTTAATTCTTATGAATAGTGCACAGGGGTTCCAATTTTTCCACAGTCTCCTTAACACTTACTATTTTCTGGGGCTTTTGCTTTGTACTTGAGAGTAGCCATTTAAATTGGCATAAGGTATAATTTCATTGTGGTTTACATTTTCATTTCCTTAATGATTAGTGATACTGATCAATATTTTCTATGCTTGCTGGCCATTTGTACATCTTCTTTGGAGAAATGTTTATTCAGGTCATCTGCCTATTTTTTTAAATTGGGTTGAATTTTTTTTTGCTGTTGTTTAGGTAGAGAAGGCAATCTTTGAATACCAGTGATGTTTCACTAATACTGGGCCATTGATTTCACAAGAAGTTGTATGAGGTACTAGAATGTGTGTTTGGTTTCAATCATGGCTGGGGTTGAATGCCTTTTCCAAAATTCAGTGTGAATTTCACCAGAAGCCACAAAGGGTCCAGGAGCAAGAACATGGTGTGACTGCTCTCTGCTAAAGAATTTCAGCCTGATGACAGTGAGCAGGCTACACATGAGACTGACACAAGAATAGGTGGAGAGGGAGACTTTCCACTGGAAGAAGGTGATTCTAACATGCAGAATCACCTTCAAGGAGCAAGTAAGCAGAAAAATAGACAATGGCACAGTGGCCAGGCAAGAAGACACTAGGTCCAGAATCTGAGGTTCAAATCCTAGCTCTGTGAGATAAAAACATGCCTTGGTTTTCCCATGCTACTGAAACACCAGGGGTTGGGTCTAGGTCCCTTTGCTCACTGCACAGAAAGCCAACCACTGAGACAATGAGCATTGCCAGGGAAGAAGGCTTTATTTGGGTGCTGCAGCCAAGGAGGTGGGAGATCAGTCTTAAATTCATCTCTCCAGCCGACTCAAATTGGAGGGTTTATATAGCTGGGAAGGGAGGTAGCTACCTGCAGGGAAAACAGCAATTAAGGAGGGGTAAGGAAGCAATCATGATAAATGAGGGGTCTGGTGTCTCATTGTCTGATGGTGATTTGGTGAATTTCAGTCTCTTGCCTGAAGGTCTGTTTCCTAACTCAGATGACTGACAAATGTTAAGTTTCAAGTTTTAAGACCAGATGGGTCAATTTCTATGTTTATTCAAAAACCCTGTAAATATCAGTTCTATGTGGAACTTGAGCTGGTTTCCCCCAAGTCATCACAGTTAGGGTTAAATGATGCAATATAAGTAAAACACCAGCAGTTTCTGACACACACACAGAGTGCATGACACAAGTGGTGTGTTGGGACAATATAGCTCAGTGAACTCCCTTTGTCTACTCAGTTATATTGAGTGATGAGGCATCTCTGAAGATGCCACTTTGCTACTTCTCCCCTGATAATTTCACCAGATCCAGCCATATGAGCACTGCAAGTGGGGACTTAGCTTAAATCATTCCTCGTATTTCCTGTGCAGGCAAATCATTTGGCACCAAAACATGCACAGAAGTCCAAATCCTGCTGCCAGCTCCACGACTGATGACACAGACAGACTTCAGGATTAGTCCTTTAATCTCTGTCCTCTATTAAATGAAGGTCATCATGCTGCTGCCTAATGTAAAAGGATTGTGGGGATTTTCATCATTCATTACCGATTATCTTATTCTTTGAAACCCCAAGAAAACTATACAAATTCCAAAGTCTAATAGGTACACAAGGGCTTTATTATGGATGATGAAGTTTCAAAGGATGCTAAACCAAAAAAAAATTGTTTTTCTTTTTTTTTTTGGATTTATTTTTTTATTTATTTATTTTATTATACTTTAAGTTTTAGGGTACATGTGCACATTGTGCAGGTTAGTTACATATGTATACATGTGCCATGCTGGTGCGCTGCACCCACTAACTCGTCATCTAGCATTAGGTATATCTCCTAATGCTATCCCTCCCCCCTCCCCCTACCCCACAACAGTCCCCAGAGTGTGATATTCCCCTTCCTGTGTCCATGTGATCTCTTTGTTCAATTCCCACCTATGAGTGAGAGTATGTGGTGTTTGGTTTTTTGTTCTTGTGATAGTTTACTGAGAATGATGATTTCCAATTTCATCCATGTCCCTACAAAGGACATGAACTCATCATTTTTTATGGCTGCATAGTATTCCATGGTGTATATGTGCCACATTTTCTTAATCCAGTCTATCATTGTTGGACATTTGGGTTGGTTCCAAGTCTTTGCTATTGTGAATAGTGCCGCAATAAACATACCTGTGCATGTGTCTTTATAGCAGCATGATTTATAGTCCTTTGGGTATATACCCAGTAATGGGATGGCTGGGTCAAATGGTATTTCTACTTCTAGATCCCTGAGGAATCGCCACACTGACTTTCACAATGGTTGAACTAGTTTACAGTCCCACCAACAGTGTAAAAGTCTTCCTATTTCTCCACATCCTCTCCTGCACCTGTTGTTTCCTGACTTTTTAATGATTGCCATTCTAACTGGTGTAAGATGGTATCTTATTGTGGTTTTGATTTGCATTTCTCTGATGGCCAGTGATGATGAGCATTTTTTCATGTGTTTTTTGGCTGCATAAATGTCTGCTTTTGAGAAGTGTCTGTTCATGTCCTTCGCCCACTTTTTGATGGGGTTGTTTGTTTTTTTCTTGTAAATTTGTTTGAGTTCATTGTAGATTCTGGATATCAGCCCTTTGTCAGATGAGTAGGTTGTGAAAATTTTCTCCCACTTTGTAGGTTGCCTGTTCACTCTGATGGTAGTTTCTTTTGCTGTGCAGAAGCTCTTTAGTTTAATTAGATCCCATTTGTCAATTTTGTCTTTTGCTGCCATTGCTTTTGGTGTTTTATACATGAAGTCCTTGCCCATGCCTATGTCCTGAATGGTAATGCCTAGGTTTTCTTCTAGGGTTTTTATAGTTTTAGGTCTAACATGTAAGTCTTTAATCCATCTTGAATTGATTTTTGTATAAAGTGTAAGGAAGGGATCCAGTTTCAGCTTTCTACATATGGCTAGCCAGTTTTCCCAGCACCATTTATTAAATAGGGAATCCTTTCCCCATTGCTTGTTTTTCTCAGGTTTGTCAAAGATCAGATAGTTGTAGATAAGCAGCGTTATTTCTGAGGGCTCTGTTCTGTTCCATTGATCTATATCTCTGTTTTGGTACCAGTACCATGCTGTTTTGGTTACTGTAGCCTTGTAGTATAGTTTGAAGTCAGGTAGTGTGATGCCTCCAGCTTTGTTCTTTTGGCTTAGGATTGACTTGGCGATGTGGGCTCTTTTTTGGTTCCATATGAACTTTAAAGTAGTTTTTTCCAATTCTGTGAAGAAAGTCATTGGTAGCTTGATTGGAATGGCATTGAATCTATAAATTACCTTGGGCAGTATGGCCATTTTCACGATATTGATTCTTCCTACCCATGAGCGTGGAATATTCTTCCATTTGTTTGTATCCTCTTTTATTTCCCCAAGCAGTGGTTTGTAGTTCTCCTTGAAGAGGTCCTTCACATCCCTTGTAAGTTGGATTCCTAGGTATTTTATTCTCTTTGAAGCAATTGTGAATGGGATTTCACTCATGATTTGGCTCTCTGTTTGTCTGTTGTTGGTGTATAAGAATGCTTGTGATTTTTGTACATTGATTTTGAATCCTGAGACTTTGCTGAAGTTGCTTATCAGCTTAAGGAGATTTTGGGCTGAGACAATGGGGTTTTCTAGAGATACAATCATGTCGTCTGCAAACAGGGACAATTTGAATTCCTCTTTTCCTAATTGAATACCCTTTATTTCCTTCTCCTGCCTAATTGCCCTGGCCAGAACTTCCAACACTATGTTGAATAGGAGTGGTGAGAGAGGGCATCCCTGTCTTGTGCCAGTTTTCAAAGGGAATGCTTCCAGTTTTTGCCCATTCAGTATGATATTGGCTGTGGGTTTCTCATAGATAGCTCTTATTATTTTGAGATATGTCCCATCAATACCTAATTTATGGAGATTTTTTAGCATGAAGGGCTGTTGAATTTTGTCAAAGGCTTTTTCTGCATCTATTGAGATAATCATGTGGTTCTTGTCTTTGGTTCTGTTTATATGCTGGATTACATTTATTGATTTGCATATATTGAACCAGCCTTGTATCCCAGGGATGAAGCCCACTTGATCATGGTGGATAAGCTTTTTGATGTGCTGCTGGATTTGGTTTGCCAGTATTTTATTGAGGATTTTTGCATCAATGTTGATCAAGGATATTGGTCTAAAATTCTCTTTTTTGGTTGTGTCTCTGCCCGGCTTTGGTATCAGAATGATGCTGGCCTTATAAAATGAGTTAGGGAGGAGTCTCTCTTTTTCTATTGATTGGAATAGTTTCAGAAGGAATGGTACCAGTTCCTCCTTGTACCTCTGGTAGAATTCAGCTGTGAATCCATCTGGTCCTGGACTCTTTTTGGTTGGTAAACTATTGATTATTGCCACAATTTCAGCTCCTGTTATTGGTCTATTCAGAGATTCAACTTCTTCCTGGTTTAGTCTTGGGAGAGTGTATGTGTCAAGGAATTTATCCATTTCTTCTAGATTTTCTAGTTTATTTGCGTAGAGGTGTTTGTAGTATTGTCTGATGGTAGTTTGTATTTCTGTGGGATCGGTGGTGATATCCCCTTTATCATTTTTTATTGTGTCTATTTGATTCTTCTCTCTTTTTTCTTTATTAGTCTTGCTAGGAGTCTATCAATTTTGTTGATCCTTTCAAAAAACCAGCTCCTGGATTCATTGATTTTTTGAAGGGTTTTTTGTGTCTCTATTTCCTTCAGTTCTGCTCTGATTTTAGTTATTTCTTGCCTTCTGCTAGCTTTTGAATGTGTTTGCTCTTGCCTTTCTAGTTCTTTTAATTGTGATGTTAGGGTGTCAATTTTGGATCTTTCTTGCTTTCTCTTGTGGGCATTTAGTGCTATAAATTTCCCTCCACACACTGCTTTGAATGCATCCCAGAGATTCTGGTATGTTGTGTCTTCATTCTCATTGGTTTCAAAGAACATCTTTATTTCTGCCTTCATTTCGTTATGTACCCAGTAGTCATTCAGGAGCAGGTTGTTCAGTTTCCATGTAGTTGAGCGGTTTTGAGTGAGATTCTTAATCCTGAGTTCTAGTTTGATTGCACTGTGGTCTGAGAGATAGTTTGTTATAATTTCTGTTCTTTTACATTTGCTGAGGAGAGCTTTACTTCCAAGTATGTGGTCAATTTTGTAATAGGTGTGGTGTGGTGCTGAAAAAAATGTATATTCTGTTGATTTGGGGTGGAGAGTTCTGTAGATGTCTATTAGGTCCACTTGGTGCAGAGCTGAGTTCAATTCCTGGCTTGATTAGGTAAATAAAGCAGCCAGGAAGCTCGAACTGGGTGGAGCCCACCACAGCTCAAGGAGGCCTGCCTGCCTCTGTAGGCTCCACTTCTGGGGGCAGGGCACAGACAAACAAAAAGACAGCAGTAACCTCTGCAGACTTAAATGTCCCTGTCTGACAGCTTTGAAGAGAGCATTGGTTCTCCCAGCACGCAGCTGGTGATCTGAGAACCGGCAGACTGCCTCCTCAAGTGGGTCCCTGACCCCTGACCCCCGAGCCGCCTAACTGGGAGGTGCCCCACAGCAGGGGCACACTGACACCTCACACGGCAGGGTATTCCAACAGACCTGCAGCTGAGGGTCCTGTCTGTTAGAAGGAAAACTAACAAACAGAAAGGACATCCACACTGAAAACCCATCTGTACATCAGTATCATCAAAGATCAAAAGTAGATAAAACCACAAAGATGGGGAAAAAACAAAACAGAAAAACTGGAAACTCTAAAACACAGAGCGCCTCTCCTCCTCCAAAGGAACGCAGTTCCTCACCAGCAACGGAACAAAGCTGGATGGAGAATGACTTTGACGAGCTGAGAGAAGAAGGCTTCAGACGATCAAATTACTCTGAGCTACGGGAGGACGTTCAAACCAAAGGCAAAGAAGTTGAAAACTTTGAAAAAAATTTAGAAGAATGTATAACTAGAATAACCAATACAGAGAAGTGCTTAAAGGAGCTGATGGAGCTGAAAACCAAGGCTCGAGAACTACATGAAGAATGCAGAAGCCTCAGGAGCCAATGCGATCAACTGGAAGAAAGGGTATCAGCAATGGAAGATGAAATGAATGAAATGAAGTGAGAAGGGAAGTTTAGAGAAAAAAGAATAAAAAGAAATGAGCAAAGCCTCCAAGAAATATGGGACTATGTGAAAAGACCAAATCTACGTCTGATTGGTGTACCTGAAAGTGACGGGGAGAATGGAACCAAGTTGGAAAACACTCTGCAGGATATTATCCAGGAGAACTCCCCCAATCTAGCAAGGCAGGCCAAAGTTCAGATTCAGGAAATACAGAGAACGCCACAAAGATACTCCTCGAGAAGAGCAACTCCAAGACACATAATTGTCAGATTCACCAAAGTTGAAATGAAGGAAAAAATGTTAAGGGCAGCCAGAGAGAAAGGTCGGGTTACCCTCAAAGGGAAGCCCATCAGACTAACAGCGGATCTCTTGGCAGAAACCCTACAAGCCAGAAGAGAGTGGGGGCCAATATTCAACATTCTTAAAGAAAAGAATTTTCAACCCAGAATTTCATATCCAGCCCAACTAAGCTTCATAAGTGAAGGAGAAATAAAATACTTAAGAGACAAGCAAATACTGAGAGATTTTGTCACCACCAGGCCTGCCCTAAAAGACCTCCTGAAGGAAGCGCTAAACATGGAAAGGAACAACTGGTACCAGCCACTGCAAAATCATGCCAAAATGTAAAGACCATCGAGACTAGGAAGAAACTGCATCAACTAACGAGCTAACCAGCTAACATCATAATGACAGGATCAAATTCACATATAACAATATTAACTTTAAATGTAAATAGACTAAATTCTCCAATTAAAAGACACAGACTGGCAAATTGGATAAAGAGTCAAGACCCATCAGTGTGCTGTATTCAGGAAACCCATCTCACGTGCAGAGACACACATAGGCTCAAAATAAAAGGATGGAGGAAGATCTACCAAGGAAATGGAAAACAAAAAAAGGCAGGGGTTGCAATCCTAGTCTCTGATAAAACAGACTTTAAACCAACAAAGATCAAAAGAGACAAAGAAGGCCATTACATAATGGTAAAGGGATCAATTCAACAAGAAGAGCTAACTATCCTAAATATATATGCACCCAGTACAGGAGCACCCAGATTCATAAAGCAAGTCCTGAGTGACCTACAAAGAGACTTAGACTCCCACACATTAATAATGGGAGACTTTAACACCCCACTGTCAACATTAGACAGATCAACGAGACAGAAAGTCAACAAGGACTATAACTTTTTATAAGATACATATGGGTTTACTACTAAATATTCTTAAAATGAATATAATGCTATAATATTCTTATTTTGAGGTAATATATATATATAGTCTGCAAAAATTAGGTTTCCTGGTGTCATTAACCACTTATGCAATTATTTTTCTGAAATGAATACACATGCTGTACATGCAGTTTTGCCTGATATAAGTTTTAAAACAACGTATATTGGAATCTTGGAACTAAAAATGAGAAAATCAGTGTCCCCTTGATGTCAGTTTCAGTTTCAACTGCACTTGCTATTTTATTTTTAATTGGTTACTTACATTATCTGTACATTGTCACAGTTGATGGTATTTGTTTTCTTCTCTGTGACCATAGTTTGCACAGATTTAACCATAATGCATCCTTAAAGATTACAAGAAATCTTTTAGACACAGCTCCTCTCAGTTGCTGAGGATCGAACCTTTACTTATGTGTTTTCTTCATGAATATATATTTCCTGTGTTGTATGTTTGTACATAGCTATTTGTAGCCTTTGAAGTTTATGGAAGTTTTTTTGGTTGCATTCTTGGGGTATATTTTCTTTCCCTGATGACTGTTAAGGTTAGGATATTTGACCCTTCCAAAGCTCATGTTGAAATTTAGTCCCCAATATTGGAGGCTGGGCCTAATACAAGGTGTTTGGGTCATGGGGACAGATCCCTCCCATTGAATAGATTAATGTCCTCTCCTGATGGTGAATGAATTCTTCCTCTATTAGTTCCTGCAAGACCTGGTTGTTAAAAGAGCGGGCCACCTCCCCGGTTTCTCTCTTGCTTCCTCTCTCATGTAATCTCTGCACATGCTGGCTTCCCCTCCTCTACTGCCATGAATGGGAGCAGACTGTGGCCATCACCAGATGAAGATGCCCAATTTTGAACTTTCCAGACACCAGAATCATAAGCCAAATCATCCCTTTTCCTTTATAAATTATCCAGCCTCAGGTATTCTTTATAGCAACACAAAAGGGACAGGACTTTTTATATCTTGCCCCACTGTCTTCTAGCATTTCATGTGTCCCATAAAGAAATCTTAGTCTCCTAGGTTTTTTTTTTTTCTGAATATCCACAGAATTCTTTCCATAACTTCAAATACCAGGAATTTATTGGGGTATTTGTTAATTATTCAATATAAACACAGCCTTGTAATTCTTGGGCTATTTCTGTCTGCAGATTCAAATTTCACTGTATTTCAGGAATTTCACCTTGAATTGTATCTTTGAAAATTTGTTTTCATGTTCCATTCATTTTTTAACCCATGCAAGGCATTTAGTGTTATAGATATTTGATCTCTTCCCTACCACTCCCTCCCATCCCCCTCTTTTTCTCTATCTCTGTCTTCCGTCTTTTACTTTTCGTTCTTTTCCATCTCACATGCTCATTTTTTCTTCTCAAAACCATCCTTCGAATTCCTTCAGTGGTGTCTCATCTCCCTTTTGCTGCTTCTATCATGACCTTTGATTTTGGTCTCTTTTTGTCTCTCTCTCTCTGAGATTCTGAGGCTCTGCCTATTCCGTTTTTATTCTCATTTGTTTCTAATTTGTTTCCAAGACTCTGTCTACTCCCTTTTCATTCTCATTTATTACTAATTTATTTCTGAGGCTTTACCCACTCACTTTTCATTCCCGTCTAACCTAATGTATTATCAGTTCTTCCTTAAAGCCTTATATTGCTTCTTTAAATTCTCATTTCAGAGAAACAATAGTGTCTTTAATTGATTCCTTAGAAATAACTTTGTTCATGGTTTTTGGCTGCGTTGTGGTATATAATCTTTCCATTTCTCATCTTTGTAAATCATGTTCTGTTCTTTTTTATTTCAGCATCATTTTAAAGGCCCCCCACTGGCTCCACCCTTTTTAAGTAGCATTGTTCCTCATCTTTTTGGACTAGAATTTTGGGCAAAGCTCTGGGGAAAGGGGAAGAAGAAAGTGCCAAACAAACGGGAAGATTGGGTTTCAGTCTGTTATCTCTAGGATGTTTCTCAGCTGGACTTGGCCTGTGGGTTATCTGGTCCAGCATAGCAGGATATCTTCCGGGCTCACAAGGAGGCTGTGCATTTTACAGAACATTTTAATGTGATTATTTCACCTTGACTTATCTTCACCAGACAGCTTTGGGCAAAGACGGCCAGGTAGCTTATATCTTATTGACTCTTCCTTCTATCCTATACCATGATTGAAACATGATGTAGGCTTCCAAAACCAGGCCATGAACCTTGATCTTAACTTTCTAAGCATGGGATAGACACATTTCCTTTCAATGTGTGCCACCCATCCACTTTGGATAACTATGAGCTGGGTCCACTCTGCCTGAGTCACACATAGAAAGACACCTTCTCTTGGAGTTCCCAAATACCTCCATCCACTTCTCATACACTTGGTTATCTTCCTGCATCTACTGTTATCCAGTGTTATAGGGGATCTGTAGCTTCATTCAAGATAACATTTGTTTGTTTCTTCTTCTCTTGTTTGCTTTGGATTGGTTTCATAAAGGAAATGAGACAAAAATATATTTATACTACCATTTGAAAAGAAAAGATAAATTCCTTCTTTCAAATTCATTCCTTTTTCTTTCTTTCCAGTGAATCTCATGGGGTGAGGGGAGCACTGAAGGGAATGTCCAATCTACTCAAGTCCAAAAAGTCACAGGTATAAGGCACAGAAAATTTTACCAGTCTAATGATGGCAGTTTTAATGCTATATAAGGACAGACTATACAAAAATGCTATTAATGAGGATGAGGAGCTACAGGAACAAACCTGATGAGGAACTGTAATTCTATTAGAGGGATGTATATAGCCATCATTTTTTTCTTTAATCCAAAACAATTAGATTGCTTATATACACAGCCACATTCAATTCTAAGGTATTTGATTGAAATGCACCAGAAGATGCAGATATATATATATACTTTTACCTTAGCTTCCATTTTATTCTTTCCCTCCCATTTTATCAGTGCTATAGAGTACATTTTTCCCACTTGAGCTCAACATGCTGTTGTGCAGAAAGCCTTCTCTTGGGAGTTCCCAAAATGTTGGCCCAGATGAGTGCAGCAGACATTTGGCCCAGGTGAGCCTAGCAGATATTTACATGAAATATTAGGGAGCATCCATCTGGGCCATGTGACTTAGGCTGGCGATACACGACAGAGGATTCCAATTTGTTGTATAAATCACCCTTAGAGCCCCCAACAGTGAACACATAGGGGGTTCTTTTCATTTTCATGATGTTTAATATAATCTTTAAAAATAATTAAAATTAGGTGAAGTGTGTAGATTTCTGAGAGATTACAGAAAGGCATTAGTTTTGATACCTCTTGCTTGTAGCATTTGACCGACATAAACAAACTAAAAGGTTTAAAAAGAACAGGGATTCTTCCCAGTGGTATAGGGCAATGGGTAGGGAAAAAAAGTTCAAAATTGATAAATAGACCAATATTATTCTCAAAACTCATACCATTGTGATTGGGAAGAAATGAATACATATTACTTAGTCACATCATGTTACCATATACTTATATTAACACAACAAAAAGGAAATTATACGAAAAAAAGTCATACATTTAAAGGATGGAAGAAAATCCTAGGTTTACTCAGAGCTCAAGATCCCATTGGGATGAATATTGTTCTTTCCTCGGATTGTGCCTTCATTTCATTCATTCACTTATGTATGTATTTATTTATTTAGAGATGGGATCTATTTCTGTATTTATTTATTTATTGATTGATTGATGGAGTATTGCTCTGTTGCCCAGGCTGGAGTATAGTGGCACAATCATAGCTCACTGCAGCCTTGAACTCCTGGGCTTAAGTGATGCTCCTGCATCAGCCTCCTGAGTAGCTGGGACTGCAGGTGTTTGCCACCATGCCCCGCTAATTTTTAAGTTTTTTTTTGTATTGATTGGGTTTCCCTATGTTTCCCATGCTGGCCTTTAACTTTTCAGCTCAGCGATCTTCTGCCCTGGCCTCCCAAAGTGCTGGGATTACAGGTGTGTCCCTTCATTTCTAATGAAGGAAGGTTTTCCTTTGAATATCTCACAACAGATATTTTTAAAAGAAAGGCAGATTTGAGCAACCATCAACAAGGTTTACTTGAAAATTAATCTGATATTTACAAGTGCATTATATAACAGAAATGTTACAGACTGAATTGTGCCACACCTACCCCAAAACTCTTATGTTGAAATCCTAACACCCAGTACCTGGAATGTGATTGTATTTGGAGATGGGTCATTAAGGAGTAAATTAAAGTAAAATGAGGTCACATGGGTGGGCCCTAATCCAATAGGACTGGTGTCCTTATAAGAAGAGGAGATGAGGACACAGATACACGCAGAGAGATGACCCTGTGAGGATACAGGGAGAAGACACCATCTACAAGCCCAGGAGAGAGGCCTCAGGAGGCACCATCCCTGCTGACACCTTGATCTCAGACCTCTAGCTTCTAGAACTGTAAGAACAATTGTTGCTGTTTAAGCATTCCCATATGTGGGACTTTGTTATGGCTGCCTGAGCAGCCTAATGGGAGTGCAAAGACTTTCTTTAAATAATGTATAACAATGTTGGTTTGGAAATGACTATCCAGTGTTGAGTTCAAAACTTTATCTTTATGGGTGCTGCTATGAGTGAGTGTCTAATTTGGGGGATAATATTGACATTCTTCGGGAGAAATGCAGACTCCAATCAGTGCAGAAAATGGCACAGAATAATGTTTAAATATGCCCTCCAGGCCATAACATGGTTGGGTTAGGAGGAGGAATATTAACCATTCCCATCCTAAAACACAGAATTTTGGGTTTCTTTCTGTGAGTTCACCACCTCTGACCTTCACAGGTAAGGGACCATCACACAGACATCTGCCATTTTCATATAACTCTCTATCCAAACAAAGGCTGAAAATTCAGCATGGAGAAACTCTCCCAGCACCCGTGGTCATCCCCTTGACCTGCATCCCCACCCTGGGCACTGGTGTGGGGGTGGGATTCTTTATGAACTTGGGCCCCAATTCTGCTTTCCCTGGAAAGCTGGACCCACACAACATCACCCTCATATGCAGACCCTCATGTGTGGGCACCTGTGAATACCCAGAGCTGGGGGTCTGCTCTAGGAGCTGGTTCAGGACAGGATACTCCCATCCAATCTGTGCCCACCATAGAAAAGAGCCAGCCAAGTGCCTGCTACTACAGGGCTCTTCACACATGGAAAAGCTGCCCTGTGGAAGTGTCCCAGGAAAGGGCAGGGGGACAAAAAAAGGTCGCAGTGATTTGCCTCCAGACACTGGACACTCTTCCCTGGAGAGTACAGGGCATGCTGCTCTCCAAACCTGATCTTGCTACATTTGTGCTGCCCACAGTAGTGGTGCCACTGAGTTTTCAAAGAAGACAGCAGGCCCTGAATTGTGCAAGGAAAATAAGTGCTTGAATTTTGTAGCATGCATGCAGTGTTCTACTTTTAAGAATGGTACCAGGCTCCTCTGATATTCAAGAAAGGCCCCCAACAGCTCAGATGGTAGTTTTCTAATCCTGTCTTCCCATATGCACATTTACCTCCTCCACCCAAGAACTGAATAACAGACATGAGTGCTCAGGACGTCATGCTGTCTACTGTCATCCCCTTCCTGAGACCCCCTCTCCAAATCTCTTGACAACCCTCTTCTTAGCTCCCTCTTTCTTTCTGGCCTGTTACACTCAACCTCTCCAGCATCCTAACAAGTACCCACTCAAACCTATTTCCTCCCCTGCTGTGCTGCTTCTTCAAAAGTGCTTTGCTTCTCATCCTCACCTTCTTTCCTTGCCCTCTTCCCTGCTTCCCTCTTCAAAGCACTTCTCAGCTACAAATGAGAAGGAAGCGATCTGATTAAACAGGTGATGAGCAGAGTCACATTCTGAGGGGATTTGCATTTTTAAAAGGAGATTAATGACCACATCTGAAAATGCCACCCTGGAATCTTATGCAGAGTGACAGGGGATTGGGGATGAGCTCCATTCAGGGCAGGAAGTGAGAGTTTGGATCTGAAGTGCTTTTCAGATGCTGAAGTCATAGGAGGTTGCAGTTGCTTCCTGGGTGGAGCCATAAACAAACATCTCTTCTGCTGAGTGAAGTCTGAGAAGATAGAGGCAATGGTGACCCAGGAGCTCTGGAATTATCTGGCTGTGTTACACTTGCAGGACTACACACATTTAAGTGTAAAAAGCATGCTTTTTGTCCACTTGGCTGACCTCTTAGCCTGCTCTCCTCTTATTGTTCCCTTGAAGGCATCATTTTTTAAAGAGAAATTTAAACTCCGTCCATCTCATCCCCTTTGGAAGAAAGTTAAGATTCCTTTCTGAGCTCTTTCATCATCTGGAGTTTAAAAGCTTCCCCTCCTCTGTCAACTCTCTTTGAATCCCTCATGTCACACCAAACTTCAAAAGAGACAAATAATTTTGCATGACTCCCTGCAGGCTCCATTTTGCCCTGTAGTGACAGCCCCATGTCTTGACTTTCCTGATTGGAAAAACTTCTCAAGCTTTCTACATTCATGATCTCTGCTTCTTCAGTGCAACCTTCTCCAGTTTGTCCCTGATGTCCAATGGTCCCTGCATTAATCCTGTCCAAGCCACAGGTGACCCTCATATCATCTCAGCTTCTACTTCCCATTCCTCTCTCTCTCTTTTTTTTTTTCTGAGACAGGGGTGTCACTCTGTTGCCCAGGTTGATCTCAAACTGTTGAGCTCTAAAGATCCTCCGGCCTCATCTTCCTGAGTAGCTGGTAGGGGTGTGAGCCCTTCTGCTTGGTCTCCAGTCCTTTGCTTTTCTTTTTTGACCTATACAACATTTGGTAGTTGATGTCCATGTTCATGTAATTGTCTTCTCTGGCTTCTTGGGGCCACAGTGCATTGCCTTCTCCCTCTTTTCATTTATTATCTTTTCATCTAGTAAGACCCATCATCCCCTAAAGATGTATATTTTCTTCAAAGCAAGGATTGGCGTACCTTCACAAACTGAGTCTCCAATGACAACATAAACTGAAATGCAATATAAATCATGGACAGATGTGAGCTCATCTTCTGCTTCCTGTGTCCTCCGCTGGTTCTTCTTACCAACATCATGTATTGTTAAATAAGCGAGTGATATTAAGTTAGAGAATGGACTGAGTCCATTAATTCATTTGGCACGCTCCAAAGTCCTCACCTGAGATCTATCTACTCTCCAAATTACACTTGTTAGAAATACAGGAGGGGCCGGGCGCGGTGGCTCACGCCTGTAATCCCAGCACTTTGGGAGGCCGAGGCGGGCGGATCACGAGGTCAGGAGATCGAGACCATCCCGGCTAAAACGGTGAAACCCCGTCTCTACTAAAAATACAAAAAATTAGCCGGGCGTAGTGGCGGGCGCCTGTAGTCCCAGCTACTTGGGAGGCTGAGGCAGGAGAATGGCGTGAACCCGGGAGGCGGAGCTTGCAGTGAGCCGAGATCCCGCCACTGCACTCCAGCCTGGGCGACAGAGCGAGACTCCGTCTCAAAAAAAAAAAAAAAAAAAAAAAAAGAAATACAGGAGGATCCTTTTCACATGAGCTAATTAGGGTGAATACATGTAAGTGTTGGTAAGAAGTACTAGAAACACTGGAATTTGTGAGATTTCACTGAAGAACCAGCTTCCACCCAGTCCTTCACATTGTTCTCTTTTGGTAGTTTCTTGTCATTTCCTCCTTTTATTATCAATAGAGCTGCTGTGAACATGCATGTACAAGTTTCTGGGTGGACATATGTTTTCATTTTTATTGGGGGGGGTAGACATCAAAGAATAGAATTGCTGTGTTGTATGATGAGTCTGTGTTCTAACATTTCAGAAGCTGGACTTCAACTGCTTCCTGATTTCACCTTCCACACCATTTCTGTAGTGAGGCCCACTCCTTGGCCTTATAAGACCTGAATTAAGTTAGGTGCCCAGAGCCGTTCTGTCATCGACTCTGTTCTTTCCCTTGCTAGCCTGTGTAATAATTGGCAATCAGACCTTTACATGAGCAATGGTTTCATATGTCTCCCCAACTATATTACAAGTTCCACAGGGGCAGGGCTATGTCTATCTCCTTGACCTCTGTATCTGCGATGCCTGGCAGAGGGCTATGAACACTGGTTACGCTCCATAAACACTGGGAGACAAAGAAGGGTGTCAGTAGAGTTAGTTTTTTTGCTTTTTTACCCCCAGAACTCTTAGAAAATAATTTGAGCTATTCCTTCAAGGAAGTCCTGGGGCAGGTGATCATTCATAGATGACATGAGGGAGTGCACAGCACATGAGTTTGCAGGAAAATGCAAACCCCACGTTGAAATTTGATCCCCAATGTTGGAGATGAGGATTTACAGGGGGGTGTTTGGGTCATGGGGGCGGATCCCTCACGAATGGCTTGGTGCTGCCCTCATGGTAATGAGTGCGTTCTCTTTTCAGTCCTGCAAGAGCTGATTGTTAGAAAGAGCCTGGCACCTTCCTCTCCTCTTTCTCTTGCTTCTTCTCTCACCATGTCATCTGTGCACACAGCAGCTCCACTTCCCATTCCACCATGAGTGGAAGCTCCCTGAGGCCTCACCAGAAGCATATGCTGGTGCAATGCTTCTTGTATAGCCTGCAGAACTGTGAGCCAAATAAACCTCTTTTCTTTATAAATTATCCAGCCTCACTCAGGTATTCCTTTATAGCAATGCAAAACTGACTGAGACAGGGTATCAGGAGACCTAGCTTTGCCTGAATCTGAGAACTTCATCAGGACTTTTGGAACAATTTAGCCCACAGGTCCAAGGCTGATTTTTGTCACAGTGAAGTTCAGGTAGTAAGAATTCTCACTGGTGGCTGTTGAGGATGGTGGTGGTGGGGATGGGTCATATGGAGAATTAGCAGTGGGAGACTAGAAATTAAAGTGGAGAAAGGGAAGAATTAAAAGTCAAAAACAGTGTGAGGGAGGAAAGCAATGGATATAACACCTCAAATCTTTATCCTTGAGAGGCCTTAAAAAATCTACTTAATAATAATCAGATGCTATTCTATAAGTACTTTGAGACTAGACATGTGATGACTTTTAGGAACCTGTACTGTGGCTGAAAATGCATGCAAATCTAGTTGACTCAGATCCAGTCTTAACTGGCTCATAACTTGCTTCATATGCATGACTGTACGTTAGCAAGGAAATGAGAGAGAATAACAGCACATCACATAGGCATGAAAAGTATTTGCAAAGCAGCAGTTCTCAAAAATGACATTTTGCAGTGTTTTCCAGAAGCAGATTCAGAAAACTGAAGACCAAAGTAATGATGGAGCCGTCTCATGCCTAGATGAGCAGAAGCATACCAAAGGCTTAGTATTTCCCCAAGTAGTAGGCACCTCAAACTTATTTAAGGAAAATACTCTTCTTGATGAAACAGATACTGCAGTCGAAGCAGGAATGTGTTTGGTGTGCTGCCTTAAATAGCATGGGTAGATGTTCAAACATGTTAGGACTCGCTGGCCCTAGGAAAGACCCGCAAGTAGATACTTTCCACACCAGGAAAGTGACAATGAAACACCAAACACCTTTTCTCCTCTAATTACCAAGGAAAATATTTCTTTCCCAATGGTGGAAGACAATAATGTTGGGAATGATGAAGTTTTCTGGAGTGTGAAGTGGATATGTCTTATAAGTTTAATCCACAGATTCACCACTTCATAAGTGGATAATCGAATTGTGCCTCAGTTTCCTCAGACTTGGGGATATTAAGAGAACCCTCAGTCACCACAAGGTGGGTACCAGCATAAGAAAAGAGTGTAGCAAAAGCCCAGGGGTGCATGTTCTTAAAGTGCCTAGTGTGGGATTAGAATGACAAGTGGTAGATGACCTACTTGTGCAGAAATTTAGAGTTATTTTGTGATTTTCAAATGATCATGGGTGCTTTCCATATGCTGTCCAGACTAGGGGTGCTGCAGCTAGAAAGGGAAGAAGGTTTCCATATTTCCTGAGATTGGAGTCACATCCTCTCACCAATGCACTCACCTGCTGACTAACCAGTGTACTTCTGGGAATTGCAAATGCATGAAATGGCACCCATTCTAGACTAGTCGCGGCAGTGTTGGTGATGGCCACAGACCAGGAACGACCTTGACGTTTATCCGTAGGGAACTGGGTCATGAGCCATGATCCACATCATGGATACTGTGCAGCTGTGGCAATGAATGAGGTATCCTTCTGTCTGTGCACCGGGAAAGGTTTCCAAGATACACTGCACAGTGAGAAAAACAAGAAGCAGAACAATGCACGGTGTGCTACCTCTTGCATTACAAAGGAGGAAATGTAAAATTAATTTACAAATGGCCAATAAACACATGAAAAGATGCTCAACATCACTAATCATTAGGAAAATAAAAATCACAACTACAGTGGGATACCACCTTACATCCTTTACGATGGTTGTTCCCAATAAAAAAAAAAAAAGGAAAACAGAAAAGAAAAGTGTTGGCGAGGAGGAATTGGAATGCTTGTGTAGTGTTTGTGGGTTTGTAATATGGCACAACAACTGTGGTCATTTCTCAAAAAATTAATCATAGACTTACCACAAGATGCAGCAATTCGGCTTCTGGTGTATTCCAAAAAGAACGGAAAGCAGGGGCCCCAGCAGATATTTGCATGTCTTTGTTCATAGCAGCATTATTCACAATAGCTAAAAGTTGGAAACAAGCCCAGTGTCCATCCATCCATGAATGAATAAACAAAAAGTGGTCTATGCGTACAAACAAATGGGATTCAGCTGTAACAAGAAGGGTGATTCTGATGTGTGCTTCAACATGATTAAGCCTTGAGTTCTTTCTGCTAAGTGAAATAATCAGACTCAAAAAGACAACTACTACATGATTCCACTTAACAGAGGTGCGTAACGTCATGAAATGCATAGGCAGAAAATGAAAAGGTGGTTGTCAGCGGCTGGAGGGAGGGGGAAAGAGGAGTTGGTGTTTAATGGGTACAGAATTCCAGTTGGGGAATATGAAAAAGTTCTGGGTGGGGATGGACAGTGGTGGTGGTTGAACAACAACCTAAATGTACTTCCTGCCACTGGATGTACACTTAAAAGTGGTTAAAATGGGCCGAGCGAGGTGGCTTGCGTCTAATCCCAGCACTTTGGGAGGTCGAGGTGGGCAGATCATGAGGTCAGGAGATTGAGACCATCCTGGCTAACATGATGAAATCTCCGCTCTACTAAAAATACAAAAAATTAGCTGGGCATGGTGGCATGCACCTGTAGTCCCAGCTACTCAGGAGGCTGAAGCAGGAGAAGTGGTTGAACCCGGGAGGTGAAGTTTGCAGTGAGCTGAGATCATGCCATTGCATTCCAGCCTGGGTGACAGAAGAGGAACCCTTCTCAAAAAAAAAAAAAAAAAAGACAGAAAAAAAAGAAAGGAAAAAAATGGTTAAAATGGTGAATTCTATGTTATATATATTTCACAATAATTTACAATAATTCCTATTGTTTTGCATAAAACAGCTGTAGAAAGCTTTGCAGGTCATGAACAGCACAGCTGGCCACTGGGGCTGGCGTGGGGCTAGGACCTGGGTGCATAGGGAACAGGGATGAGACACAGGCTCTTCATGCCTGCACACATATACAGATACACACAGATGGAAATTACTGAGCCATCTAAATACAACACCTATTCAAAAAATCAAACAGAAAAAGGAAATGTAATGGGGCTGAAGGATGAGGGTAGGTGGGGTGGCTGCTCAGGAGGACTGTGGAGGCCACATCGCCTAACCTTCGAGGCCTCTCTTAGCAGCTGGAGTGCATCCCGGGGACTTGGGAGCTCTGGAAAGAGGAGCAGGAAAGGGCCATGGCCGGAGGAGGCCTGAAAAAGATCATCTCTGCCACAGAGAAGAAGCTGGCTCGGATGCTGCTGGCCCCTATGGAGACAGGGAGACCCGGGGAGACAACTGTATTCATTCAAGGAGGAATGGGTGGTGATGCAAACTTGGGTGGAGGCCACAGGGTGCAGAAGACAGGACACAGCAGAGAGAGATGTAGGACATGGAAGGGACAGAAAGGAGTGACCACAGGACATAAAGGGGCAAGGAAAGTGGAAGCATGATAACATCTGCTGGGCATCCGGCTGAGGGGTTGGGTGCCTAGGGTGCCCTTCCCTAAGGGAGAACCCCAGGAGCAGATTCAGAGAAAACCGCCCAGCTCACTCCAGCAAGAATCAGAAAAGGACCGGTTAAAGGAGAGGGTAGGAAGGTCACCAAGCTCCAAGGGCCCTCATGAATCCGGCTTGGAGGCCACAGGGCCCAGGGCAAGGACAAACCACAGGCACAGGACAGCTCCGGTCAAGATCTTCTGGCTACTGCAGGAGGCAGAAACCACACCCTGCACCCTGCACTGCTGAGGCTGGCGCTGGAGTCCAGAAGCTTCTACACCAGAAGCTTCGGTCCCCCATCCCTGCTCAAAAAATTAAAACAAAAACAATAACAAATCGGTGTCATGCACCCTCTGCTTCCTGGTGCTGTTCGGGACCCTGAGTCTTTCACGGGAGCACCTGATGGGGAAAGCCTGGACCCGTGTCGGTGTCCCTCCTGCAAGGAGTGCTGGGAAAATGAACTTTCCAGCTTCCTCCTTGCGAAGGCAGAACATTCCCCATGTGTACTGGTGGCATTTAAAAACTGCAGGGCAGCCAGAGAACATGGACTGTGTTCCACCGGGAGAGTTCCTGGCGGGATGTCCCGGTGCAGAAGCCCGTCCCAAGGTGGGTATTTGAGCTGAGGAACTGAGAAGCCGGTTTCTGCCTAGAGTTAGAGATCCGAGAGGCATCAGCACATGGAAGGGAGGGAATCTACGATGCCTCGAGGGTGGGAGATCAGATGAACCAGGAGAGGCAGGGCCCGGGAGGAACCCCGGGGAGCAGCCTCCTTTAAAGCCTGGGGGAAGTAGCTTCAGAGAAGGTGGGGTAGGTTGGGTGGGGGTTGCTGGAAAAATATAATTAAGAAACAAATTTCTGCTCAGCCCAGAAACCCCCCTCACATCCATAGAAGTAAAAGAAACTTGTCTTATGATTGAGTAAGCATTAAGCCAAAATGTGATGCAATCTGCTAAGAGATGACAAAGACAGAAAGAAATCCCACCTTTGTATCCAGCCAAGCAGGTGCAACCCGTTACACACATGGTCTCCAGATAGATGGTGACTAGTTCCCAGTTGAGAGGACTCAACGGCACCATTTGTCACACGTAGTTCATCCTAAATTCACCCAGTAACTGTGTTGATTCTCTGTGTGGTTAATTGGCTTTATCCACAGGAAAAAGAAACCTCTCATCTATGACAGGAGGTAGTTTTGCAACTGGGAGTGAGATGCCCCCAGAACTGAGGTTCCTTCCTTCTCACAGAAACTGGGAGACAGGGGTGCTTTCTGCCCGGATGCCTGCCTTTCAAAGAGAGGTCTCCTATGGCCTTGAGGAGGAGAATTCTGGGTTGTGAGGCAGGCAAGATACTTATGTATGCTTTAGAAAGCTTTGCATACATCTTCAAGGGATAGAGAAAGAGTTTTCAATTACACCTCTTCTAAAAAAAATGATCTCAAAGTCCAGCCTAGGCAACACAGCAAGATCCTATCTCCACACACACAACAATAATAATAAATTTGCTGGACATGGTGGGGTGTGCGTGTAGTCCCAGCTACTCAGGAGGCTAAGGAGGGAGGATCACCTGAGCCCAGGATGTTAAGGCTGCAGTAAGCTTAGATGGCAGCACTGCACTCCAGCCTGGGTGACAGAGTGAGACTCTGTCAATGAATGAATGAATGAATAAATGAATGAATAGAAAATGCTCTGAGTGAAAAGAGGAGAGTCTCTTTATCTTTTTGCAACAGGCTAAACAAAGTTTTTAAAAATGTATATTTGCCTCACAGAGATTATTCCAGGAAAAGAAGTGGCCCTCAGTGTCAAAGGATGCAAAACTAACCTCTGAGTTCCTGGCAGGTTTAGCAATAAAGGAGGATGTTGCTGATCTCAGTACAAGCAATGTTAGAGAAAGGGGAAGATGGAAGTGGACAAGGACGAGTGAGTGGAAGGTGACAAATGGAAGCAAAGAAACGTATCCAGACCATTGAAGATGCTTGAGCGAGAAGAAAGAGGCGGTGGAGGGAATGGAAGCCCGAGGAAGTCATATGTTGCAATAAGGGGCCTCAGAGCACGTGTAGAGTGTGGAGCAGAGCCCTTGCAGAGGGGCTGTGGAAGGCTGGCAGGGTGCAGGTGGCCCCACTCTCCGTCACCCTGAGGAGTGTGTGGTCAGAGTTAAAGCTCAGTCTGTTTCTGGGATCAGGTAAGAGGTGAGCGTCCGGAGAAGACAGGCGGATCTTCAGATCCTGCAGACCTCCACCGTGCCCTCTGTCCCTCTCGACTGCTTTTTCTCCATCTCCATTGTCTGGCTCACATTGGTGTCACTTTTTCATTTCTCCCTGCCCGTCTTTTCTCTTTTCTCCTCTCTTTTTCTTAACCCTTGTACCTTTGGAAGTCCCACTAACAGAATTTAAACAGCTTTTCAAGTTGGTTTTTTGTTCCCAGAAATTGATTTTAGACTCTCCATGAATAATGTGGAAATCAAATGAGTATAAGCTGGTTCATCTCTCTGCAAATAAACAAATAAAATCTACATTCCAATGTTTCTTCTTCCAGAGTAGCCCGCACTTGATTTTTTTTTTAATTACTGTCACTTGCAATAGATTTTTAATTCCTGTAACCTGGCTACACAAATACCATGGGGCAAAAGCCTTACTTCCTGTGAGAGGAAACCAGGCTTGACTAGCCTCATGCTGGCTTTGAAGAAGTAAAATCAGGGGTTGATGAATTTGCATAGGGTAAATATCAAAGGTCAAAAGTAAACAATAGGTGGTAGAGGGAATACCCCAAATTATAAAAGAACAAACTGTTTAAGCCACAACAGAATTATCGTAGAAATAAACCACGGTCCTTCCTGCTAAAATATTCCACTTAGAATTGTAAAATATTCTTCTCAATAACTCCTGGAAGAGCCTACTCATAAATTAATGAGGCTGGGAGCAGTGGCTCACACCTCTAATTCCAGCACTTTGGGAGGCCTAGACGGGCAGATCGCTTGAGGTTAGGAGTTTGAGACCAGCCTGGCCAATATGGTGAAACCCCGTCTCTACTAAAAATACAAAAATTACCCAGGCATCGTGGCAGGCACCTGTAATCCCAGCTACTTGGGAGGCTGAGGCAGGAGAATCGCTTGAACCCAGGAGGTGGAGGTTGCAGTGAGCCAAGATGGCACCACTGCACTCCATCCTGGATGACAGAGTGAAACTCCATCTCAACCAAAAAAAAAAAAAAAAAGAAATTAATGAATGTAAGAGCATCTATGTTCCAAATGCAGTGTATTATTTTATGCAGGCTTTCACAAGCTCCAAAAGATTCACCGTGCAGAACTGGACGTTCTAGAGAAAGACCACGCCTCCTCCTGCAGGTAACTCTTCATTCAGGAAGCAGCTCTTGGCTTATCCCTGGGCTTAGTGGAATTGGAATACCTGACCATAGGACACCAAGGGCTTTAGGACCTGAGTGGCACATCGTGTCCTGGTGACATCTGAGTTACCTGGGGCGTGCACAGCAGCCTCCAGCATCCCAGGGAGAGCTGTGTATGGGGTCAGGCTCAAGCAGGTCCCAGGGCACCAGTGACCCAATGGGTGAATCAGACTCCCGTGGCACCTGCTCCTTCTGTATCTCCCTCTGCCATATATATGAGCTCATGGGAAGCACTGTAACCTCTTACAGAGGAGGAAAGTTCATGGACTTCTAGCTTCTAGAACTGTGATACAATAAACTCCTGTTGCTTATCTACTCCTCTGCAGTATTTTGTCATGGCAGCCCTAGCAAACTACTACAGGGACTGTGGGGGTTAGGATGACACCAAGCATCAAATGCCACTCCCTGTTCCATTATTATGTAATGTCCCTCTTTGTCTTTTTTAACTGCTGTTGCTTTAAAGTTAGTTTTTTTGATATAAGAATAGTTACTCCTGCTCACTTTTGTGGCCATTTGCATGGGGTGTCTTTTTCTACCCTTTTACCTTAAGTTCATGTGACACTTTATGGTTAGGGGAGTCTCTTGAGGGCAGCAGATACTTGCTTGGTGAACTATTATCAATTCTGCAATTCTGTGTCTTTTAAGTGGAGCATTTAGGCCACTTACATTCAATGTTAGTATTGAGATGTGAGGTACTGTTCCATTCATCCTGCTATTTGTTGCCTGAATACCTTGGTTTTATTCATTTATTTATTGTATTTGTGTTTTATACGTCCTGTGAGATTCATGCTCAAAGAGGTTCTGTTTTGATGTGTATCCAGGACTTGCTTCAAGATTTGGAGCTCCTTTTAGCAGTTATTGTAGTGCTGGCTTGGTAGTGGCAAATTCTCTGAGCATTTGTTTGTCTGAAAAAGACTGTTATCTTTCCTTTATTTATGAACTTTAGTTTTGCTGGATACAAAATTCTTGGCTGATAATTTTTTTTTTTTTTTTCTGAGATGGAGTCTTGTTCCGTCACCCAGGCTGGAGTGCAGTGGTGCGATCTGGGCTCATTGCAACCTTCGCCTCCTGGATTCACGCCATTCTCCTGCCTCAGCCTCCCGAGTAGCTGGGACTACAGGCGCCTGCCACCAGGCCCGGCTAATTTTTTTTGTATTTTTAGTAGAGACAGGGTTTCACCATGTTAGCCAGGATGGTCTTGATCTCCTGACCTTGTGATCCACCCGTCTTGGCCTCCCAAAGTGCTGGGACTACAAGTGTGAGCCACCGTGCCTGGCCTGATAATTTTTTTTTAAGGAGGCTGCAGGTGGGTATGCATGCTCATTTGAGGTGTTCTTCCCTTATTGAAGATTACTAAAATCACATGTGTTGAAAAGCATTTGGTATTATTTACTTAATTGATGAGTACCCATTTATTTTTACATTAATTTGATACCATGTATAAACAATATATAAACATAGGTATGGACATATACATATGTGATATGTGATACAGCATAGAACATATACTTGTGCACATAAAGATAGAGGGAGACAGAAATACTTCAGATTTTTGATTTTAAAACTTTATGCATGAACACATAAAACTCACTGTTAAAAAAAATAGCTGGATTTAAGTTGTGCTTTTGTAAATAGAAAAAGTTAACATTTATCTGAGGAAGCCCTTGCTGAGTTTTAGAGAAAGTAGGTAGTAAATTTACATCTCAAAGCACACACAAACACACACACACACACACACACACACACAGAGAGAAGGAGTTTGGGTGTGTTCAAGGAAGATTAAAAGTAGATGCCAAGGTAACACAAAAATGATAGAAATTTATAACAGGATTTTATAAGGAGACCAATTTTATTTCCATACATAGCTTTTATTTTGGTCTCTGTTTTCCAACTTTACTCCAGGAAACACACTACACAGGCTCCCTTCTTAAGTGCTGGTGGGCCACTGCACATGCAGACAGCCCACTTTAAGGGAAGAATCAGGGGAGAAGAGATGCAGACCCCAGAATTATGCCAACATACAAAAGCCTAAGTCAAAGGTCAAACCACACACTTGAAATCTCATCACCTGTTTGGCCCTGTTTTAAGTGTGCTTTACTTTCTTTAATTTCTGCTCTAAAGCTTTTAAATAAACTTTCACTCCTGCTCTAAAATTTGCCTAAGTCTCTTCTTCTGCCTTATGACACTTAGTTGAATTCTTTCTTCTGAAGAAGCAAGAATTGAGGCTGCTACAGACTTGTACAGATTTGCTGCCATTAATATAGTTTAGTGCCATTCTACATGATAGAATATATATATTCTTATATTTATATATATATATATATATAAAATTTATGTATTCATAGAGGCCTTGAATCTACATTCTTGCTGCACTTTATGTAAACAATCCAGGTATAAGACTAAAACTTATTTTGGAAATATATTGGTCCCATATGATTTCTATTTCATAAAAATGGGAGACAGGAGGGGGAAAATTATTTTTCAGAAGGAAACAACAGAAAAATGGTTATTACATTTTAGATCTGTTCATTTTTTTTAAATTTTGTTATTTACCTACAATTTGGACTGAATCCTAAATTTTTTCCTGGCTACAAATTTCAAAACTAATGGTTTCAGAATTTTCTTCCATTTTTCTTCCATTTTGGTATATTATAAATTAAAACTGTGCTTTTTAAATTTTTATCTTTTTTTAATTACACTTTTAAGTTCTGGGATACATGTGCAGAACCTGCAGGTTTGTTACATAGGTATACATGTGTCATGGTGTTTTGCTGCACCCATTAACCCATCATCTACCTTAGGTATTTCTCCTAATGCTATCCCTCCCCTAGTCCCCCACCCCTCAACAGGCCCCAGTGTGTGATATTCCCCTCCCTGTGTCCATGTGTTCTCATTGTTCAACTCCCACTTTTGAGTGAGAACATGCGGTGTTTGGTTTTCTGTTCCTGTGTTAGTTTGCTGAGAATGGTGGTTTCCAGCTTCATCCATGTCCCTGCAAAGATATGAACTCATCCCTTTTTATGCCTGTATTGAATTCCATGGTGTATATGTACCACATTTTCTTTATCCAGTCTATCATTGATAGGCATTTGGGTTGGTTCCAAGTCTTTGCTATTGTGAATAGTGCCACAATAAACATATGTGTGCATGTGTCTTTATGGTAGAATGATCTATAATCCTTTGGGTATATACCCAGTAATGGGATTACTGGGTCAAATGATATTTCTTGTTCTAGATCCTTGAGGAATCGCCACACTGTCTTTCACAATGGTTGAACTAATTTACACTCCCACGAACGGTGTAAAAGCATTCCTATTTCTCCACATCCTCTCTAGCATCTGTTGTTTCCTGACCTTATAATGATCACCATTCTAACTGGCATGAGATGGTATCTCACTGTGGTTTTGATTTGCATTTCTCTAATGACCAATGATGATGAGCTTTTTTTCCTATGTTTGTTGCTCACATAAATGTCTTATTTTGAGAAGTATCTGTTCATCTGCTTCACCCATTTTTGATTGGCTTATTTGTTTTTTTTCTTGTATATTTGTTTAAGTTTCTTGTAGATTCTGGATATTAGCCTTTTGTCAGATGGATAGATTAAAACTTGCAAGCTGAAACTCGACGACTTATGTAAACTTCTGGATAAATCATAGCAACTTATATATAAACAACCTTTGTGCCTGCTGATGTGTGGACTACACAAAAGGTACACATGAACACTGTATTCAGACTGCAATTCAGAAAAATGTGTCACATTGCCATTGCAATTGGAAGATGCTTCAGAAACTCTAGAAAACCTAGTCTATAGGGTTAGAGTGATGTTTGCCAAACGAATTGCTCTAATTGAAGCAGCTGTTGTGTGACTTTAATAAGGTTCCAGGATTATACTGTCCCTTTTTTGCTGTGACTTCCCTTTGCCCTTTTCTGATTTGTCTTCATCCCCTTTTCCATGGGGCATGACTTCTTAAGAATGAGCCTTCCTAGTGATGTAGGATGAGATGAAACATACAGTCACAAAGTCATGTCTTCTATGATGCTTTATCTGAAAGCTTTTGAAGAATTGGGGGGCCAGGTGTGCTGGCAGAGGCCTGTAATCCCAGCAGTTTGAGACTCTAAGGCAGGAGGATCACTTGAAACCAGGAGTTTAAGACCAGCCTGAGCTACAAAGGGAGACCACGTCTCTACAAAACATAAAACAAATCAAATTAGCCAGGTGCAGTGGTGCATGCCTATAGTCTCAGATACTTGGGAGGCTAAGGTGGGAGGACTGCTTCAGCCCAGGAGTTCAAGGCTGCAGTGAGTACACTCCAGTCTTGGTGACAGAGCAAGGTTGTGTCTCTAAAAGAAGAAAAAAAAAAAAAAAAAGGAAAGGAAAGGAACGGGGTAAACAGGAAAGCCAAAGATCTCGGGCATCTCCAGATGATTCCCTGAACAAATTGTTTTTTCTTGGCTTCAAAACCTTTCAAGATGTATATTTCTTTGTAAAAGAAGGACATGCCAATTGTAACTTTAAGTGAGCAATCCAAATCCAGCTCCTAAAACCGAAGTATTTTAACTCTCATTCTGATAATATTTATTTTCTGAGGCAAAGAAGAAAGACAAGATTAGATCAATTGTTTCTCTGCCCACTCCATCTCTTCCAACCTGCCTTCTCCCCTTTAATCAAATGTATAAATACTAAGCCTCCTGAAACCTCTTCAGAGAAAACACAAACCACAGAGGTTTTTTGCAACTCATGTATTCCCAGGGTGCACTATCAGGCTCTGGCTCAATAAAACTCAACTGGTCAAGACTCTTGCCTCAGTCAGTCATTCTGGATAACCACCAGGAGTCCTGCAAAGCCCTTCAGTAATCTATTGCCTGCCTAGGTGATGTGTACCTAGATGAGTCATATCTTCATGAGCCAAACACTTGTCTTCCTTTTCTGTCTTTCCCAACCCTACCACTCAGTGCTGTGTGCTCTGATCTGACCCCAGTTCCCAGGTTGTTTGTATAGGTCTAAGAAAGCAAGACCAGGAGGGGCAGGTTGAGAAGGAAGTAAGAGGCCAACAGCAGTGGAAAGTGGCAGGTAGAGCTGTCATTGCTCAAAGCCACACACACTGGGTGCATTGTATGAATTTTTCTGGATTCAAAATCTTTTCCCTGTGTGTCTATCTAGAAACTCACCCTCCTCCTACTTTCTTCTCATTACATTTTCTGTTTCTAGTGCACTTGTTTATGTCCAGAGAATGGCCATGCAAATAGTTGACAATAGAATAAACAATGACGTTTTGTGAGACTTGGTAGCTGGCCTTTGTTTTTTCCAAAAGAGATTGAGGTTTCTAAAAGCTAGCTTTTATGCAGGGCTGTGCAGTTGTGAGTGTAGTTTTATGGAACAGGTGCATAAGTGAAGGGTGAGATAGAAAACAAAATGCTGGCTGTTTGTCAAATCCTGAAAGTGAATGGGACAAAAATCATTTTTGAAGAAGGATGTCATTCAGGAGACCTTGTAAATCTTAGAGTGTCCTCTTATCAGATGAAGTGGAGGATGAGGTTGAATTATGGAGTTAGGTGACAGTGGGTACATACTTCTCTGCCTCAGTTTTTTTTTTTTTTTTAATCTGTAAAAATGGGGATTGTGGTACTTGGGATTTTTTGGTGAGGACCGTAGTTAACTGGAAAGCTCTCAGGATAGTGCCTGGTACATAGTGAATGCTGCATCAGTGTGAGCTATTATAATTATGGGAATAGACAAAGGTGCCACCCTGGCCATCCAGAGTGGGGAGATATTTTCTGGTCAGAGTCCAGGCAGGCCAGCTGGAGATGAAGCTGATTAGTGGGGACGCTTAACTTCCAGGAGTGGAAGAATTTAGGAGGAGTAAACAGAATGCACAACATTCTGTAAACATTCCTTTACCCAACAGTAGGAATACTCAGAGTGGGTGTGTCTTCCGTGACAATCATTATCTCCTGGGAATCTAAAAATGTGTCCTAGAGTCAAATGGCTTTGATGTAAGCCAAACCCAGAAATGGGCTTCAGGGCTGCCTGGCACATAGCATTCATTCATCTTGAAAAAGGAAAGCATTCATCTTGCTAAAGGAATCCCCTTTTCTGGCCCAGGCCATTATTTTTGTTTTAGTACTATCCTAATTTTTAAGGTATAAGGAGAAAGACTGAAGAATAAAATAATAAAGTACGTGTATGAAATAACAGGGTAGAATTGAGACTGGTACGTGTAAGTTAAGAGAAATTGTGTATAAATTTTGTGTGAACAGAAAAAGGATTTCTTGTTGCAAACAGACCTCTCCATATAAATAATACCTATTGCCTCGAGTGGATAGCAGACCGCATCACAAGAACATTCCAGCAGAGTCATGAGAGAATGGTTAGTGTGGCTTCTTTAATTGGCAGGTTAGACTGAGTAAGTTACTGAAGAGAAAGGAGTTGAAGGAGAAGATGGGTGCGGGCAAGAAAAATGGGAAGGTGAAAGGAAAGGACTGAAAGGAATGTTTACCAAGGGCTCATCAGGTACCAGGCTCTGTGACTAATGTCTTACACATGTTAATTTACTCTTCCACTGTCATTTTCTGATGCAGTAAGAGTCAGCCTTACACTGCAGATGAGGAAAGAGGCTGAGGGAGGTCAAATGAGTGGCACAGGGTCATCCAGCCACTTCATAGCAGAGCTAGTGTGTTTCACTGTGGTTTGTGCCGACAGAAAAGTGAGACATGGAAGGAAGGCAAAACATTTTTGTTGTGGGTGATGTTTATGAAAGTGACCCTTATGAGGCAGAATAATGGCCTCTTAAACATGTCCACATCCGGGCTGGATGCAGGGGCTCACGCCTGTCATCCCAGCACTTTGGGAGGCTGATACGGGTGGATCACGAGGTCAGGAGTTCGAGACCAGCCTGGCCGACATGGTGAAACCCCGTTTCTACTAAAAATGCAAAAATTAGCTGGGCGTGGGGGCGCATGCCTGTAATGCCAGCTACTTGGGAGGCTGAGGCAGGAGAATCATTTGAACCTGGGAGGCGGAGATTGCAGTGAGCCTAGATTGTCCCACTGCACTCCAGCCAGGGCAACATGAGTGAAACTCTGTCTCAAAAAAAAAAAAAAAAAAAAAAATCTACATCCTAACTCTTGGAACACATGCATTTACTTTTCTTGGCAAAAACACTGTTCAAAGGTGATGAAGTTGAGTATCTTGAGAAGGAAAGCTTATTCTGGCTTATCTGGGTGGCTCCCAGTTTCATCATAAGGGTCCTTGTAAGTGAAAGAGCAAGGCAGGAGGCTCAGGGTGAGAATGATGCAGTCTGAGAGACTCCACTGGCCATTGCTTCCTGTGAACATGTGTGATAAGACAAAATTATAACTAATTTAGTTATAGATGTAATTGGCTTTTATTTGTGATTTATGATTTGGGGCAGCTCTCCCTCTACAGATGCCTCAGCATCCCAAGTAGCTGGGACTATATTGCGGGATCTGGCCTGCAGCCTGCAATGCAATGGGGCTCTTTCTTTGTTCTCAGGCAGATCGGCAGGTTGAGAAATAAAAGACACACACAAGATAGTGAAAGCTGGGTCCAGAGGGGTCACCGCCTTCTGGTCCTGCGATGCTGCCAATGCACTGGATATACCAGCATTTATTATTAAG
The DNA here is from genome assembly GCF_000001405.40 of Homo sapiens. NCBI lineage: Eukaryota > Metazoa > Chordata > Mammalia > Primates > Hominidae > Homo > Homo sapiens. Next base: position 42,834,203 of record NC_000019.10, read on the forward strand.
TTTAGTGAGAGTGGGGGTAGGTTAGTGAGAGATTTAGGGCCATTTATAGGCTCTCCACAAGGGTCGCATTCCATTCCCAGAGCTATGGACATCTGCTTTTCTGGGATAGGAATCTTGGTAATGTGAAACCTCCCTGACTGCATGTCCGTTCATAGGCTCTCTGCAGGGGGAAGCACATCACGTGCTGTTGGCTCATTCTGGCAGTCCAACCTGGCATTTGTCTTTACACAATCCTGCATGCAATTTCGTATTTACAATAATCAGGAGCATTTCATCTTTTATTCCATAGCAATAGTTTCAGGGGGTCTCCCTACATCTCCCCCTTTTCTCCAATTTAAATGAACCATAGCAATCATAGCTTGGCACTGATCACGATTGGATTGAAGAATATTTTTTTCCAATTTTACACATGAACAATAAACCAATAGCACAAATTATACACAGAACAAAATTAACGATAGTGGATCCTCCCAAAGATTTTACCTATTGAATGGGGTTGAGATTAGATAACCCCTCAGAGATACTGTCTAAAACTTCAGCACTGGGTAAAGCAGTTAAGTGTGCTTGAGAAGCTTCAAAAATCTGTTCTTTTAGCTTGCTTAAGTCTAAACTTAAATTATCTTCACTTCCTTGTAAATGGCATTTTACTGATTCCCAGTTGTGAACAGACTCATTATGTTGGAATGGAGTTATACAAAAATCAGAAGTATTCCAATCAGGTTGCATTTGTAATCTATGTTCTAAACTCATAATTCTATCTCCCATCCATGTAACAGAAGCACATCATGTGCTGTAGGCTCATTCTGGCAGCCCAACCTGGCATTGTATTTACACAATCCTGCATGCTCTTTTATATTTACAATAATCAGGAGCATTTCATCATTTGTTCTGTAGCAATAGTTTCAGGGCTTCTCCCTACAGGACTACAGGTGCGCGCCACCATGCCCGGCTAATTTTTGTATTTTTAGTAGAGACAGGGTTTCACCATATTGACCAGGCTGATCTCGAACTCCTGACCTTGTGATCTGCCTGCCTTGGCCTCCCAAAGTTCTGGGATTACAGATGTGAGCCACTGTGCCTCGCCAATAATTAACACATTTCTTTGAGTTTTTGTAATTCCAGCACAAGAGAAACCATTTGATATTTGAAGAATGGCTGCACACCAGTGAAAACATCTGTAGATTGCACCACACGAGGGAGACTACCAGTATGACTATCAGGAGGAAAATATCAAGAGTTTGGAATATGCACCTTAGGCAAGATGCAAACCAACTACAATAGGATAGATCAAAGAAGAAGCCAGAAGAGTCTAGTCATTTTAACTAGGCAGCACATTTAATGATTTTTACAACTGAGTCTGTAATACCCAATGTATTTATCCATGTGCAACAAGAAGCGTCAGAAACTGCACAGGCTCCCCTCTGTTCAGCTGATAGAGAGCAATTCTATTATCTAGCATTGCATGTCTATGTTAAATTAAAACAGGGAGCGAGAATAGGCAAGTATAGAAGTGGAAGCCTAAAAAAAACTCCATACATTTGAGGAAAACATTGTGTTACAGATGCAGCTAATGTCAGCCTTTGGGTGGACTAAAGGATCTCTTGGTATGTAAAAATGTGTGGGCCAGGTGCGGTGGCTCACGCCTGTAATCCCAGCATTTTGGGAGGCTGAGGCATGTGGGTCCCCTGAGGTCGGGAGTTCAAGACCAGCCTGACCAACATGGAGAAACCCCGTCTCTACTGAAAATACAAAATTAGCTGGGTGTGGTCATGCATGCCTGTAATCCCAGCTACTCAGGAGGCTGAAGCAGGAGAATCACTTGAACCCAGGAGGTGGAGGTTGCAGTGACCCAAGAATGTGCCATTGCACTCCAGCATGGGCAACAAGAGCGAAACTCCATCTTATAAAATAAAAGTGTGGTTGACATGATATATCTGACACTGTTAACTTACTCTCAGAAGCTACTTCTTGTGAAATCCTAAGTACAGCATTATTCTGGGAAGCAAAGGCGACAGGCATAAGCAAGGACAAATTAAGAGAGGTAAGATTCCCATCATGATTGATAGTCTTGTTCTGACATCTTGAGAAAACTGTCCACAGTGTAAAGTCATCAACTTGTTGTCTTGGTTTGCAGTTTGAGTGTCTCTAAGTTATGGTGTTGAACATTTGGTGAGTTCTTAGCGGCCCACACCTCAGACATGAGAGTTTTCTCATGAAATTTACATTGAGTTGTCCATCTCCAGCTTATATGGCTTCAGGAACAGAGCCACTCTTGTTCTTAATTATTTCATTGGAGAAAATTGAATTGGAAGAACTAAAAGAATTCAGGGTCCAGTCCAGTCTACCAGTGGATTATAAATACTCAAAGATAATGAACAGTGGTTCAATCTGGTAACAGGTGTACTACAGTTCTGCTTTTCAACATAGTTTTTCTGTCTATAGGAGTCTCTATTTTTACCAAAGATAATTCCAGTAGGATGAATTTGTTTGCAAAATAGGTTGAGTCTCACCGAACTTGCCCAGACTTTTTACCTAAGTGCGGCAAGAGTAGCAATGGACCATAGAGGCTCTTTTTAAACTTCGCTTTGCTAGAAGTTTTTAATAAGAATCTCAGATTAAACTTCCAAAAACCTCTTGAGACTAGGAAGCCAAACCAAGGGCAACTTCAGACTTTGCCTGCATTCCCTATGGGTTTATTCTATGTATATTCTCAAATATAACATCCCAGTCAAAGCCTTGGTAATATAACCGATGTTTTCAAATGTGTCCTGTTATAAAGAGAGCAGATCCTTACTGAAGTTGTGCAAATAACTTTATTACCATAAACATATGAATACTCATGAATAGTTTCCCAATTCTGGGGCACTCAGCAAAAGCAAATGTTTCAATTTTTGTTTACAAAAGTATACTTTACCAATTGTTCAAGGAAAAAAGTTCATAAATCTGGAGAATAAAACATTCAAAGACTCAGCACATTTTCAAATAGAAAATTATGAAAACATTATCCTTTTGATTATTTATTCCAATAAAATTGAGTTTTTTTTCTTCTTTGTCTTGAATTTCATGAAGGTATCAGCCTGTTCATTAAAATTTTGAAAGTTCTTAGTCCAGTGGTATGATCTTGAAGTTATCAGGAGCTTGTATTCCAGAGTCCTTGTCAGAGTCTTTTCCATAAATCTCCTTGAAGAAAAAGCAATTTTGGACTGTAGCTGATGGTAAATACTTTGAGGAAGAATCAAAGCAACTGTCTGGGAATGACAAAGATTTAAAATGACTATGGTTAAAAATCTAATGAGAATTTATTATGGTAAAGACACAGCTCACATAGAAATCTAGTTACTTCTGTGGCATAAGACACTATGATAACATATTTGATTTCCAGAAATTTCATATAATTTTTATAATACTCATTAAAAAAATTTTTTTTGAGATGGAGTGTCACTCTCTCACCCAGGCTGGAGTGCAGTGGTGCGATCTCAGTTCACTGCAAGCTCCGCCTCCTGGGTCCATGCCATTCTCCTGCCTCAGCCTCCTGAGTAGCTGGGGCTACAGGTGCCTGCCACCACACCTGGCTAATTTTGTTTTTGCATTTTTAGTAGAGATGGGGTTTCACCGTGTTAGCCAGGATGGTCTCGATCTCCTGACCTCGTGATCTGCCCACCTCGGCCTCTGAAATTGCTGGGATTACAGGCGTGAGACATCACGCCCAGCCTAGAATACTCATATTATTAACATTCCCATAAATATTATTTAGAGAAGGTTTAGCATCAATTATCCCTTATTTGAAAATGCTTTCTATAAATTTAATATATAAAATAAGGTGGATTTTCCGTTCAGCTTCTGTTTCTCAAGAGGATTACTGAGTTGTTGGTGTAGCCCATTCATAAATAGGACCAAAAAAGTATAGTCTTATGTATGTTGAAAAAGGTCCTTAGGTAATTCCAGTACTTCCAGCAGAAAATCATTGATTTAGTTTTAAGTTCTACCTATTACAATAAGAGTTCTCCATCCTTGTTACATGTTAGTAGTGTCAGGGAAGACTTAAAAATTACCAATGCCTGGGTCCGTCTCCAGACCTTTAAACTGGAACTAATGGGTGGGGCTTGAGCATCCACTTTTAAAAATGTTTTCCAGTGATTCCAATGTGTAGCTCTATTTCCCATCAGATTTCTCTGATTTCTTGTGGCATTCAATTTTTTCTATTTTGGTATCATGATTATTTTCAGGTCTCATTTCCTGTCTTAGGCTTTATGTCTCCTGGCGTAGGGACCTTGCCTTCTTCATTTCTGTATCTTTTTTAAACACATGAACTGGTCATCAGGAAAAGGTCTCAACCACACATAGGTTGTGTCCTGAGTCTCAGGTTCACATGTTAATCCTAAAGTCTTTGTTCTCCACGAGGTCAGATGTTGCTTGTGATGAAGGGTGTGGTTAAGTCTGCAGTGCAGATGGTGGAAGGGATTTCACTGTTTTTAGACATAGCATTGGAACTAAGAATTTTATGTCTATATGGGTGAAGGGGCAGGGATGTGTAGGAAGACAGTTCTAATTAGGATGAAGGAATTATACTAGGAAGTAGAGGTAAAGGAAGTGAGAAGGCTTAGTAAATAGAAGAAATGTGAACTTATCAAAGTGGCTAGAGTAGACCACTGGAGATTCTTGATTAAGTGAATTAACTAGATTTTAGAAAGGTAATGAGGCAGTCATATGCAAGGAAGATTTCAAAGTCTGGAGACAAGAAGTCAAGCAATACTTTGAGAAGTGGTTGAGCTTTATGGGAATTGAGAGAATTACAGTATTGAGAGATGTTAAAAGTAACGAAGAGGGTTTCATCATGTGAAATTGTGTTTCTCATTTGAATCTGAGAAACAAATGAGCAGAGGCTGGAGATAATTATGTCTAAAAGACAGTGGGGTACAGGGAGCATAAAGGCCAGGGAGAAAGGGAACTGTAGGAATTAGTGCTGAGAAGCAGGAGTTTAGTGGAGGAAGGAGGAGATGCAGTCCCAGATACAAGCAAATAAGTCTTTTCCCTCTCCCAAGCATGGCAGTCAGCCCTGCAGGAACCAGGATAAGAGAAAAGGCCATCATACCTGCCAGTCTTCCTGAAATACAGAAATGACATCACCGCTGCTCTATTGGAGTAAAGAAAGGAAGACGTCCTATTCCTGGAGGAGCTGTCATGGAAAGAAAAGAAAAGAAGGAATGAAGATGATGTTATTTTACATGGGGGAGCTTGAGGAACAGGCATGTAGCATGAGGTACTCTATAATTGTTTCTTCAAGGACTACATTATTTCTGTTGGAAAATTGATGGGAGATGATTATATTCTTGCAGTTTTTTTTCCCTCTTACCATACTTCTAGGTTGGTGATCAGTCCTCTGTCAATTCTCTACTGCACTCAGATATTTTGGAAGGCTTTCAGATGTGAGAAAGGCTGATTGCTATTTTCTATGTCATTAGAACTTGCCACCTTTGCACCTTTCCATGGTTGCATCTTTTTCTCAGTGTCTCTGTTATGGCAGTCACGAATGAGACCCTGCCAGGTCTCCATGGCAGGCACCTGATTTACAGAAGGCCCAGATCAGTACATTTCAAATTCACCACCTCCTTTGCACAGAAAGCTTCTTTCCTACAGGCTCCCAGGAAGGGTGTGAAAGCAAGCCTAGTTCTCTGAGGATCTCTTTAACTCCAATGGGTGACTGGTTGGAGGATTCCCCATCAGCCTTGCAAAAACTCTTAGAATTGCATTGGTACCTAAAACTTATTTCTCTTTCCTTTTCACAGGAATCAGCCCTGGATAGTGGTCTGTGGGTTCTCCCATACTACCTTCATGCCTGCCCCACATTCCCTCAGAGGTGTCTTCCCTGATAAATTATCTTGTATGTCTAATCCCATCTTGGATGCATCTCAATTGGTAAAAACTAACATACCAGGCTTGATTCTTTGCACTTAGCTTTTTTTCTTTCTCTCCCACAAGTAGTCAGTAGCCATGTTCTAGTGTTCTATGTGTTACCTCTTTTTCCATATGTATGGAAAAAGGAAGGTACTGTTGAGGTGCACTTCCTATGTGCCAGGCCCTGTGCTCAATACTTTACCTGTATCTCATTTAAGCCACACAATAACCCTGTCAGGTAGACATTATTTCCATTTTGGCAATGAAAAGACAGAAGCTTAGCGTGGTGTAAAATCTTTCCTGGTGTCATATGGCTAGTGACAGGTGGATCTGAGATTTGATTCTAGGACTATTTGACCTCAAGGCTAATGATAATGGTAGTAATATGGTAGCTGACATTGGTTCCTCTGTGTGTGGCATCTTGTTTCATTGACTGTATTAAACCTTTAAAAGAATTGTATGAAGAAAGTAGCCTCATTGCAGTTTTCAGGTGAGGAATCAGAGGTTCAGAGAAGTTGAGTCTTGTGCAAGAAATTTATAACTGTAAACTCTTACATTAAAAAAGAAGAAAGAGCTCAGGTCAACAACCTACTTTAATACTTCAGGATATGAAAGAAGAACAAACTAAACCCAAGCACAGTGAATGAGGGAAATAATAAGGATTAGAGTGGATATAAATAAAATGGAGAATGGAAAAATAATAGAGGAAATTACTGAAACCAAAAGTTGATTCTTCAAAATAAAATCAACAAAATTGACAACCATTAACTAGATTGACTAAGAAAAAAAGAGAAAAGTTTAAAATTACTAAAATCAGAAATGAAAATGGACTCTGAGCATGGTGGGTCGTGTTTTAATCCTAGCACTTTGGGAGGTCACAGCGGAAGGATTTCTTGAGACCAAGTGTTTGGGCCAGCATAGTTAACCCTGGGAGATGCTGTCTCTACAAAAAATAAAAAACCAATTAGCTGGGCATGGTGACATGCACCTGTAGTCCTAGCATCTTGGGAGGCTGAAGAAGGAGAATTGCTTGAGCCCAGGAGGTTGAGGCTGCAGTGAGCCATAGACACACCACTGTATTCCATCCTAGGGTGGCCTACAGAGTGAGAGCCTGTCCCTCTCTCTTCAAAAAAAAAAAAAAAAAAAAAAAAAGAAAAATGAAGCGATTACTACCAATTCTAATAAAATAATGATTATGAAAGTAGTATAAATAATTGTATGCTAATAAATTGGATAACCTATATGAAGTAGACAAACTCTTAGAAACACACAAATATATGAATAGAACTATAATCAGTAATAAGATTGAATCAATAAAAGTAATTGATGAAATTCAGTATTTTTTCATAATAAAAACATTCTAAGAATGGAAGGAAACCACCTCAACATAAAGGCAATATGTGAAAAACCCAATGCTAACATCATACTCAATAGAGAAAGACTGAAAGCTTTCCCTGTATGAGCAGGAAGAAGACAAGGATGCCTGCTTTTGACACTTTTATTCAATATAATATTGAAAGGTCTAGTCAGAAAAATTAGGCAAGAATTTTAAAAAAGACATTCAAATTGGAAGGAAGGAGTAAAATTATTTCTGTTTACAGATAACTTGAACTTATATGTAGAAAATCCTAAAGATGGAACAAATCTATTAGGACTAATAAATAAATTCAGTAATGTTGCACAATACAAAATCAACATTCAAACATCAGTTGTATTTCAATACACTAACCATGAACAATCTGAAGGGAAATTAAGAAAAAAAAATTCAATTTCTATTAACATCAAAAAGAATAAAATATTTAGGAATAAGTTTAACCAAAGAGGTGAAATGATTATACCCGAAATCTACAAAATATTGCTGAAAGAAATGAAAGAAGACATCAATAAATTGAAAGACATTTTGTTTTCATGAATTGGAAGACTCAATTTGGTTAGGAGGACAGTGCTACCCAAAGTGAGCTGCAGATTCAATACAATTCTTATCAGAATCTCAGTGACATTTTTGCAGAAAAAGAAAAATCTGTCCTAAAATTTATATTGCATCTCATGACTCTAAATAGACACACAGCTTTGAAGAGGAAGAATGAAGCTGGAGGACTCACACTTCCTGATTTCAGCATTTACTACAAAGCCCCAGTAATCAATACAGTGTGGTACTGGCATAAAGGAGGACATAGAAATTAATGAAATATAATAACCTAGAAAGAAATGCTTGCATATATGGCCAAATGATTTTCATCGAGTGTGCCAAGATCGTTCAATGGGGAAGGGACAGTGTTCTCACCAAATGATATTGGAAAAGCTGGATATCCAAGGGCAAGAAGAGTGGAACCTTTACCTAACACCATGTGCAAAAATTAACCCACAATACATGAAAGATCTAAATGTAAGAGCAAAAACTATACAACTCTTAGAAGAAAAGGTCCATGATACTGGATTTCACAATGATTTCTTGGTTGTAACAACAAAAGCATAGGCAACAAATAAAATTGATAAATTGGACTTCACAAAAATCAAAACCTTTTGTATATCGAAGAACATTATCAGGAAGGTAAAAAGGCAACCCATGAAATGATAAAAATATTTGCAAATTATATGTGTGATAAGAAATTAATTTCCAGAATACATGAAAAGCTACAAGTCAACAACAGCAGACATCCAAAAACCCAATTAAAAAATGAACAAAGGATTAAAATGGAGTTTTCTCCAAGGAAGATATACAAATATCCAATAAGCCCATGCAAAGTTCCTCAGCATCATGAATAGTTAGAGATATGCAAATCAAAACCACAATGTTACACCACCTCACACACTTGATGGGAATGGGAAATGTTATAGCCACTGTAAAAAGTGGTGTGGCTGTTTCTCAAAAAATTAAACAATAAATTACCATTTGATCCAGCAATTCCACTTCTGGACATACTCCACATAGAATTGAAAGAAATTTGAAGAAATATTTGTACTCTGATGTTCAGAGAAGCATTACTCACACTAGCCAAAAAATGGAAACAACCAAAAAGTCCATTGAAAGATAAGTGGGTAGGCAAATGAGGTGTATCTACAATTAAAATGTTATTCAACCTTAACAAGGAATAAAATTCCAATACATCGTGCAAAATGGATGAACCTTAAAGATATTATGCTAACTGAAATAAGCCAGACACAAAAGGATAATTATCATATAATTCCATTTATAAAAGATAGTTAGAATAGCCAGTTACATAGAGACAGAATGTAGAATGTTGTGTGCTAAGGGTTATGGGGAGAAGGAGTGAGTTACTGTTCATTGGGTACAGAGGTTTAATATGGTAAGAGGAAAAAGTTCTGGAAATGGATAGTGTGATGGTTACACAACACTAAATTGCACACTTAGAAATAGTTAATGGTAAGTCTTATATTAGATATATATAAAGTGTTTGGTAGTCTTACCCTCTCTATAATTACACACTTTTTGGCACTGCCCCTTTCCTGCGATGCAGAGCCCCAGGGGTGAATCTCCCTATTTCTCCAGCTCTGCATCAGTCACTATCCTCCGTGCTGTGTCCCACATGCTGTGCCCACAGCCTCATACAGCCGGTGACTTCAGAGCCAGGACGCAGCTCAGGAGTCTGCCCTGAGGCTCCCTCTCTTCTTATTTCCCTGCAGCCTGGCCCGGGGGAGGCTTGGCTTCAACTGGCAGCTCGATTTAGCCAAATTCAGGACAGGCCACCAGGGCTCTTTCTCCACACATGCTGGTCCCACCCCAGGTGGAGTCAGGCAGGGCCAGTCACCAGAGGAGCCTGGAGCAGAGCAGGAAGCAGAGTCTGAGCTGCTCCTCCCTCACCCAAGGGGCTTCCCCGTCTCATTTGGGGGAACAGTGTGAGCTTGTTTCAAAGCCTCAGATGTTCCTTGTAGCTCATGGAAGAGGTACAAGAAAACAAAGACGTGGCAGAAGGGGATGTGTTGGTGACATCGAGAAGCAACTTGATCTTGAGGACTCTCCTTCTCATCCGTCTCTGAAGTCTCTTCTACCACATAGGGCTCAGGGCTGATAAAGCCCCCTCCCTAACTTTCTTAGGCCAGACACAAGGTCAGCCATGAGAAAACAAAAACAAGAAGAGAGTCTGTAGAGACAAATTGGGAGGGTTCAGGAGGAGAATTTGGGATTTGCTTGTGCCCATGGGACACAGGCTGGGAATAAAAATGTTTTCCTAACTCTTCTCTGAAAGCCAGATAGACTCCACCTAAAACCCTATTGCCAAGGATGCTGGGATCCACTTACCAGAGACTTCGACTGTCATGGATTTGGAGCTTTCCTTGCCAGTGGCTGAGTTACGAACAGAGCAAGCATAGAGCCCTCTATGCTTTGTAGTAATTTGGGGGATAAAGAGCTTTTGTTCTGATTGCTGAAACTTCCCATTAATTGTCCAAGAGTACTATGCCGGTGGGTTACATTCCGCGAAGCAGGACAAGTAAAGGTTTTGTCCTGAACGGTAATAGGTGAATGAAGGGTAAATTCTGGGGAGGTCTGGACCATCTGGAGCAAAGAGAATAAAGCCACAGGTGATGTCATCCGAGGGAAGGGGATGCTCCTGGTCTCTTAAAGGGACACAGTGACCCTCTGAGCCAAGACACACCTTCAAGTCCCAGCCGAACCCCCTCTATGTTCACTGAGCTGAAGCCTGAGGTATTCACCTGTTTCTCCCCAATCACAAGCTATGGGCACCAAGTCTCCCATGACAAGAGCGTCCCCTCCCCTTATATTCTTGGTTAAGGCTGTGCCTACCCAGGATTTCCCAGGGCAGGGAGTCATGGCCAGCTCGGATGTCCAGAAGTAAAGGTGTCTATACTTGGACCGGAGAAAGACTGAGAGGACTGGCTTGTGGTCATTTAGAGTTAAGCTGGTGTCCTGGCCCACAGAGGAACAAAAGATACTCACAGAGGACATTCAGGGTGACTGGGTTACTGCGGATGCCACCATATCGGTCCCGTATTTCACATTGATAGGGTCCTGTTTCATTTCTCGTGACACTGGGTAGAATGAGGATCCTGTTTTCAATGGGTCACTTTACCCTGGGACTGACTGGGAGGCTCTGACCATTTAGCCACCACGTGTAGGTGTAGTTCTCACTTTTAGGGTCACAGGTGAAGGGTAAGACATCCTTATTCTCCCTGGGTTTTGAGTTGTTGATGGTGATGTAGGGCTTGGGCAGCTTCGCTGTGTGGATAACAGAGAGAAGATTGTCCTGTGTGACACCTTTGATTCCTCCACAGGCATCCCTCAATCAGAGTTGGCATCTCCCACCTGTCATCCCACGCGAGTCCTTGAAAGCCAATAGCTGGTGCATGTGTCACAAGACAGATGTATGATGATCTAAGGGCTCAAAGACTGTGAGGCCGCCTGCTCTGTCTTAGGGAAGCATAGACTTTCTCAAGTGTCAATTGAGCAGCAGTGTTGGGTCATGGACAGACACATCAGTAGGAGTCACAGCCCCTGGTACCCCTCCCAGTCCCTCCCTAATCAGTTGACTGGCTGGCTCACCTTGGGTTCCTTACCTGGAATATGCAACTGCTGGGCCCCTTCCAAATTCCATCCTACTTTGTCCCCCTAGACGTGATTTCTCTGCAGCTTCCATTTCCAAGGACATTCTAGAGATGAGTAATAATGGGACTTCCCATTGTCCTGAAACCCTGAATATACTGAGCAGCCTGGCCTGGGACTGGATGTTTCAGCAAAAATAAGACAGCAGAGACCATAGTCAAGCCTGGAGGTCAGTTCAGTCTACAGGCAGTGGAGGCAAAAGGTGGGGCAGTTTTTTGCAGGTGTTTCATGATGACTTACTTGAACCAGTGACCTCTAAAGATAGAGCAGAGTGCAAGGAATGATCTAGAAAGAGTGAAGGGGACAGGCAAGAGCTGGAGGCTTTGGAGCAGAACCATGTTGCCTGTCCTGCGTTCAAGTTTCCTCTCCTTCTGCAGAGGGCAGGTGAGGACCATGTGGATCTTTCCAGAAATACATGTGGACATTTGCATATGCAGAACTGATTGGTGGAAAGGGTGGGAATGAACTGCTGGAAATCTGGTCCTCATGGACCATGTGTGTTTGATGGATATGATACAAATTTAGAGAGAAGTTTTGCAAATATTTTATTTCATTGGACATTCTACTCTCTGATTCCATGGGTTCGACTACTCTAGGGACCTCATGTAAGTGGATTCCAGAGTGAATATGAGAAGAGACTGCTGGTTTCCAGGAGCTGGGAGTGGGGAGAATCAGAAATTGTTCATGGGTGTGCAGTTTCAGTTATGCAAGGTGGGGAGGTTATAGAGATTGGCTGTCGAGCTTGATACCTATAGTTCACACAGATTGAGTATTTCTTATGCATAAGACTTAGGACAAAAAGTGTTTTGGATTTCTGACATTTTTTGATTCTGAAATATTTGTCATATACTTACTGGTTTAGCATCCCAAATCTGAAAGATTCAAAATCTAAAATGCTCCAGTGAGCATTTCTTTTCAGCATCAGATTAGTAGGCAAAAGTGGGAGGTGATAAGCCAAAGATATTCTTGCCCTTTTTTTTTCTCTCACCACATTTCTAGCTTGGTGATTAGTTTTTGGTCAATTCCATACTGGCCATGCTGCACTCGTATGTTTTTGAAGGTTTTGGGATGTGAGAAAGCCTGATTGCTATTTTCTGTGTCATCAGAACTTTCCACCTTTTCATGGCTGCATCATCTTTTTCTCAGTGTTTGTGTTGTGGCAGTGATTAATAACAGCCTGTCAGGTCAGATTTAGGACAGAGTTTTCTGATTCTGCAAAAAATTTTACTGCGATTCTGCTAGGGGTTGCATTGAATCTGCAACTCACTTTGGGTAGTATTGTCTTTCTAACAATATTGACTCTTCCAATCCATGAAAATGAAATGTCTTTCCATATATTGATATTGCATTTAATTTCTTTCAGCAATGTTTTGTAGTCTTCAGTGTATAATCATTTGACCTTTTTGGTTAAACTTATTCCAAAATAGTTTATTCCTTTTGATGTTAATGTGAATTGAAATTCTTTTCTTAATTTCCCTTCAGATAGTTCATTGTTAGTGTATAGTGTAAAGAATGATCTAGAAAGAGTGAAAGGGACAGGAAAAGCTGGTGGTTTTGGAGCAGAAACATATTCCCTGTCCTGGGTTTTTGATTTTCCCTCTCCCTTTGCAGAGGGCAGGTGGCTCTTCCCTGATAGCTAGATAGACTTCACTGGAAAACATATTGCCAGTCCTCCAGGGATCCACTCACCAGGGACTATGATCCTCTTGATTATGAGATTTGTTCCACCAATGGCTGAGTTATGGATGAAACAGACATAGACCCCTCTATATGTTTTGGTGATTTGGGGTATAAATAACACTTGTGCTGATTGCTGGAACTTCCCATCAATCAGCCAAGAATGCTCTGCTAGTGGGTGAGAGTCTGTGAGGCAGGAGAGCTTGGGGACTTCCCTTGTATGGTAATAGGTGTATGAGGAAGAAATGGTGGGGGCATCCAGGCCATCTGGAGCAAAGAGAATAAGGTCACAGGTGATATTGTCAGAGGGAAGGGAAAATCCTGGTCTGTGGAAGGGCCACAGTTGCCCCGTGAGCCAAGTCGCAACACTGAAGTCCCAAGAAAATCCCTGCTGTGTTCACTGATCTGGAGAGTGAGACATTCACCTGTTTCTCCCATCACAAGCTCTGGACCATGAGTCTCCCATGACAGGAGCAGCCTCTTTTCTCCTATTGTGGATCAAGCCTAGGCCTACTCTTGTTTTCCTGGGGCAGAAAGTCATGGCCAGTTTTGATGTCCAGGGATAAAGGTCTCTGTACTTGGACCTGAGAGGGACTGAGAGGCCTGGCCTCTGGCCATGTGTATTTGGGATGGCAGCGTGGCTCACAGAGGAACAGAAGATAGTCACGGAGGAGATTCAGGGTGAATGGGTCACTGCGGCTGGCACTCACTGGGTTCCGTATTTCACATTCATAGGGTCCTGCAGTATACTTTGTGGCACCAAATATAAAGAGGGTCCTGTTGGTTTTGGACAGCTGCAACCTTTGAGTGGTAGGGAGGTTCTGACCATTCATCCACCACAGGTAGCTTGCGTTCGGAGTTGCAGGATCACAGATTAAGATCACAGCCTCCATGATCTCCCTGGGGTTTAATTTGCTGCTGGAGATGGAGGGCTTGGGAGTCTCCACTGTGCAGAAAACAGGGAGAAGATTGCCCTGTGTGGCACCTTTGATTCCTCCAAAGGCATTTTTCAATCAGAGTTGGCATTTCCAACCTCTCAGCCCACCCGAGTCCTTAAAAGCCCATGGCAGGTGTGTGTGTTACAAGACAGATGCATGGCAATCTGAGGGCTCAGAGATTGTGAGGCTGCCTGCTTCATGTGGGAGAAGCACAGACTTTCTCAAGTGTGAATTGAGCAGCAGCATTGGGTCATGGAAAGACACAGGACCAGCAGTCACAGCCCCTGGTGCCTCTCTGAGTCCCTCCATCTCCAACTGCCTGCCTGGCCCACCTTTTGGTCCTCACTTGGAGCATGCAGTGCTGGAATCTTCTTAGCTTCAGTCTTACTTTGCCCCCGAGGCATGTTTTCTCTGCAGCTTCCCTTTCCAAGGACATCCTAGAGATGGATGATGGAACTTCCCATTGTCCTTAAACCCTTTGGGTACTGGAAAGCCTGGCCTGGGACTGGGTACTTCAGCAGAAATAACACAGGGGAGACCAGAGTCAAGCCTGGAGGTCAGTTCAGTCATCAGGCAGTGGAGCCACAAGGTGGGGCAGTTTTCCCAGATGTCTCATAGTGACTGACTTGAGCCAGTGACCTCTAAAGATAGAGCAGAGTCCAAGGAATGACCTACAAAGAGTGAAGGGGACAGGCAAGAGCTGATAGCTTTGGACGAAGACCACGTTCCCTGTTCTGGGTCCATGATGCTCCCTTCCCCCTGTAGAGGGCAGGTGAGGACCATGTGGATCTTTCTGGAAATACATGTGGATGTTTGCAAATGCAGAACTGACTGGTGGAAAGGGCAAACATGAACTGATGATGGAAGTCTGGCCCTCATGGACCATATGTGTTTGGTGGATATTAGACCAATATTTGGGAAGAAGTCTTGCAGATACTTTCTCTCATTAGACATTCTACTCTCTGATTCTGAGTTTGACTACTCTATGTACCTGATATCAGTGGATTCCAGAGTGAATCAGAGAGTAGAATAGTAGTTTGCAGGAGCTGGGATCAGGGGAATAGGGCGTTGTTCCGTGGGTGTGCGGTTTCAGTTATGCAGGATGAGGAGGTTCTAGAGATCTCCTGTGCAGCCTCGTGCCTATACTTCATGCAGATACAGTGCTCCTTATGCAGAAAGCTTAAAACAAAGTGTTTTGGATGTCTAATTATTTTTTTATTTTGGAATATTTGCAGTACATGTACTGGTTTAGCATCCCAAATCTGAAAAATTTAAAATCCACAATGCGCCAGTGAGCACTTCTTTTTAGCATCACATCAGTGGTCAGAAGTGTTGAGTTTTGAGCATTTCAGATTGTGGATTTCTGGATTTCAGATGCTCAATTTGTAATACTGTAATTTTCCCATAAAAAGTTTTCAGGACTTTAGACCTCATGTTATGTTCTGACTCTAGTAACAAAAAAAAATTTGGAGGAAACATTGAAATGTTTTCATAAGTGGGAATTTTTACTGATGGTCCAAACATCTGAGATCAATTGCTGGTAGTAGTATTTCTCTTGAGGCCAACATAAGGTTTAGGTGTGCCATGAATTCCAGCAGGATCACATTATGCTCAAAGAAAGATGCCAAAGGTGATTTGAAATTAGCAACTCCTTAAGTAGAGAGAGTCCCGTTAAAAGGACAAAACTGGGTAGTGTGTCAATTACATAAAGGGAGGAATGATGCCAAATTAAAAGAAGTGATGTGTGTTATGTTAGTAAATATAGAAAGAACTCCCTGCTTCTGCTTTCTGTGCCGAGTTAGGAAAAATCGGGAGGAGCACAAAGCAGGTATGTGAAATACTTTCTTCGTTCTCTCTTAAGTTCAGGAAATAACACTAGAGTTTAAGTTTGTGTGAATTAGGAAGAGTCTAAGTGAGATGCCAATGGCTCGTGTGTCTCCCCACAGGAAGAACTCGAACTTATGAAAGCAGCATCATCATGAGGAAACAGTTGTATGTGGCACAGGCAGTAATACCATCAGATAGCACCCACCTGGCCACCTCCAGCTGGTCCCCAAAACCACCAGTATTCCCATTACATGTAGGTTACAGCCTTTGTAGTTGTCCCACAACAAAGAAATTTAAAAATTGCTATTGTCAAAACAAAATATTAAATATGAAGGCGAATATGTTGTTCCACTTTTTTTCCCCACTCTTTTTGACCTTTCTTGTTTCAGTTTTGGAAGTTTCTATTGACACATCCTCAAGCTAGGGATTCTTTCCTCAGCTCTGTGCAGTCTACCAGTAAGCATCAAAAGCATTCTTCATTTCTCTAACAGCATTTTTTATTTTCTGAGACAGAGTCTCACTCTGTCACCCCGGCTGGAGTGCAGTGGCATGATCTCAGCTCACTGCAAGTTCCGCCTCGCGGGTTCATGCCATTCTCCTGCCTCAACCTCCCAAGTAGCTGGCACTACAGGTGCCCACCACCAAGCCCAGCTAATTTTTTGTATTTTTAGTAGAGACGGGGTTTCACCATGTTAGCCAGGATGGTCTCTATCTCGTGAACTTGTGCCCGCCTTGGCCTCCCAAAGTGCTGGGATTATAGGCATGAGCCACTGTGCCCAGCCATCTCTGAAGGATTTTAACGAGTTGTTGACTTTTGAGTTTGTTCAGTTTTTACTTAGCGTTAGAACCGAGTGACAAATTTCAAGCTTGTTATATGCCTGACAGGAAGCCAGAAGTCTCTAGGAAGTGACTGGAGAATGTGAGCTCCACAGCAGGTTGAGGATGGAGTCACGAGTGAAATGAGCCCATGGGCTTTGGGGACTGCAGGCCTGTCCAGCCTCTGACACCCTGGTGAGTCAGAGCAAAGATTACAACAGTGACAGGAAACTAGCGTGGCTGACTCCATCTGGCATCTAGTCTCAGGCTGGCTGTCCTCACTCATTCCTGGGCATAGGCCAGGCTAACATTGGGAGGAATTTAGTTTATGGTTTAACTTTGAAACAAGAAAGATAATAGTACCTCCATAAAACTAACACCCTTACTTTGCCCAGGGGCTGCCTTTCTAAAACTAGTGAAAGACCATGAGATTGAGATTATAGGAGGGAACCGAATTCTGCTACAATGTAGGCACAGTTTCTATAATCCCTGACTGATCAAATGTCATTTGGCCAGAGTTTACAAAATTTGTAACTAATTGCTCCCATAGATAACATCACTATTGCAGAACGTGAGATTAGTCTTTTGAGATGTTTTTCATTCTTTTGCATTCTGGCAACTGGCTGACCTCATCCATACCCATGACTAATGGCTCAGCCAGCCATGTGGTCCCTACCTAGAAGTGGATTCAAGCACAAACAGTTCATTTCCCTCCGCCCGCATGATTCCATCACCAAACAATCAGCAGTACTCATTTTTTAGTCCTGTGTCCCTGAAATCATCCTTGGAAATGTCTAACACCTGATCCACTGGGGAGGCTGATTTGAGTAATAATAAACCTCTGTCCTCCTGTTTGGCAGACTTGGAGTCATTAAAATCTTTCTTTACTACAAACCACCATTTCAATAATTTTTTTTTTGTGTGTGTGTTTGTGTCTGTGTGTGCAGAAGGCCAGAAGAACTTGTCTGGCAATGATAACAGTGGATGGAGAACTGCCTATCCCTGTCCCATGGTCTTGTCCACAGGTCAGCCTCACAAAGGGAAAGAGCCCTAGATGGGAATACATTGGAAGCTCATTCTCTTAGTGACCTGGGGACATTGGCTGGAGATAAAGCCCGGCAGGAGTGGCAACTCCAGGTGATTTCTACACCTTTCCTATTTCCTGGGAGGTGGGCCAGGCCACAGTGTTAGCAGGAAGGGAACAGAACTGCCAGACTAATTAGAGGGAGTGTCTGGGGAAGGCCTAGGTGTGGAGGAAGAAGCTGTGCAGGACAGGGCTTGCCAGTCAGAATGAAGTGGGAGGAAGATGAGGGACACAGAGAAGCAGAGAGAGGCAGAGACACCATGGCAGTGAGCAGTGAGGGAGACACTGACTTCAGAGACCCCAGGTACCAGGTGCCCCCATTTCCTCAGTCCAGGACCAAGGAGCCCTGAGAACCCTCCGGTGGCCAAAGAGCTTCAGAGTTGCATGAGGTGGGGTGGCTTTAGGGGCAAGAGGTAGTAGGGGGATGAAACATGGGTGTCAGCCTCTGAAGGACAAGGGACAGGTGTGGCTAGGACCTCCTAGGATTCTGCATCCAAGATCCAGTCTCTAAAGAGGTTTTGGATCATTCATTTCTTCATTTGATTCCTTCATTTGTTATGTGAGAGCTCCTGAGTATGTGTCTCTGGCTGGGCCTGTGCTGGTGCAGGGTGTGAGTGGGGAAAGAAAACAAGGTCCTCTCCTTGATCCTCTCATGACAGTAACATGGACACTTTGGGAAACACAGGATTTCAGGTTCAGTGATGGGGGTTAAGATCTGAGGGGGAGGCCTGGACATTTTTTTTGCACTGACTCTGATGGTTGAGGCAGGTGATTTAGTTCTGGAGTACAGACTAATCAGCTGACCATTTGCTCTCACTCCTCTGAGGTTTGGATGCCTAAGAAGAGAGGATTTGAGCCAATAAATGACTATGGGGTGCTTGAAACCCAGTAAGCCCTCACTTCTGGTGGAGGAGAGGATGGGCCTGTGGCTGCAGACAGACCTCATGTGACCCTGATCTCCCCTTTGGGTTTGTGTGACTCTGGTTCAAAGACTGTGCCTTCCTGTGCCTCTGTTTTCTCTCAATCAAATAAGTTAACTGGCAAATGGACTGTGGCTTTTCATGCTATCTGTGAATAAATGTTAAAGTATTCACAGTCACCTGACTTAATGCTTGGCACAGTGGAGGTGTTCACACAAACAGCATTTATTATTAATTTGCTTCCATGAGAAAGCACATTTATGTCAGATCCCTGTGGACAAGCTGCTACCAGTTACACCTTCTCTCTTCTGTTTCTGCTTCCGGGAACATTAGACTTTCTATGGACTGTCCTGAGCCTCCCAAGGCAGTTGGCTGATGGCCTACAAAGCTTGTCTTTCTGTCCTCTCCACTCTGAATGTCAGGTGAAGAAAGCTCTGTCCTTGCCCAGATGAGGCTCTGAGGGCTGAGCCCTAGCTGGTGAACAGCTGCAGGAGACACAGTCCTCAGACAGCTGGAAAACCCTTGGTCCCAGTAAGCCCTGCCCAAGAAGCCACAACCCAGCCCCAGTACAGGCTCCTTAGATTTATCTGCAGCAAGGATTTAGGGACAAGGGTCTGGGGTTGAGGCTTCTAGGGCTGAGCTTCTCTGAGAGTATCTCAGGTGGCCTCTCAGGCCAAGCCCTACTCAGTTATCCAGGGTCTTTCTCAGGGTCAAATTTATGAAGAGGGCATGAGGTGCCTGGCTGAGACTGATCTCCTCCTGCTGAGTCCCCCCATCAGACTGTCCTTCCTCTGCAGCGAGTGTCTGCAGGGTCTGGATGTGGGAAAGGAATTCTGATCTGTTGAAATTTGTCTCCTCTGTGTGTGTCCTGCACTAAATGCCCAAACTCCAGCATGGGACATAATGCAGAGGGGGACACAGGCACAGTCCAGGCCTGACAATCCTGTGTGTGTGAAGTAGAAGTGACCCCTGTCCCCCAACACCCAGGGATCATGTGGAATCACTTACGGTATAAGGTGAAGGTGAAATTTCCAGTTACTCCTCTAGTCCCATCACCTCGCTGTATGATGTGTAAGGTGTAGGATACTCCGTCCTCCCGGGTGACATTCTGGATCAGCAGGGATGCATTGGAATATACTGTTTCTCGTCCACTGTATGCAGGCCCATATGTAATTCTTTGACCGTCTACTACATATGATGTAATGTAATGGTAGAGGTCCCTTATTTGCCCTTTCTACCACATGTAACCAGTAAGATTCTGGGGCAAATTGTGGACAAGTAGAAGAACATCCTTCCCCTCGGAAACTTTGGGTGGCTGGGCTTCAGTCGTGACTTGGGCAATGGTAGGTGGGTTCCAGAAGTTTAAAAGTGATGCTAGGAGGTGGAGAGAGCATCAGTCAATATTGAGACCTGTGTATTGGTGTGAAAACATGGGGCCCTGGGTCCTGAGAAGGTCTCTTCAGTCCTCAGCCTTGACAACACAGACACACACACACATACAAACACACACACACACACACAAAAGCGGCATGTGTGATTGTGTGTGTGTATGTGTGTGTGTCCTACTGTCCTACTAGGTCAAGGTCAGCAGCATGACGCCCATTCCTTCAACACTTCTGACCTTGGCATTTTTCTGTTTGGAATCCTCTTCCCCAGGGGTCCGCATGGCCCCCTCCACACTGCCCTCAGGTCCTGCTTACATCAGGGCATCGTTAGACTTCTTTCCTGATGCCTGCTTCAGAGACCCTGGGTCTTCCCTTTCTGACCTTTCCCTGCTCTGCTCCCTCCAGGGTTCTTGTCAACACCTGACCTCACATTCTAGATCTCTTTGCATGTCTGTCTTCCCCCCCATGACAGCGTGAGCTCCGTGAGGACAGGGACTTTTGTGATCTTGGTTGCACCCCAGTGCCTGGAACAGGCTGCAGACTCCTGTAGATGTGAGAGTTCTCAGGGCCCTCCATGCCCTGGGTGTTTTTTTTCTCCCAATTGTTGAGGTTTTTTGCTGAGGACAGCATTTCATGTCCTGCTTATATTTTTATTTGAAGTGTCATCTGATATAGTTATTATTATCATTTTTCAAAATGTGCTGGCCTCTGATGATTAATCAGGAAAACAGAACACTTAAGATTTTCCTACCTCTTACCAATTCCGGTTCAATGTGACTTTCCTATTTTGACCCCTGTCCCTCTCTGGTGTATTTTCCCCTATCCAGGCATCAACAGAGCGTTCTTTCCTTTTTTTTTTCTTTTTTTCTTTTTTTTTTTTTTTGTGACGGATTCTCGTACTGTCGCCCGGGCTGGCATTCAGTGGCACTATCTCGGCTAGCTGCAACTTCTGCCTCCCGGGTTCAGGTGATTCTCCTGCCTCAGCCTCCCGAGTGGCTAGGATTACAGGAGCACACCACCATACCTGGTTAAATTTTTGTATTTTTAGCAGAGACAGGGCTTCACTGTGTTGGCCAGACTGATCGTGAACTCCTGATCTCCTGATCCACTCGCCTCAGCCTCCCAAAGTGCTGGCTTCTTTCATTTTTTAGAACCCCATCCTCTCCAGGAGACCCCATCCAGTCACTCTGCTTCCTCCTCCTGTCCTCTCCCAGGAAGTTCTCTCCTCACCTGTGAGCAGGACCCCCTTCCATTTGATGTGCTGTGTGCAGGGAGGGGCTGAGAGGGGCCCCATGGTCTCTGCTGCTTGTGTGTTCTCCTCTGTGGAGATGAGCCTAGGTTCCAGAAACTTCCTGAGCACGGCTGTAGGCTGTGCTGTCCTTCCTCCTTCTGCGCTGAGCCTCTTCCTGGGGCAGGAGCACTTCTCAGGCTCATGGGTGGGGTTAGGCCCAGGACACCTCTCTGTCCCCTCCTCTCTACATCCTGCCTCCTTGTCCCTCCTTCTGTTTTTCCTTTTGTCTGTGTTTCAGGTCCCTGGGAATTGTGGAGGCCTCTGCCTTTTTCAGCAGTGATTCTTTCACCAAACCTCAACACACACTTTGTGCAGACACAAACACACACAGACACACACCCCCCCCCCCACACACACACAGAAGAGACACACACAGACCCACAGTCACACACATACCCTGCAGGTTGGGCAAGCAGAGTCCTGGGCCTCAGCCTCCAGGTGTCCCCATGGGTCTTGGTTGCGGTGCACATTCATGCCCTTTGCCCTCTTTCATCCCCATCTGGCTCTCCCTTGCAGTGCAGGAGGCTGGAGCTGCACCAGGTCCCTGTCACAGTGATGCCCCATTGTGCTGTGTGTGAGCTGTGTGTTGCCTGGTGAGAAGGACCCTTCCTTTCTCTAATCGTGTCTAGCTTGGCTGCAGCTTCCAAGGATGGACATTGAGGACCTGGGTGTCACAGAGGAAAGTGTCCTACCTGGAGGTGTGCAGGGTGAATCTCTCATGCCTCTTGGGAGGAGAGGCCTGTGCTGGTTGCTCTTTGGGGGCTGTGATTCCCATAGTCAAAGGGACAGTTCTTGGTCAGTCTATGGCTCCCTCGGGTCTGGCGGCTGAGCTGAAGCTCAGGATTTCTCATGTTCTTCCTGACCATCTTTGATGTCCTCTCTTCTCTGCCCAGCTGATTGTCCTGTGGTCACCACACCTTCCCCCTGGTGGTGCAGGAGGAAGTGGGGAGTCACCCAGGAACCCCGTGGGACATGGCTCATTGAGACGCAGGAGGGGGAGCCTGGGACAGGGCAGGGGTTAGAGGTGGAGAGATTCATCCCAACTTACTCCGTGGCCATGATGGGCTCAGCCCTCCATGTGCTGACATACCCAGGGGTCTATCCTGAGGGTTTTGACCTGGTCAAGCTGCTCTCTGTAGAGGAGGAAGAGGCAGTGGCCAGAGAGCCTGTCTGGAGGGACCTTGCTCACACCTGAGAGGGTGTGTGGGGGTGAGTTGTGTTCTGGGATCAAAGAGCAATAACACCCCCCTTCTCCCAGCAAGCACACAGGAGAGGTCTGTCTTCCCAAGGGACAGCTGGGGGTAGGTGGCCACATCCCGGATGGTGCCTGTGTGTGACCATCACACGCACTCTGAGCACCCCGGGGTGCAGCGGGCAGGCAGGTCACAGGGTGCCTGACTGATTCCCGGGGAGGCTGTGGGTCCTCAGGCAGCCGCTGTTCTGTGTCGGCGCTAGGCTTGGCCTGGGATGCCCCAGAGAAGAGGACAGATGGAGCAGGGGCGGGTATTTAGAGAGCAGTGACAGAAAGAGTTGATGAGGATGGAGGGAGGCCACGAGGGGAAAGCACCCCGTGTAGCGTCGCGTGCACCAGTGCTGCCCTGGGAGATGCCTTTAGCTGGGCCCAGGGAAGGAGCAGGTGTGTGGGGAGGAGCTACCTGTAGGGGGAGTGGTGTTAGGTTGGTGGCCACCAGGTCAGGGAGGAGCTGACAGAGTCCGTGTGGGGAGCATGGAGAGAGCTGAGGACTTAGGCCGAAGTGACCCTGATGAGGGTGGATCCTGCTGGGCTGTGGGTTCCGCTGAGGGAGGTTGGCATCCCCTAGGAAGGCTCCAGGGTGGGAGGGACTCTGTCGCCCTCTGGTGGACAGGGAGGGAAGTGTGAACGGCAGCAATCCCAGGCCAGGCTGCATGTTTTATTCCACATGGATCTGCACACTTCACACTAGGTCACACATATGTTATGTTACAGCTCCATCACCCTTCCAGCCCCGTGAGTCCCAGTCTCTGTGGCTCTATGTTCACTGTTCTCCCTTTCACAATCAGATGTCCCAAACGCAGATTTTTGTCACTTTCTGTGAGTTCGTGTTTGTATGCAGTAGGCGGCACTGTATATACCCTGGGGGCAGTGATGTCTAGGGCTGAGCAGTGCACGTGGGCTTGGGAGGAGAAGAGGGAGCAGCAGAGTGGGAATATCAATGTCAGAGGGACAGGGACAAGTCACTTTCATTTTCTCACTCCCAGGGACCAGAACCCAGGATTCTGACTCCAGGGCACAGTACCACACCTTGCTGGTGTCCCTGGATGTCATGATGCTCATAGTGTCATGTTGCCTTGGCATTCATTTTTTAAGGTGTAAGTTTATTTGCCTCAAATCAGAGGCAGGGCTTGGTCACCATGGCAGTTTTCAATACTGTATCTGGTTCAAGTGGCTCCAGTTGGTGTCCAGAGATCAAATCTTAGAGGCATCTCTCCTGCTTGGTGTGCTGGGCTCTCCTCTCTCCAGCTGCTTTCTTTAAACTGATAATTCTGACATTCACCCTCACATTTAAAGTGACCACCTCTCAGTCACAGCATGAGCTCCTGGTCCCAGTGTTTGCTGCTTGCTTTGAACACATCCATTAAAGCTCCCTGCTGGAAATCTGTCAGATAACACCCTGGACTTAATAAAGGCATTGGCTTACCGGTCTCTTCTCTCCTCCCTGCCTGGGCTCACTGACCTCTGTGTCTGTGGTCTCCAGGTGTGCCAAGTGCTCCCCAGTGTCTGTAAGTAGTAAAAATACTTACACTTTCACGTTGTGGTTGTATTGCTGTGGCCTCACATGCCATCCAGGGCCTGACATTGACGCTGCCTTGTGGGACCTGTGCTGGCTGAGCCCCTGCTGGAGCTGTTGTTTTATGGTCTCTGGTTCTGCTGGGGACAGGAGCTTCCAGCTAACTTGATTGAAAAACTGATGCCTTTCATTGAAAACACTGGGTCAGATGATGTATTCATGGGCTTCAGCTGCCATAACAAACACCTTAGCCTGGGTGAATTAAATAATAGAAATCTATTTTTCACAGTTCTGTGAATAATGTGCTATTCTAACCACTTTAAAATCCACAATCAAGTGAAATTAACCACACACACAGTGTTAAATTACCATCACCACTATTTTCCCTAGAAAATTTTTATCATTTTAAACTGAAAGTTTGTATCTTTTAAACAATAACTCCCTGTATGTTCCACCCTAGACCTTGATCATCTCTACTCTGTCTCTATGAATTTGCCTATTCTTGATGTTTCATATAAATGGAATTATACAATTATGTTATTTCATTTCTGACATATTTCACTTAGCATAATGTTTCCAAAGTCCATGCATGTTCCAGCGGGTGTCAGAGCTTCCTTCCTCTTTATGGCAGATTATCATTCTGTTGTATGTGTCACCATATTTGTTTATTCATGTGTTGATGAACACTTGGATTGTTTTCATATTTTATCTTTTCTGAATAATGCTGCAATGAACATTCCCATGCAAGTACCTGTTTGAGTCCGTACTTTGGGTATATACCTAGGAATGGATGTTGTTTCAAATGAGAATACTATGATTAGCTTTTGTTTTTGTTATTATTATACTTTAAGTTTTAGGGTACATGTGCACAATGTGCAGGTTTGTTATATATGTATACATGTGCCATGCTGGTGTGCTGCACCCACTGACTCATCATTTAGCATTAGGTATATCTCCTAAAGTTATCCGTCCCCCCTCCCCTCACCCCACAACAGTCCCCAGAGTGTGATGTTCCCCTTCCTGTGTTCGTGTGTTCTCATTGTTCAGTTCCCACCTGTGAGTGAGAATATGCGGTGTTTGGTTTTTTTGTTCTTGCAATAGTTTACTGAGAATGATGATTTCCAATTTCATCCATGTCCCTACAAAGGACATGAACTCATCATTTTTTATGGCTGCATAGTATTCCATGGTGTATATGTGCCACATTTTCTTAATCCAGTCTATCATTGTTGGACATTTGGGTTGGTTCCAAGTCTTTGCTATTGTGAAGTATGATATTGGCTGTGGGTTTGTCATAGATAGCTCTTATTATTTTGAGATATGTCCCATCAATACCTAATTTATTGAGAGTTTTTAGCATGAAGCATTGTTGAATTTTGTCAAAGGCCTCTTCTGCATCTATTGAGATAATCATGTGGTTTTTGTCTTTGGTTCTTATGCTGGATTACATTTATTGATTTGCGTATGTTGAACCAGCCTTGCATCCCAGGGTTGAAGCCCACTTGATCATGGTGGATAAGCTTTTTGATGTGCTGCTGGATTCTGTTTGCCAGTATTTTATTGAGGATTTTTGCGTCAATGTTGATAAAGGATATTGGTCTAAAATTCTCTTTTTTGGTTGTGTCTCTGCCCGGCTTTGGTATCAGGATGATGCTGGCCTCATAAAATGAGTTAGGGAGGATTCCCTCTTTTTCTATTGATTGGAATAGTTTCAGAAGGAATGGTACCAGCTCCTCCTTGTACCTCTGGTAGAATTCGGCTGTGAATCCATCTGGTCCTGGACTCTTTTTGGTTGGTAAGCTATTGATTATTGCCACAATTTCAGATCCTGTTATTGGTCTATTCAGAGATTCAACTTCTTCCTGGTTTAGTCTTGGGAGGGTGTATGTGTCAAGGAATTTATCCATTTCTTCTACATTTTCTAGTTTATTTGCATAGAAGTGCTTTTAGTATTCTCTGATGGCAGTTTGTATTTCTGTGGGATCGGTGGTGATATCCCCTTTATCATTTTTTATTGTGTCTATTTGATTCTTCTCTCTTTTCTTCTTTATTAGTCTTGCTAGTGGTCTATCAATTTTGTTGATCCTTTCAAAAAACCAGCTCCTGGATTCATTAATTTTTTGAAGGGTTTTTTGTGTCTCTATTTCCTTCAGTTCTGCTCTGATTTTAGTTATTTCTTGCCTTCTGCTAGCTTTTGAATGTGTTTGCTCTTGCTTTTCTAGTTCTTTTAATTGTGAAGTTAGGGTGTCAATTTTGGATCTTTCCTGCTTTCTCTTGTGGGCATTTCGTGCTATAAATTTCCCTCTGCACACTGCTTTGAATGCATCCCAGAGATTCTGGTATGTTGTGTCTTTGTTCTCATTGGTTTCAAAGAACATCTTTATTTCTGCCTTCATTTTGTTATCTACCCAGTAGTCATTCAGGAGCAGGTTGTTCAGTTTCCATGTAGTTGACCTGTTTTAAGTGAGATTCTTAATCCTGAGTTCTAGTTTGATTGCACTGTGGTCTGAGAGACAGTTTGTTATAATTTCTGTTCTTTTACATTTGCTGAGGAGAGCTTTACTTCCAAGTATGTGGTCAATTTTGTAATAGGTGTGGTGTGGTGCTGAAAAAAATGTAGATTCTGTTGATTTGGGTTGGAGAGTTCTGTAGATGTCTATTAGGTCCACTTGGTGCAGAGCTGAGTTCAATTCCTGGGTATCCTTCTTAACTTTCTGTCTCGTTGATCTGTCTAATGTTGACAATGGGGTGTTAAAGTCTCCCATTATTATTGTGTGGGAGTCTAAGTCTCTTTGTAGGTCACTCAGGACTTGCTTTATGAATCTGGGTGCTCCTGTATTGGGTGCATATATGTTTAGGATAGTTAGCTCTTCTTGTTGAATTGATCCCTTTACCATTATGTAATGGCCTTCTTTGTCTCTTTTGATCTTTGTTGGTTTAAAGTCTGTTTTATTAGAGACTAGGATTGCAACCCCTGCCTTTTCTTTTTTCCATTTGCTTGGTAGATCTTCCTCCATCCTTTTATTTTGAGCCTATGTGTGTCTCTGCACATGGGATGGGTTTCCTGAATACAGCACACTGATGGGTCTTGACTCTTTATCCAATTTGCCAGTCTGTGTCTTTTAATTGGAGCATTTAGTCCATTTAAATTTAAAGTTAATATTGTTATGTGTGAACTTTATCCTGTCATTATGATGTTAGCTGGTTATTTTGCTCATTGGTTGATGCAGTTTCTTCCTAGCCTTGATGGTCTTTACAATTTGGCATGATTTTGCAGTGGCTGGTACCAGTTGTTCCTTTCCATGTTTATCGCTTCCTTCAGGAGCTCTTTTTGGGCAGGCCTGGTGGTGACAAAATCTCTCAGCATTTGCTTGTCTGTAAAGTATTTTATTTCTCCTTCACTTATGAAGCTTAATTTGGCTGGATATGAAATTCTGGGTTGAAAATTCTTTTCTTTAAGAATGTTGAATATTGGCCCCCACTCTCCTCTGGCTTGTAGGGTTTCTGCTGAGAGATCCGCTGTTAGTCTGATGGGGTTCCCTTTGTGGGTAAGTCGACCTTTCTCTCTGCTTCCCTTAACATTTTTTCCTTCATTTCAACTTTGGTGAATCTGACAATTATGTGTCTTGGATTTGCTCTTCTTGAGGAGTATCTTTGTGGCGTTCTCTGTATTTCCTGAATCTGAATGTTGGCCTGCCTTGCTAGATTGGGGAAGTTCTCCTGGATAATATCCTGCAGAGTGTTTTCCAACTTGGTTCCATTCTCCCCGTCACTTTCAGGTACACCAATCAGACGTAGATTTGGTCTTTTCACATAGTCCCATATTTCTTGGAGGCTTTGTTCATTTCTTTTTATTCTTTTTTCTCTAAACTTCCCTTCTCGCTTCATTTCATTCATTTCATCTTCCATCACTGATACCCTTCTTCCAGTTGATCGCATCGGCTCCTGAGGCTTCTGCATTCTTCACGTAGTTCTCGAGTCTTGGCTTTCAGCTCCATCAGCTCCTTCAAGCACTTCTCTGTATTGGTTATTCTAGTTATACCTTCATCTAAATTTTTTTCAAAGTTTTTAACTTCTTTGCCTTTGGTTTGAATTTCCTCCTGGAGCTCAGAGTAGTTTGAACATCTGAAGCCTTCTTCTCTCAACTTATGAAAGTCATTCTCCATCCAGCTTTGTTCCATTGCTGGTGAGGAACTGCGTTCCTTTTGAGGAGGAGAGGCGCTCTGCTTTTTATAGTTTCGTTTTACTGCTCTGTTTTTTCCCCATCTTTGTGGTTTTATCTACTTTTCGTCTTTGATGATGGTGATGTACAGATGGGTTTTTGGTGTGGATGTCCTCTCTGTTTGTTAGTTTTCCTTCTAAGAGACAGGACCTTCAGCTGAAGGTCTGTTGGAGTTTACTAGAGGTCCACTCCAGACCCTGTTTGTGTGGGTACCAGCAGCGGTGGCTGCAGAACAGCGGATTTTTGTGAACTGCGAATGCTGCTGTCTGATCGTTCCTCTGGAAGTTTTGTCTCAGAGGAGTACCCGGCCATGTGAGGTGTCAGTCTTCCCCTAGTGGGGGGTGCCTCCCAGTTAGGCTGCTCGGGGGTCAGGCATCATGAACCCACTTGAGGAGGCAGTCTGCCCATTTTCAGATCTCCAGCTGCATGCTGGGAGAACCACTGCTCTGTTCAAAGCTGTCAGACAGGGACATTTAAGTCTGCAGAGGTTACTGCTGTCTTTTTGTTTGTCTGTGCCTGGCCCACAGAGGTGGAGCCTACAGAGGCAGGCAGGCCTCTTTGAGCTGTGGTGGGCTCCACCCAGTTTGAGCTTCCTGGCTGCTTTGTTTACCTAAGCAAGCGTTGGCAATGGCGGGAGCCCCTCCCCGAGCCTCACTGCCACCTTGCAGTTTGATCTCAGACTGCTGTGCTAGGAATCAGCGAGACTCTGTGGGCATAGGACCCTCTGAGCCATGTTCGGGATATAATCTCCTGGTGCGCCTTTTTTTATGCCTATTTCAAAAGCACAGTATTAGGATGGGAGTGACCCGATTTTCCAGGTGCCATCTGTCACCCCTTTCTTTGACTAGAAAAGGGAACTCCCTGACCTCTTGTGCTTCCCGAGTGAGGCAATGCCTTGCCCTGCTTTGGCTCATGCACAGTGCACTGCACCCACTGTCCTGTGCCCACTGTCCAGCAGTCGCTAGTGAGATGAACCTGGTACCTCAGATGGAAATGCAGAAATCACCCGTCTTCTGCATCGCTCACGCTGGGAGCTGTAGACCAGAGCTGTTCCTATTCGGCCATCTTGGCTCCAGGACCCTATGATTAGCTTTTTGAGGAAGAGCAAAACTGTTTCTCCTAGTGGCTGTACTTTTTTATATTCTCACCAGCAATGTATGAGGATTCCAAATTCTACATAATGCTGCCACTTGTTATTTAACATTTTAAAAGAATTGTAGCCAGTTTTGTAGGTGTGGTGTGGTATCTCATTGCAGCTTTGACTTTGTATTTTCCTAATGACTAATGATGTTGAGTATCTTTTCATGTCCTTCTTGACTATTTGTATATCTTCTTTGAAGAAACATCTATTTGAGTCTTTTGTCCATTTATAAATTGGATGGTTTCTCCCTTTGTTATTGAGTTGTAGCTAGTTCTTGATATTATCTGGACATGAAAACTGCCTATATGTGGTTTGCAAATATTTTCTCTCATTCTGTGTCTATTAATTATTTTCTTGATGATTTCCTTTGATGCACAAAAGGCTCACATCTTGATAAAGCCCAATTTATCTTTTTTTTCTCATGCTTTTGTATCATAGCTAAGAATCCATTGCACATTTGAGGTCATCAATATTTACCTCTATGTCTATTTTAAGATGTTTTTATGGTTATAGGTCTTATATTTAACTCACTGATCAATTTTTTAGAGAATTGTTTGATATGGTGGGAGGTAGAGTTATCTAAATTCACTGTTTTGCATGTGGTTATCTAGTTGTTTCTGCATTATCATTAGAAAGGAGAATTGTTCCTCCATTAAATTGTCTTGACACACTCTTCAAAGAGTAATTGACCATAAGTGTGAGGGTTTATTTCTAGGCTCTCAGTTCTATCCCATTTGTCTTTATGTCCATTCTTTTGCCAGCAGCTTATGTCTATTCTTTGCCAGTAGCTTCTGTTTTAATAATTGTACTCCTTTGTGAGATTTCAAATAAGAAAGTTCAAGTCCTACAATTTATTTTGGCAAGATTGTTTTGGCTATTCAGGGGTCCTTTTTTGAAAGGTGGGGAGGCCAATATTTCACAACTGGGAAAGCCGTTTCTGTCTTCTTCAGGGGGAAATTTGGGAGAACATTTTAAGAAACTTTATCTAAGTAGGTAAACTGTTACCACTTTATTTGCTGAAGTGCTACGTTAAAGTGTGCATTGCCTCTTGTGGAAGAATTATGAGACCCTGGAAGCACTAGCCCACATGGTAAGAGACAGTGAATTCCACAATGAGGGGCAGAGAGGATGTTGTTTTGGGATACAATGTTGTTGGGGGAGTGGTATACATCTCTACTTCTTTATGTCTCTGTATAGTTGGTGTAGGGACCAGCCACACAAGGTCAGTGGGTTTTTCTCCCTGTGTGTGGAGATGAGAGATTGTAGAAATAAAGACAGAAGACAGAGATAAAAGAAAAGACAGCTGGGCCTGTGGGACCACTACCACCAAGACACAGAGACCGGTAGTGGCACCGAATGCCAGGCTGCACTGACATTTATTGGATACAAGACAAAGGGGCAGGATAAGGAGTGTGAGCCATCTCCAATGATAGGTAAGGCCACAGGGGTCACATGTCCACTGGACAGGGGGCCCTTCCCTGCCTGGCAACCAAGGCAGAGTGAGAGAAGAGAAAGAGAGAGAGAGCTTACAGCATTATTTCTGCTTATTAGAGACTTTTAGTACTTTCACTAATTTGCTTCTGCTAACTAAATGGCAGAGCCAGGTGAACAGGTTGGAACATGAAGGTGGACTAGGATTGTGACCACTGAAGCACAGCATCATAGGGAGACAGTCAGGCCTCCAAATAACTGCAGGTGGACCTGACTAATGTCAGGCCCTCTACAAGAGGTGGAGGAGTAGAGTCTTCTCTAAATTTCCCCAGGGAAAGGGAGACTCTAAGTAGCTTTCCTGGTCTGCTAAGTAGCAGGTGTTTTTCCTTGACACTGAGGCTACTGCTAGACCAGGGTCCGCTTGGCAATGGGCATCTTCCCAGACGCTGTCATTACCGCTAGACCAAGGAGCCCTCTAGTTGCCCTGTCTGGGCATAACAGAAGGCTCACACTCTTGTCTTCTGGTCACTTCTCACTATGTCTCCTGAGCTCATGTCTCTGTATGGCCTGGCTTTTCCTAGGTTATGATTATAGAAATGAGGATTATTATAATATTGGAATAAAGAGTAATTGCTACCAAGTAATGATTAATGATATTCATATATAATCATATCTAAGATCTATATCTGGTATAACTATTCTTCTTTTATATTTTATTATACCGGAAGAGCTTGTGCCCTCGGTCTCTTGCCTTGGCACCTGGGTGGCTTGCCACCCACAAGTGGGCATCTCCGTTGGACACAGTAGGTTTTGAAATCCTTGTTTATCCTCTGGGGTCTGGGTCTTGGCTTACCTGTTAGCTGCAGCTGAAAGAGGTGTCTGCTAAGGCATTGCCACCTGTGGTGAGAAGAAGGGTTCAGCAGAGTGAAAGTAGCTGGGGCTCAGAGAAACCAGGAAAGTCTGACTCTTAGAAACTATGGGTCAGCAGATGGGTGTCCTCAGGGGTAAATGGGCCATGCCAGTAGACATTGCAGTGGACTGGAAGAAGGTAAGGGATGCCAGGTATCCCATGTTCTGTCTCAGCTCTGCAGCTGAAGATTTGGGCCATGGGCTTGTACGGCCCTGCAGCAGGGGAAGGGTATAGAGGAATGGCTGCATATCAGGACCAAGTCCATGTCATCTTCTTAGGCATTGTTACCACAGATGGAGGATTCTGTTCAGAGACTGGCCTGGACACATGGGAGGGCCCACCCCATTCTTTTAAAATTATTTTAAGAGAACAGTATTAGCAAAGGTGGTACATGTTTTATTCTGCTAGAATGTCTTACTGTCACGTTTTACAATGTATCTCTTAGGAAACGGCAAGAGCCATCCACACAATGTGGATTTAAAGGGGACTCTATTATAATTTCAGCTTTCCTACGTCTTCATACAAACCATCTTCTCTGCAAACACACAGGCAATATCTCTGTGTTCATTTCTATTGGGAGCCCTGTATGCAAGGTGGAGAGAGCCACATTTCCCCCTGAGATGTTATGTAAAAGTTTGAGGTTGAGATGACATATCTGACACTCTGTTGTTACTCTCAGAAGCTACTACATGTGAAATTCTAATGACTGCATTATCCTGCCAAGTGAAAGAGGCAGGCATGAGCAAGGACAGTTAAGAGGGGGGAGAGCCTCATCATGATGGGGAGTCTTGTTCTGACATCTTGGGAAAAACTGTCCACAGTGTGAAGTCATCCACTTGTTGTCCTGGTTTACAGTTTGAGCATCTGTTGTTATGGTGTCGAATATTTTGGTGAGTTCTGAGTGGCTCATGCTTCACGTACAAGGGTTTTCCCATGAAATTTACATTGAGTTGTCCACCTCCAGCTTATAGGGCTTCTGGAACAGAGTGGGTCTTGCTCTTAGTGATTCCATGGGAGAAAATGGAATTGGAGGTACTAGTAGAATTCAGGGAACTGTCCAGTCTACAGGTGGATAATAAAAACACAGAAACAATGAACAGAGCTGCAGTCTCATAACAGGTATACTACAGTTTTTATTTTCCACATAATTTTTCCCTCTATGGGCATCTCTACTTTTACCAATGATAATTTCAGTAGAATAAGTTTGTTTGCAAAATAGGTGGAGTTTCTTCAAATGTGGTCTGATTGTTTACATAAGTGCAGCAAGAGTAGCAATGGACCATGTAGGCTGTCTTCTAAAATTTTCTTTTCTCTAAGTTTTTATAAGGAATCTGAGATTAAATCTTCACAAACCTCTTGAGAATAGGAAGCCAAACCAAGGCTGACTTCAGACTTTGCCTGCAGTTCATATTGGTTCATTCTATCTATGTTTTTAATATAACATCCGAATCAAAGCATTGGTAATATAACCAATGATTTCAAATGTGTCATGTTACAAAGAAAGCAGATTGTTACTGTACTTGTGCAAATATGTGTATTACCATAAACATATCAATTCTCATGAATAGTTGCCCAATTCTGGGGCAGTCAGGTAGAAAGCAAAAGTAAATGTTTCAATTACGGTTCCCAGAAGTATAGTTTATTGAACTGCTATAAGCTGTAGATAGATTAAAAGAGAAAAATTCCATCAATGTAGAAAACAAACCATTTAAAGAATCAGCAAATTTTCAAATAAAAATCATAAAAACATTATCTTCATTATTATCAATTATTTCAATGAAATCAATGTTCTTCCTGCTTGGTCTAGGCTGGGAATATTATGAAGATATCAGCCTGTTTGTTAAAGTTTTCGAAGTTCTTAGACAAATTTGGAGGGTTCAGGAGGAGAATTTGGGATTTGCTTGTGCCCATGGGACACAGGCTGGGAATACAATTGTTTTCCTGACTCTTCTCTGAATGCCAGATAGACTCCACCTAAAACCCTATTGCCAACGATGCTGGGATCCACTTACCAGAGACTTCGACTGTCATGGATTTGGAGCTTTCCTTGCCAGTGGCTGAGTTACGAACAGAGCAAACATAGAGCCCGCTATGCTTTGTAGTAATATGGCGGATAAAGAGCTTTTGTCCTGGTAGCTGAAACTTTTCATTAATTGTCCAAGAATACTGTGCCGGTGGGTTAGAGTCCGCAGAACAGGACAAGTAGAGGACTTCTCCTGAACGGTAATAGGTGAATGAAGGGTAAATTCTGGGGAGGTCTGGACCATCTGGAGCAAAGAGAATAAAGCCACAGGTGATGTCATCTGAGGGAAGGGGATGTTCCTGGTCTCTTAAAGGGACACAGTGACCCTCTGAGCCAAGACACACCCTCAAGTCCCAGCCCAACCCCCTCTATGTTCACTGAGCCGAATCCTGAGGTATTCCCCTGTTTCTCCCATCACAAGCTGTGGGCCCCAAGTCTCCCATGATAAGAGCATCCCCTCCCCTTATATTCTTGGTTAAGGC
This sequence comes from Homo sapiens, assembly GCF_000001405.40. Classification (NCBI taxonomy): domain Eukaryota; kingdom Metazoa; phylum Chordata; class Mammalia; order Primates; family Hominidae; genus Homo; species Homo sapiens. Next base: position 42,868,594 of record NC_000019.10, read on the forward strand.
TGTGCCTACCCAGGATTTCCCAGGGCAGGGAGTCATGGCCAGCTCCGATGTCCAGAAGTAAAGGTGTCTATACTTGGACCGGAGAGAGACTGAGAGGCCTGGCATCTGGTGGTTTGGATTTAAGCTGGTGTCCTGGCCCACAGAGGAACAAAAGATACTCACAGAGGACATTCAGGGTGACTGGGTCACTGCGGATGCCACCATATCGGTCCCGTATTTCACATTGATAGGGTCCTGTTTCATTTCTCGTGACACTGGGTAGAATGAGGATCCTGTTTTCAATGGGTCGCTTTACCCTGGGACTGACCGGGAGGCTCTGACCATTTAGCCACCAAATGTAGGTGTAGTTCTCACTCTTAGGTTCACAGGTGAAGTTTAAGACATCCTTATTCTCCCTGGGGTTTAAGTTGTTGATGGTGATGTAGGGCTTGGGCAGCTTCGCTGTGTGGATAACAGAGAGAAGATTGTCCTGTGTGGCACCTTTGATTCCTCCACAGGTATCCTTCAATCAGAGTTGGCATCTCCCACCTCTCATTCCACCCGAGTCCTTGAAAGCCAATAGCTGGTGCTTTTGTCACAAGATAGATGCATGATGATCTAAGGGCTCAAAGACTGTGAGGCCGCCTTCTCTGTCTTAGGGAAGCACAGACTTTCTGAAGTGTCAATTGAGCAGCAGTGTTGGGTCATGGACAGACACGTCAGTGGGAGTCACAGCCCCTGGTACCCTTCCCAGGCCCTCCCTAATCAGTTGACTGGCTGGCTCACCTTGGGTTCCTTACCTGGAATATGCAACTGCTGGGCCCCTTCCAAATTCCATCCTACTTTGTCCCCCTAGATGTGATTTCTCTGCAGCTTCCATTTCAAAGGACATTCTAGAGATGAGTAATAATGGGACTTCCCTTTGTCCTGCAACCCTGAAGATACTGAGCAGCCTGGCCTGGGACTGGATGTTTCAGCAGAAATAACACAGGGGAGACCAGAATCAAGGCTGGAGGTCAGTTCAGTCATCAGGCAGTGGAGGCTCAAGGTGGGGCAGTTTTTTGCAGGTGTTTCATGATGACTTACTTGAACCAGTGACCTCTAAAGATAGAGCAGAGTGCAAGGAATGATCTAGAAAGAGTGAAGGGGACAGGCAAGAGCTGGTGGCTTTGGAGCAGAAGCATGTTCCCTGTCTTGGGTTCTTTAAGTTTCCTCTCCTTCTGCAGAGGGCAGGTGAGGACCATGTGGATCTTTCCAGAAATACATGTGGACATTTGCAAATTCAGAACTGACTGGTAGAAAGGGTGGGAATGAACTGCTGGAAATCTGGTCCTCATGAACCATGTGTGTTTGATGGATATGAGACAAATTTGGAGAGAGGTTTTGCAAATATTTTATTTCATTGGACATTCTACTCTCTGATTCCATGGGTTCAACTACTCTAGGGACCTCATGTAAGTGGATTCCAGAGTGAATATGAGAAGAGACTGCTGGTTGTCAGGAGCTGGGAGTGGGTAGAATCAGAAGTTGTTCATGGGTGTGCAGTTTCAGTTATGCAAGGTGGGGAGGTTCTAGAGAACTGCTGTAGAGCTTGATGCCTATAGTTCACACAGATTGAGTATTTCTTATGCATAAGACTTAGGACAAAAAGTGTTTTGGATTTCTGACATTTTTTGATTCTGAAATATTTGTCATATACTTACTGGTTTAGCATCCCAAATCTGAAAGATTCAAAATCTAAAATGCTCCAGTGAGCATTTCTTTTCAGCATCAGATTAGTAGGCAAAAGTGGGAGGTGATAAGCCAAAGATATTCTTGCCCTTTTTTTTCTCTCACCACGTTTCTAGCTTGGTGATCAGTTTTCGGTGAATTCCACAGTGGCCATGCTGCACTCGTATATTTTTGAAGGCCTTGGGATGTGAGAAAGGCTGATTGCTATTTTCTATGTCATCAGAACTTTCCACCTTTTCATGGTTACCTCTTTTTCTCAGTGTTTGTGTTGTGTCAGTCATTAATAAGAGCCTGTCATGTGAGATTTAGGACAGTGTTTTCTAATTCTGCAAAAAATGTTACTGTGATTCTGGTAGGGGATGCATTGAATCTGCAACTCATTTTGGGTAATGTTGTCTTTCTAACAATATTGATTCTTCCAATCCATGAAAATGAAATGTCTTTCCATATATTGATATCGTCTTTAATTTCTTTCAGCAATGGTTTGTAGTTTTCAGGGTATAATCATTTGACTTTTTTGGTTAAACTTACTCCAAAATATTTTATTCCTTTTGATGTTAATGTGAATTGAAATTATTTCCTTAATTTCCTTTCAGATTGTTCATTGTTAGTGTATAGTCTAAAGAATGATCTAGAAAGAGTGAAGGGGACAGGCAAAAGCTGGTGGTTTTGGAGTAGAAACATATTCCCTGTCCTGGGTTTTTGATTTTCCCTCTCCCTTTGCAGAGGGCAGGTGGCTCTTCCCTGATAGCTAGATAGACTTCACTGGAAAACATATTGCCAATGCTCCAGGGATCCACTTACCAGGGACTATGATCCTCTTGATTATGAGATTTGTTCCACCAGTGGCTGAGTTATGGATGAAACAGACCTAGATCCCTGTATATGTTTTAGTGATTTGGGGTATAAAGAACACTTGTGTTGATTGCTGGAACTTCCCAGCAATCAGCCAAGAATGCTCTGCCAGTGGATGGAGTCTGTGAGGCAGGAGAGCTTGGGGACTTCCCCTGTATGGTAATAGGTGTATGAGGAAGAAATGGTGGGGGCATCCAGGCCATGTGGAGTAAAGAGAATAATGTCACAGGCACTATTGTCAGAGGGAAGGGAAAATCCTGGTCTGTGGAAGGGCCACAATCACAGTGACCCTGTGAGCCAAGTCACAACATTGAAGTCCCAGCCAAATCCCCACTGTGTTCACAGATCTGGAGCCTGAGACCTTCACCTGTTTCTCCCATCACAAGCTGTGGACCCTGAGTCTCCCATGACAGGAGCAGCCTCTTTTCTCCTATTGTTGATGAAGCCTAGGTCTACTCTGGTTTGCCTGGGGCACAAAGTCATGGCCAGGTTTGATGTCCAGGGGTAAAGGTCTCTGTATTGGACCTGAGAGGGACAGAGAGGCCTGGCCTCTGGCCACGTGTATTTGGGATGGCAGCCTGGCTCACAGAGGAACAGAAGATACTCACGGAGGAGATTCAGGGTGACTGGGTCACTGCGGCTGGCACTCACTGGGTTCCGTATTTCACATTCATAGGGTCCTGCAGTATACTTTGTGACACCCAATAGAAAGAGGGTCCTGTTGGTTTCGGACAGCTTCAAGCTGTGAGTCATAGGGAGGCTCTGACCATTCATCCACCACAGGTAGCTTGCGTCTGGAGTCTCAGGGTCACAGGTTAAGCTCACAGCCTCCATGGTCTCCCTGGGATTTAAGTTGCTGCTGGAGATGGAGGGCTTAGGAGTCTCCACTGTGCAGAAAACAGGGTGAAGATTGCCGTGTGTGGCGCCTTTGATTCCTCCAAAGGCATTTTTCAATCAGAATTGGCATTTCCCACCTCTCAGCCCACCCAAGTCCTTAAAAGCCCATGGCAGGTGTGTGTGATACAAGACAGATGCATGGCAATCTGAGGGCTCAGAGATTGTGAGGCTGCCTGCTTCATGTGGGAGAAGCACAGACTTTCTCAAGTGTGAATTGAGCAGCAGCATTGGGTCATGGAAAGACACAGGACCAGCAGTCACAGCCCCTGGTGCCTCTGTGTGTCCCTCCGTCTCCAACTGCCTGCCTGGCCCACCTTGTGGTCCTCACTTGGAGCATGCAGTGCTGGAATCTTGTTAGTTTCAGTCTCACTTTGCCCACTGAGGTATGTTTTCTCTGCAGCTTCCCTTGCCAAGGACATCCTAGAGATGGATGATGGAACTTCCCATTGTCCTTAAAACCTTTGGGTACTGGAAAGCCTGGCCTGGGACTGGGTATTCTAGCATAAAACAGGGGAGACCAGAGTCAAGCCTGGAGGTCAGTTCAGTCATCAGGCAGTGGAGCCACGAGGTGGGGCAGTTTTCCCAGGTGTCTCATAGTGACTGAGTTGAGCTAGTGACTCTAAAGATAGAGCAGAGTCCAAGGAATGACCTACAAAGAGTGAAGGGGATAGGCAAGAGCTGATAGCTTTGGACCAAGACCATGTTCTCTCTTCTGGGTCCATGATGCTCCCTTCCCCCTGTAGAGGGCAGTTGAGGACCATGTGGATCTTTCTAGAAATACATGTGGATCTTTGCAAATGCAGAACTGACTGGTGGAAAGGGCGATCATGAACTGATGACGGAAGTCTGGCCCTCATGGACCATATGTGTTTGGTGAATATTAGACCAATATTTGGGAAGAAGTCTTGCAGATACTTTCTCTCATTAGACATTCTACTCTCTGATTCTGAGTTTGACTACTCTATGTACCTGATATCAGTGGATTCCAGAGTGAATCAGAGAGTAGAATAGTAGTTTGCAGGAGCTGGGATCAGGGGAATAGGGTGTTGTTCCGTGGGTGTGCAGTTTCAGTTATGCAGGAAGAGGAGGTTCTAGAGATCTCCTGTACAGCCTCATGCCTATACTTCATACAGATAAAGTGCTCCTTATGCAGAAAGCTTGAAACTAAGTGTTTTGGATGTCTAATTATTTTTTTATTTTGGAATATTTGCAGTACATGTACTGGTTTAGCATCCCAAATCTGAAAAATTTAAAATCCACAATGCGCCAGTGAGCACTTCTTTTTAGCATCACATCAGTGGTCAGAAGTGTTGAGTTTTGAGCATTTCAGATTGTGGATTTCTGGATTTCCGATGCTCAATTTGTAACAGTGTAATTTTTCCGTAAAAATTTGTCAGGAGTTTAGACCTCATGTTATATTCTGACTCTAGTAACAAAAAAAATTTGGAGGAAACATTAAAATGTTTTCATAAGTGGAAATTTTTACTGATGGTCCAAACATCTAAGATCAATTGCTGGTAGTAGTATTTCTCTTGAGACCAAAATAAGGTTTAGGTGTGCCGTGAATTCCAGCAGGATCACGTTATGCTCAAAGAAAGATGCCAAAGGTGATTTGAAATTAGCAGCTCCTTAAGTAGAGAGAGTCCCATTGAAAGGACCGAACTGGTCAGTGCATCAATTACATAAAGGGAGAAAGGATGTCAAATTAAAAGAAGTGATGTGTGTTATGTTAGTAAATATAGAAAGAACTCCCTGCTTCTAAATTCTGTGCAGAGTTAGGAAAAATGGGGAGGACCTCAAAACAGGTATGTGAAATGCTTTCTTCATTTTCTCTTAAGCTCAGGAAACACCACTAGAGTTTAAGTTTGTGTGAATTAGGAAGAGTCTAAGTGAGATGGCAATGGCTCTTGTGTCTCCCCACACGAAGATCTCCAACTTATGAAAATGACATCATCATGAGGAAACAGTTATAGGTGGCACAGGCAGTAAAACCATCAGATAACACCCACCTGGTCAACTCCAACTAGTCCCCAAAACCACCGGTATTCCCATTACGTGTACATTACAGTCTTTGTAGTTGTCCCACAGCTACAAAATTTAAAAATTGCTATTGTCAAAACAAAATATTAAATATGAAGTTGAATATGTTGTTCCACTTTTTTTCCCCACTCTTTTTGAACTTTCCTGTTTCAGTTTTGGAAGTTTCTGTTGACACATCCTCAAGCTAGGTATTCTTTCCACAGCTGTGTGCAGTCTACCAGTAAGCATCAAAAGCATTCTTCATTTCTCTAACAGGGTTTTTTTTTTCTGAGACAGAGTCTCGCTCTGTCACCCCGGCTGCAGTGCAGTGGCATGATCTCAGCTCACTGCAAGCTCTGCCTCCTGGGTTCACACCATTCTCCTGCCTTGGCCTCCCAAGTAGCTGGGACTACAGGGGCCCGCCACCATGCCTGGCTAATTTTTTGCATTTTTAGTAGAGACGGGGTTTCACCATGTTAGCCAGGATGGTCTCTATCTCTTGACCTTGTGCCCGCCTCGGCCTCCCAAAGTGCTGGGATTATAGGCGTGAGCCACTGTGCGCAGCCGTCTCTGAGGGAGTTTAATGAGTTGTTGCCTTTTGAGTTTGTTCAGCTTTTTACTTAGTGTTAGAACCGAGTGACAAATTTCAAGCTTGTTATACGCCTGTCAGGAAGCTAGAACTCTCTAGAAAGTGACCGGAGAATGTGAGCTCCATAGCAGGTTGAGGATGGCGTCATGAGTGAGGATGGGGTCAAGAGTCCACTCAGAGATGGAGTGCCCAGCCATCTCTGAGGGATTTTAACAAGTTGTTGACTTTTGAGTTTGTTCAGCTTTTTACTTAGCGTTAGAAACCAGTGACAAATTTCAAGCTTGTTATATGCCTGACAGGAAGCCAGAAGTCTATAGGAAGTGACTGGAGAATGTGAGCTCCTTAGCAGGTTGAGGCTGGAGTCACAGGTGAAATGAGCCCATGGGGTTTGGGGACAGCAGGCCTGTCCAGCCTCTGACACCCTGGTGAGTCAGTGCAGAGATTACAACAGTGACAGCAAACTAGCATGGCTGACTCCATCTGGCATCTAGTCTCAGGCTGGCTGTCCTCACTCATTCCTGGGCATAGGCCAGGTTAACCTTGGGAGGAATTTAGTTTATGGTTTAAACTTGAAGCAAGAATGATAATAGTTCCTCCATAAAACTAACACCCTTACTTTGTCCAGGGACTGCCTTTGTAAAACTAGTGAAAGACCATGAGATTAAGATTATAGGAGGGAACTGAATTTTGCTAAAATGTAGGCACAGTTTCTATAATCCCTGACTGCTCCAGTGTCATTGGGACAGGGTTTACAAAATTTGTAACTAATTGCTCCTATAGATAACATCACTATTGTAGAACGTGAGATTGGTCTTTTGAGATGTTTCTCATTCTTTTGCATTCTGGCAACCGGCTGACCTCATCCATACCTATGACTAATGGCTCAGCCAGTCATGTGGTCCCTACCTAGAGGCAGATTCAAGCACAAACAGATCATGTCCCCCTGCCCCCATGATTCCATCACCAAACAATCAGCAGTACTAATTTTTTAGTCCTGTGGCCCTGAAACTATCCTTGAAAATCTCTAAGCCCTGATCCACTGGGGAGGCTGATTTGAGTAATAATAAACCTCTGTCCTCCTGTTTGGCAGACTTGGAGTCATTAAAATCTTTCTTTACTGCAAACCGCCATTTCAATTATTTTATTTTATTTATTTATTTGTTTTTTTTTTTTTTTGTGCAGGAGGCCAGAGGAACTTGTCTGGCAATTATGAGAGTGGATGGAGGAACTGCCTATCCCTGTCCCATGGTCTTGTCCACAGGTCAGCCTCACAAAGGGAAAGAGCCCTGGATGGGAATACAGTGGAAGGTCATTCTCTTAGTGACCTGGGGACATTGGCTCGAGAGGAAGCCTGGCAGGAGTGGCAACTCCAGATGATTTCTGTGCCTTTCCTCTTTCCTGGGAGGTGGGCCAGGCCACAGTGTTAGTGGGAAGGGAACTGAACAGCCAGAGTGGTTAGAGGGAGTGTCTAGGGAAGGCCTAGAGGTGGAGGAAGAAGCTGTGCAGGACAGGGCTTGCCAGTCAGAATGAAGTGGGAGGAAGATGAGGGACACAGAGAAGCAGAGAGAGGCAGATACACCATGGCAGTGAGCAGTGAGGGAGACACTGTCTTCAGAAACTCCAGGGACCAGGTGCCCCCAGTTCCATAGTCCAGGACCAAGGAGCCCTCGAGAACCCTCCGGTGGCTTAAGAGCTTCAGAATTACATGAGGTGGGGTGGCTTTAGGGGCAAGAGGTAGTGGGGGGATGAAACATGGATGTCAGCCTCTGAAGGACAAGGGACAGGTGTGGCTAGAACCTCCTAGGATTCTGCATCCAAGATCCAATCTCTAAAGAGGTTTTGGATCATTCATTTCTTCATTCCATTCCTTCATTTGTCATGTGAGAGCTCCTGAGTGTGTGTCTCTCTCGCTGGGCCTGTGGTGGTGTAGAGTGTGAGTGGGGAAAGAAAACAAGGTCCTCTCCTTGATCCTCTCATGACAGTGACAAGGACACTTTGGGAAACACAGGATTTCAGGTTCAGTGATGGTGGTTAAGATCTGAGGAGGAGGCCTGGACATTTTTTTGCACTGACTCTGATGGTTGAAGCAGGTGATTTAGTTCTGGAGTGCAGACTAATCAGCTGACCATTTGCTCTCACTCCTCTGAGGTTTGGATGCCTAAGAAGAGAGGATTTGAGCCAACAAATGACTATGGGGTGCTTGGAACCCAGTAAGCCCTCACTTCTGGTGGAGTAGAGGATGGGCCTGTGGCTACAGACAGACCTCATGTGACCCTGATCTCCCCTTTGTGTTTGTGTGACTCTTGCTCAGTCACTGTGCCTTCCTGTGCCTCAGTTTTCTCTCAATCAAATAAGCTAAATGGCAAATGGACTGTGGCTTTTCATGCTATCTGTGAATAAATGTTAAATTATTCACAGTCACCTGACCTAATGCTTGGCACAGTGGAGGTTTCACACAAACAGCATTTATTATTAATTTGCTTCCATGAGAAAGCACCTTTACGTCAGATCCCTGTGGACAAGCTGCTACCTGGTACATCTTCTCTCTTCTGTTTCTGCTTCTGGGGACATTAGTCTTTCTATGGACTATCCTAAGCCTCCTAAGGCAGTTGGGTGATGGCCTACAAAGCTTGTCTTTCTGTCCTCTCCACTCTGAGTATCAGGTGAAGAAAGCTCTGTCCTGGCCCAGATGAGGCTCTGAGGGCTGAGCCCTGGCTGGTGAACAGCTCCAGGAGACACAGTCCTCTGACAGCTGGTAAATCCTTGGTCCCAGTAAGCCCTGCCCAAGAAGCCACAACCCAGTCCCAGCACAGGCTCCTCAGCTTTATCTGGAACAAGGATTTAGGGACAAGGGTCTGGGGTTGAGGCTTCTAGGGCTGAGCTTCTCTGAGAGTATCTCAGGGGGCCCCTCAGGCCAAGCCCTACTCAGTTATCCAGGGTCTTTCTCAGGGTCAAATTTATGAAGAGGGCATGAGGTGCTTGGCTGAGACTGATCTCCTCCTGCTGAGTCCCCCCATCAGACTGTCCTTCCTCTGCAGCGAGTGTCTGCAGGGTCTGGATGCAGGAAAGGAATTCTGATCTGTTGAAATTTGTCTCCTCTGTGTGTGTCCTGCACTAAATGCCCAAATCCCAGCATGGGACATAACGCAGTGAGTGACACAGGCAGAGTCCAGGCCTGACAATCCTGTGTGTGTGAAGTAGAAGTGACCCCTGTCCCCCAACACCCAGGGATCATGTGGAATCACTTACGGTGTAAGGTGAAGGTGAAACGTCCAGTTACTCCTCTAGTCCCATCATCTCCCTTTATGATGTGTAAGGTGTAGGATCCTGCGTCCTCCCGGGTGACATTCTGGATCAGCAGGGATGCATTGGAATATGCTGTTTCTCGTCCACTATATGCAGGCCCATATATAATTATTTCACCGTCTACTACATATGATGTAATGTAATGGTAGAGGTCCCTCATTTGCCCTTTGTACCAGATGTAGCCGGTAAGATTCTGGGGCAAATTGTGGACAAGTAGAAGAACATCCTTCCCCTCGGAAACTTTGGTTGGCTCGGCTTCAATCGTGACTTGGGCAGTGGTGGGCAGGTTCCAGAAGTTTAAAAGTGATGCTAGGAGGTGGAGAGAACATCAGTCAATATTGAGACCTATGTATTGGTGTGAAAACATGGGGCCCTGGGTCCTGAGAAGGTCTCTTCAGTCCTCAGCCTTGACAACACAGACACACACACACATACAAACACACACACACACACACACACAAAAGCGGCATGTGTGATTGTGTGTGTGTATGTGTGTGTGTCCTACTGTCCTACTAGGTCAAGGTCAGCAGCATGACGCCCATTCCTTCAACACTTCTGACGTTGGCATTTTTCTGTTTGGAATCCTCTTCCCCAGGGGTCCGCATGGCCCCCTCCACAATGCCCTCAGGTCCTGCTTACATCAGGGCATCGTTAGACTTCTTTCCTGATGCCTGCTTCAGAGACCCTGGGTCTTCCCTTTCTGACCTTTCCCTGCTCTGCTCCCTCCAGGGTTCTTGTCAACACCTGACCTCACATTCTAGATCTCTTTGCATGTCTGTCTTCCCCCCCATGACAGCGTGAGCTCCGTGAAGACAGGGACTTTTGTGATCTTGGTTGCACCCCAGTGCCTGGAACAGGCTGCAGACTCCTGTAGATGTGAGAGTTCTCAGGGCCCTCCATGCCCTGGGTGTTTTTTTTCCCCCAATTGTTGAGGTTTCTTGCTGAGGACAGTGTTTCCTGCCCTGTTTATATTTTTATTTGAGGTGTCATCTGCTATAGTTATTATTATCATTTTTCAAAATATGGTGGCCCCTGATGATTAATCAGGAAAACAGAACACTTAAGATTTTCCTACCTCTTACCAATTCCGGTCCAATACGACTTTCCTGTTTTGACCCCTGTCCCTCTCTGGTGTATTTTCCCCTATCCAGGCTCCAACAGAGCCTTCTTTCCTTTTTTTCTTTTTTCTTTTTTTTTTTTTGAGATGGAGTCTTGTACTGTCGCCCAGGCTGGCATGCGGTGGTGCTATCTCAGCTATCTGCAACTTCTGCCTCCCGGGTTCACGTGATTCTCCTGCCTCAGCCTCCCGAGTAGCTAGGATTATAGGAGCACACCACCATACCTGGTTAAATTTTTGTATTTTCAGTACAGACAGGGCTTCACTGTGTTGGCCAGACTGATCTTGAACTTCTGATCTCATGATCCACCCACCTCAGACTCCCAAAGTGCTGGCTTCTTTCATTTTTTAGAACCCCATCCTCTCCAGGAGACCCCATCCAGTCACTCTGCTTCCTCCTCCTGTCCTCTCCCAGGAAGTTCTCTCCTCACCTGTGAGCAGGAGCCCCTTCCATTTGATGCGCTGTGTGCAGGGAGGGGCTGAGAGGGTTCCCATGGTCTCTGCTGCTTGTGTGTTCTCCTCTGTGGAGATAAGCCTAGGATCCAGAAACTCTCTGAGCACGGCTGTCAGCTGTGCTGTCCTTCCTCTTTCTGTGCTGAGCCTCTTCCCAGGGCAGGAGCAATTCTCAAGCTCATGGGCAGGGTCAGGCCCAGGACACCTCTCTGTCCCCTCCTCTCTAAGTCCTGCCTCCTTGTCCCTCCTTCTGTTTCTCCTTTTGTCTGTGTTTCAGGTCCCTGGGAATTGTGGCGGCCTCTGCCTTTTTCAGCAGTGATTCTTTCACCAAACCTCAAGACACACTTTGTGCAGACACACAGACACACACACACACACACACACACACACACACAGAAGAGATACACACAGACCCACACAGTCAGACACATACCCTGCAGGTTGGGCAAGAACAGTCCTGGGCCTCAGCCTCCTGGTGTCCCCATGGCTCTGGGTCGGGGTGCAAATTAACGCCCTTTGGCCTCTTTCATCCCCATCAGGCTCTCCCCTTCAGTGCAGGAGGCTGGAGCTGTACCAGGTCCCTGTCAGAATGATGCCCCATTGTGCTGTGGGTGAGCTGTGTGTTGCCTGGTGAGAGGGACCCTTCCTTTCTCTAATCATGTCTAGCTTGGCTGCAGCTTCCAAGGATGGACATTCAGGACCTGGGTGTCCCAGAGGAAACTGTCCTTTCTGGCGGTGTGCAGGGTGAATCTCTCATGCCTCTTGGGAGGAGAGGCCTGTGCTGGTTGCTCAGTGGGGGCTGTGAGTCCCATAGTCAAAGGGACAGTTCTCTGTCAGTCTATGGCTCCCTGGGGTCTGGCGGCTGAGCTGGAGCTCATAGTTTCTCATGTTCTTCCTGACCATCTTTGATGTCCTCTCTTCTCTGCCCAGCTGACTGTCCTGTGGTCACCACACCTTCCCTGTGGTGGTGCAGGAGGAAGTGGGGAGTTACCCAGGAACCCTGCGGGACATGGCTCATTGAGATGCGGGAGGGGGAGCCTGGGACAGAGCAGGGGTTCAGAGCTGGAGAGATTCATCCCAACTTACTCCGTGGCCATGATGGGCTCAGCCCTCCATATGCTGACATACCCAGGGGTCTGTCCTGATGGTTTTGACCTGGCCAAGCTGCTGTGTGTAGAGGAGGAACAGGCAGTGGCCAGAGAGCCTGTCTGGAGGGACATTGCTCTCACCTGAGAGGGCGGGTGGGGGTGAGTTGTGTTCTGAGATCAAAGAGCAATAACATTCCCCTTCTTCCCGCAAGCACACAGGAGAGGTCTGTCTTCCCAAGGGACAGCTGGTGTTAGGTGGCCACATCCCGGATGGTGCCTGTGTGTGACCATCACACGCGCTCTGAGCCCCCAGGGTGCAGCGGGCAGGCAGGTCACAGGGTGCCTGGCTGATTCCCGGGGAGGCTGTGGGCCCTCAGGCAGCCGCTGTTCTGTGTCAGCGCTAGGCTTGGCCTGGGATGCCCCAGAGAACAGGACAGATGGAGCAGGGGTGGGCATTTAGGGAGCAGTGCCAGAAAGAGTTGATGAGGATGGAGGGAGGTCACGAGGGGAAAGCACCCGGTGTGGCATCGCGTGCACCAGCGCTGCCCTGGGAGATGCCTTTAGCTGGGCCCAGGGAAGGAGCAGGTGTGTGGGGAGGAGCTACCTGCAGGGGGAGTGGTGTTAGGTTGGCGGCCGCCAGGTCAGGGAGGAGCTGACAGTGTCCGTGTGGGGAGCATGGAGGGCGCTGAGGACTTGGGCAGAAGTGACCCTGTAGAGGGTGGACACTGCTGGGCTGTGGGTTCCGCTGAGTGAGGTTGGCATCCCCTGGGAAGACTCCAGGCTGGGAGGGACTCTGTCCCCCTCTGGTGGACAGGGAGGGAAGTGTGAACGGCAGCAATTCCAGGCCAGGATGCATGTTTTATTCCACGTGGATCTGCACAGTTCACACGAGGTCACACCTGTGTTATGTTACAGCCCCATCACCTTCCAGCCCCGTGAGTCCCAGTCTCTGTGGCTCTATGTTCACTGTTCTCCCTCTTTCACAATCAGATGTCCCAAATGCAGATTTTTGTCACCTTCTGTGAGTTTGTGTTTGTGTGCAGTAGGCGGCACTGTGTATACCCTGGGGGCAGTGATGTCTGGGGCTGAGCACTGCAGTTGGGCTTGGGAGCAGCAGGGTGGGAAGATCAATGTCAGGGGGGCAGGGACAAGTCATTTTCATTTTCTCACTCCCAGGGACCAGAACCCAGGATTCTGACTCCAGGGCAGAGTACCACACCCTGCTGGTGTCCCTGGATGTCATGATGCTCATAGTGTCATGTTGCCTTGGCATTCATTTTTTAAGGTGTAAGTTTATTTGCCTCAAATCAGAGGCAGGGCTTGGTCACCATGGCAGTTTTCAATACTGTGTCTGGTTCAAGTGGCTCCAGTTGGTGTCCAGAGATCAAATCTTAGAGACATCTCTCCTGCTTGGTGTGCTGGGCTCCCGTCTCTCCAGCTGCTTTCTTTAAACTGATAATTCTGACATTCGCCCTCACATTAAAAGTGACCACCTCTCAGTCACAGCGTGAGCTCCTGTTCCCAGTGTTTGCTGCTTGCTTTGAACACATCCATTAAAGCTCCCTGCTGGAAACCTGTCAGATAACACCCTGGACTTAATAAAGCCATTGGCTTACCGGTCTCTTCTCTCCTCCCTCCCTGGGCTCACTGACCTCTGTGTCTGTGGTCTCCAGGTGTGCCAAGTGCTTCCCAGTGTCTGTAAGTAGTAAAAATACTTACACTTTCACGTTGTGGTTGTATTGCTGTGGCCTCACATGCCATCCAGGGCCTGACATTGAGGCTGCCTTATGGGACCTGTGCTGGCTGAGCCCCTGCTGGAGCTCTTGTTTTGGGGCCTCTGGTTCTCTTGGGGACAGGAGCTTCCAGCTAACTTGATTGAAAAACTGATGCATTTCATTGAAAACACTGGGTCAGATGATGTATTCATAGGCTTCAGCTCCTATAACAAACACCTTAGCCTGGGTGAATTAAATAATAGAAATCTATTTTTCACAGTTCTGTGAATAATGTGCTATTTTAACCACTTTAAAATGCACAATCAATGAAATTAACCGCATACACCGTGTTAAATTACCATCACCAGTATTTTTCCTAGAAAATTGTTATCATTTTAAACTGAAACTTTGTATCTTTTAAACAATAACTCCCTGTATGTTCCACCCTAGGCCTTGATCACCTCTACTCTGTCTCTATGAATTTGCCTATTCTTGATGTTTCATATAAATGGAATTATACAATTATGTTATTTTGTTTCTGACACATTTCACTTAGCATAATGTTTTCCAAGTCCATGCATGTTCCAGCGGGTGTCAGAGCTTCCTTCCTCTTTATGGCAGATTATCATTCTGTTTTATGTGTCACCATATTTGTTTATTCATGTGTTGATGAACACTTGGATTGTTTTCATATTTTATCTTTTCTGAATAATGCTGCAATGAACATTCCCATGCAAGTACCTTTTTGAGTCCGTGGATTTAATTCTTTGGGTATATACCTAGGAATGGATGTTATTTCAAATGAGAATTCTATAATTAGCTTTTTGAGGAACAGCAATACTCTTTCTCCTAGCTGCTGTACTTTTTTATATTCTCACCAGCCATGTATGAGGATTCCAAATTCTACATAATGCTGCTACTTGTTATTTAACATTTTAAAAGAACGGTAGCCAGTTTTGTAGGTTTGATGTGGTGTCTCATTGCAGCTTTGACTTTGTATTTTCCTAATGACTAATGATGTTTAGTATCTTTTCATGTCCTTCTTGACTATTTGTATATCTTCTTTGAAGAAATGTATATTTGAGTCTTTTGCCCATTTATAAATTTAATGGTTTCTCCTTTTGTTACTGAGTTGTAGCTAGTTCTTTATATTATCTGGACATGAAAACTGCCTATATGTGGTTGTCAAATATTTTCTCTCATTCTGTGTCTATTAATTATTGTCTTGATAATTTTCTTTGATGTACAAAAGGCTCACATCTTGATAAAGCCCAATTTATCTTGTTTTTCTTGTTTCTCATGCTTTTGTATCATATCTAAGAATCCATTGCACATTTGAGTTCATCAATATTTACCTCTATGTCTATTTTAAGATGTTTTATAGGTCTGATATTTAACTCACTGATGAATTTTTCAGAGAATTGTTTGATATGGTGGGAGGTAGAGTTATCTAAATTCACTGTTTTGCATGTGGTTATCTAGTTGTTTCTGCATTATCATTAGAAAGGAGAATTGTTCCTCCATTAAATTTTCTTGACACCCTCTTCAAAGAGTAATTGACCATAAATGTGAGGGTTTATTTCTAGACTCTCAATTCTATCCCATTTTTCATTATGTCCAGTCTTTTGCCAGCAGCTTGTTTTAATAATTGTACTCCTTTGTGAGATTGCAAATAAGAAAGTTCAAGTCTTACAATTTCTTTTGGCAGGATTGTTTTCACTATTCAGGGGTACTTTTTTGAAAGATGGGGAGGACAAAGTTTCACAATTGGGAAAGCCGTTTCTGTCTTCTTCAGGGGGAAATTTGGGAGAAGCTTTTAAGAAACTTTATCTAAGTAGGTAAACTGTCACCACTTTATTTGCTGAAGTGCTATGTTAAAGTGTGCATTGCCTCTTGTGGAAGAATTTTGGACCCTGGAAGCACTTGCCCACGTGGTGAGAGACAGTGAATTCCACGATGAGGGGCAGAGATGATGTTGTTTTGTGATACAGTGTTGTTGGGGGAGTTGTATACATCTCAACTTCTTTATGTCTCTGTAAAGTGGGCATAGGGAGCAGCCCGCAGGGTCGGTGGGTTTTTCTCCCCGTGTGCAGAGACGTGAGATTGTAGAAATAAAGACGCAAGACAGAGAGATAAAAGAAAAGACAGCTGGGCCCGGGGGACCACTACCACCAAGTCATGGAGACAGATAGTGGCCCTTAATGCCAGGCTGTGCTGATATTTATTGGATACAAGACAAAAGGGCAGGATAATTAGTGTGAGCCATCTCCAGTGATAGGTAAGGTCACGTGGGTCACGTGTCCACTGCACAGGGGGCCCTTCCCTGCCTGGCAGCTGAGGCAGAGAGAGGGAGGAGAAAGAGAGAGAGAGCTTACAGCATTATTTCTGCTTATTAGAGACTTTTAGTACTTTCACTAATTTGCTATTGCTAACTAAACAGCAGAGCCAGGTGTACAGCATGGAACATGAAGGCGGACTAGGAGCGTGACCACTGAAGCACAGCCTCACAGGGAGATGGTCAGGCCTCTGGATAACTGCGGGTGGACCTGACTAATGTCAGGCCCTCCACAAGAGGTGGAGGAGTAGAGTCTTCTCTAAACTCCCCTGGGGAAAGGGAGACTCCCTTTCCCGGTCTGCTAAGTAGCGAGTGTTTTTCCTTGACACTGAGGCTACCACTAGACCATGGTCCGCTTGGCAATGGGCATCTTTCCAGATGCTGGCATTATCGCTAGACCAAGGAGCCCTCTAGTGGCCTTCTGTGGGCATAACAGAAGGCTCGCACTCTTGTCTTCTGGTCACTTCTCACTCTTCCCTGCTTCCCTCTTCCAACCACTTCTGAGCTACAAATGAGAAGGAAGCGATCTGATTAAACAGGTGATGAGCAGAGTCACGTTCTGAGGGGATTTGCACTTTTAAAAGGAGATTAATGACCACATCTGACAATGTCACCCTGGAATCTTATGCAGAGTGACAGGGGAGTGGGGATGAGCTCCGTTCAGGTTCAGGAAGCGAGAGTTTGGATCTGAAGTACTTTTCAGATGCTGAAGTCATAGGAGCTTGCAGTTGCTTCCTGGGTGGAGCCATAAACAAACATCTCTTCTGCTGAGTGGGGTCTGAGAAGATAGAGGGAACGGTGACCCAGGAGCTCTGGAATTATCTGGCTGTGTTACACTTGCAGGACTACACATATTTAAGTGAAAACAACATGGTTTTCATCCACCTGGCTGACCTCTTAGCCTGCTTTCCTCTTATTGTTCCCTCGAAGGCATCATTTTTTGAAAGAGAAATTTAAACTCTGTCCATCTCATCCCCTTTGGACAAAAGTTGAGTCCTTTCTGAGCTCTTTCATCATCTGGAGTTTAAAAGCTTCCCCTCCTCTGTTAACTCTCTTTGAATCCCTCATGTCACACCAAACTTCAAAAGAGACAAATACTTTTGCATGACTCCCTGCAGGCTCCGTTTTGCCCTGTAGTGACAGCCCCATGTCTTGGCTTTCCTGATTGGAAAAACTTCTCAAGCTTTCTGCATTCATGATCTCTGCTTCTTCAGTGCAACCTTCTCCAGCTTGTCTCTGATCTCCAATGGTCCCTGCATTAATCCTGTCCAAGCCACAGGTGACCCTCATATCATCTCAGCTTCTACTTCCCAGTCTCTCTCTCTCTCTCTTTTTTTTTTGAGACAGGGGTCTCACTCTGTTGCCCAGGTTGGTCTCAAACTGTTGAGCTCTAAAGATCCTCTGGCCTCATCTTCCTGAGTAGCTGGTAGGGGTGTGAGCCCTTCTGCTTGGTCTCCAGTCCTTTGCTTTTCTTTTTTGACCTATACAACATTTGGTGGTTGATGTCCATGTTCATGTAATTGTCTTCTCTGGCTTCTTGGGGCCACCATGCATTCCCTTCTCCCTCTTTTCATTTATTATCTTTTCATCTAGTAAGACCCATCTTCCCCTGAATATGTATATTTTCCTCAAAGCAAGGATTGGCTTACCTTCACAAACTGAGTCTCCAATGACCACATAAACTGAAATGCAATAGAAATCATGGACAGATGTGAGCTCCTCTTCTACTTCCTGTGTCCTCTGCAGGTTCTTCTCACCAACGTCACGTATTGTTAAGTAAGCCAGTGATGTTAAGTTAGAAAGTGGACTGATTCCATTAATTCATTTGGCATGTTCCGAAGTCCTCACCTGAGATCTATCTACTCTCCAAATTACACTTGTTAGTAATACAGGAAGATCTTTTTCACATGAGCTAATTAGGGTGAATACATGTAAGTGTTGGTAAGAAGTACTAGAAACACTGGAATTTGTGAGATTTCATTGAAGAACCAACTTCCACCCAGCCCTTCACATTGTTCTCTTTTGGTAGTTTCTTGTCATTTCCTCCTTTTATTATCAATAGAGCTGCTGTGAACATGCATGTACAAGTTTCTGGGTGGACATATGTTTTCATTTTTTGGGGGGTAGACATCAAAGAGTAGAATTGCTGGGTTGTATGATGAATCTGTGTTCCAACTTTTCAGAAACTGGACTTCTACTCCTTCCTGATTTCACCTTCCACGCCATTTCTGTAGTGAGGCCCACTCCTTGGCCTTATAAGACCTGAATTAAGTTAGGTGCCCAGAGCCGTTCTGTCATTGACTCTGTTCTTTCCCTTGCTAGCCTGTGTAATAATTGGCAATCAGACCTTTACGTGCGCAATGGTTTCATATGTCTCCCCAACTATATTACAAGTTCCACGGGGGCAGGGCTATGTCTATCTCCTTGACCTCTGTATCTGCGATGCCTAGCAGAGGGCTGTGAACACCGGTCACCCTCCATAAACACTGGGAGACAAACAAGGGAGTCAGTAGAGTTAGTTTTTTTGCCTTTTTACCCCCAGAACTCTTAGAATATGATTTGAGCTATTGCTTCAAGGAAGTCCTGGGGCAGATGATCATTCATAGATGACATGAGGGAGTGCACAGCACATGAGTTTGCAGGAAAATGCAAACCCCACATTGAAATTTGATCCCCAATGTTGGAGATGGGGATCTACATGGGGGTGTTTGGGTCATGGGGGCGGATCCCTCATGAATGGCTTGGTGCTGCCCTCATGGTAATGAGTGGGTTTTCTACTCAATCCTGCAAGAGCTGATTGTTAGAAAGAGCCTGGCACCTTCCTCTCCTCTTTCTCTTGCTTCTTCTCTCACCATGTCATCTGTGCACACAGCAGCTCCCCTTCCCATTCCACCATGAGTGGAAGCTCCCTGAGGCCTCACCAGAAGCAGATGCTGGTGCAATGCTTCTTGTATAGCCTGTAGAACTGTGAGCCAAATAAACCTCTTTTCTTTATAAATTATCCAGCTTCACTCAGGTATTCCTTTTTAGCAACACAAAACTGACTAAGACAGGGTATCAGGAGACCTAGCTTTGCCTGAATCTGAGAACTCCATCAGGAATCTTGGAACAATTTAGCCCACAGGTCCAAGGCTGATTTTTTGTCACAGTGAAGTTCAGGTAGTAAGAATTCTCACTGGTGGCTGTTGACGGTGGCGGTGGTGGGGATGGGTCATATGGAGAATTAGCAGTGGGAGACTAGAAATTAAAGTGGATAAAGGGAAGAATTAAAAGTCAAAAACAGTGTGAGGGAGGAAAGGAATGGATATAACACCTCACAGCTTTATCCTTGAGAGGCCTTAAAGAATCTACTTAATAATAATCAGATGGTATTCTATAAGAACTTTGAGACTAGACATGTGATGACTTTTAGGAAACTGCCCTGGAGCTGAAAATGCATGCAAATCTAGCTGACTCAGCTCCAGCCTTAACTGGCTCATAACTTGTTTCATAAACATGACTGTATGTTAGCAAGGAAATGAGAGAGAATAACAGCACATCACATAGGCATGAAAAGTATTTGCAAAGCAGCAGTTCTCAACAATGACATTTTGCAGAGTTTTCCAGAAGCAGATTCAGAAAACTGAAGACCAAAGTAATGAGGGAGCTGTCTCATGCCTAGATGAGCAGAAGCATACCAAAGGCTTAGTATTTCCCCAAGTAATAGGCACCTGAAACTTATTTAAGGAAAATACTCTTCTTGATGAAACAGGCACTGCAGTTGAAGCAGGAATGTGTTTGGTGTGCTGCCTTAAATAGCATGGGTAGATGTTCAAACATGTTAGGACTCGCTGGCCCTAGGAAAGACCCGCAAGTATCTGGTCTACACCAGGAAAGTGACAATGAAACACCAAACACCTTTTCTCCTCTAATTACCAAGAAAAGTATTTCTTTCCCAATGGTGGAAGACAATAATGTTGGGAATGATGAAGTTTTCTGGAGTGTGAAGTGGATATGTCTTATAAGTTTAATCCACAGCTTCACCACTTCATAAGTGGATAATCGAATTGTGCCTCAGTTTCCTCAGACTTGGGGATATTAAGAGTATCCTCAGTCACCACAAGGTGGGTACCAACATAAGAAAAGAGTGTAGCAAAAGCCCATGGGTGCATGTTCTTAAAGTGCCTAGTGTGGGATTAGAATGACAAGTGGTAGATGACCTACTTGTGCAGAAATTTAGAGTTATTTTGTGATTTTCAAATGATCATGTGTGCTTTCCATATGCTGTCCAGACTGGGGGTGCTGCAGCTAGAAAGGGAAGAAGGTTTCCATATTTCCTGAGACTGGAGTCACATCCTCTCACCAATGCACTCACCTGCTGACTAACCAGTGTACTTCTGGGAATTGCAAATGCATGAAATGGCACCCATTCTAGACTAGTCACGGCAGTGTTGGTGATGGCCACAGATCGGGAACGACCCTGACGTTTATCCATAGGGAACTGGGTCATGAGCCATGATCCACATCATGGATACTGGGCAGCTGTGGCAAAGAATGAGGTATCTTTCTTCTGTGTACTGGGAAAGGTTTCCAAGATATACCGCACAGTGAGAAAAACAAGAAGCAGAACAATGCACGGTGTGCTACCTCTTACATTACATAGGAGGAAATGTAAAATTAATTTACCAATGGCCAATAAGCACATGAAAAGATGCTCAACATCACTAATCATTTGGAAAATAAAAATCACGGCTACAGTGAGATACCATCTTACATCCATTATGATGATTGTTCTTAAAAAAAAGAAAAACAGAAAAGAACAAGTGTTGGCAGGTAGGAATTGGAATGCTTGTGTAGTGTTTGTGGGTATGAAATATGGCGCACCCACTGTCATCGTTTCTCAAAAAATTAATCATAGACTTACCACAAGATGCAGCAATTCGGCTTCTGGTGTATTCCAAAAAGAACGGAAAGCAGGGGCCCCAGCAGATATTTGCATGTCTTTGTTCATAGCAGCATTATTCACAATAGCTAGATGTTGGAAATAAGCCCAGTGTCCATCCATCCATGAATGAATAAACAGAATGTGGTCTATACGTACAAATGAATGGGATTAAACCATAACAAGAAGGGTGGTTCTGATGCGTGCTTCAACATGAATAAGCCTTGAGTTCTTTCTGCTAAGTGAAATAATCAGACTCAAAAAGACAAACATTGCATGATTCCACTTAACAGAAGTGCCTGACGTCATGAAATGCATAGACAGAAAATGAAAAGGTGGTTGTCAGCGGCTGGAGGGAGGGGGAAAGAGGAGTTGTTGTTTAATTGGTAAAGAATTCCAGTTGGGGAATATGAAAAAGTTCTGGGTGGGGATGGACAGTGGTGGTGGTTGAACAACAACGTAAATGTACTTCCTGCCACTGGATGTACAGTTAAAAGTGGTTAAAATGGGCCGGGCAAGGTGGCTCACGTCTAATCCCAGCACTTTGGGAGATTGAGACAGGCGGATCACTTTAGATTAGGAGTTTGAGACCAGCCTGGGCAATATGGTGAAACCCCATCTCTACTAAAAATACAAAAATTACCCAGGCATGGTGACAGGCGCCTGTAATCCCAGCTACTTGGGAGGGTGAGGCAGGAGAATCGCTTGAACCCAGGAGGCGGAGGTTGCAGTGAGCCAAGACGGCGCCACTGCACTCCATCCTGGACGACAGAGGGAATCTCCATCTCAACCAAAAAAAAAAAAAAAAGAAATTAACGAACGAAGAGCATCTATGTTCCAAATGCAGTGTATTATTTTATGCAGGCTTTCACAAGCTCCAAAAGATTCACCGTGCAGAACTGGAGATTCTAGAGAAAGACCACGCCTCCTCCTGCGGGTAACTCTTCATTCAGCAAGCAGCTCTTGGCTTATCCCTGGGCTTAGTGGAATTCGAATACCTGACCATAGGACACCAAGGGCTTTGGGACCTGAATGACACATCATGTGGTGGTGACATCTGAGTTACCTGGGGCGTGCACAGCAGCCTCCAGCATCCCAGGGAGAGCTGTGTATGGGGTCAGGCTCAAGCAGGTCTCAGGGCACCAGTGACCCAATGGGTGACTCAGACTCCCATGGCACCTGCTCCTTCTGTTTCTCCCTTCGCCATATATATGAGCTCATGGGAAACGCTGTGACCTCTTACAGAGGAGGAAAGTTCATGGACTTCTAGCTTCTAGAACTGTGATACAATAAACTCCTGTTGCTTATCTACTCCTCTGCAGTATTTTGTCATGGCAGCCCTAGCAAACTACTATAGTGACTGTGGGGGTTAGGATGACACCAAGCATCAAATGCCACTCCCTGTTCCAACAGTGAGACCATTCCACAGCCCCTGAATGACAAGACAGGCCTTCAAACTCAAGACTACCTGGCTAGGTAAGAAGTACTTTAGTCACACCACTTCTGAACTTTCTTGCCTACCTGCAGGGCAGGAATTTTTACCATTTTTAAATGAGGACACTGAAGCTCAGAGAAGTGATGCTATTTCCTGATGGGTAAGAGGTGATATATTTCAGTCCTCAGACCAACTCTGGAGTAGCAAGGTTCTAGTCTTAAGAGTCAAACTTGGCTAGGCATGGTGGCTCAAGCCTGTAATCCCAGCATTTTGGGAGGCCAAGGCCGGTGGATCACCTGAGGTCAGGAGTTCGAGACCAGCCTGGCCAACATGGTGAAACCTCGTCTCTACTAAAAATACAAAAATTAGCTGGGCGTGGTGGCATGTGCCTGTAATCCCAGCTACTTGGGAGGCTGAGGCAGGAGAATCGCTTGAACCCGGGAGGCAGAAGTTGCAGTGAGCTGAGATTGTGCCATTGCACTCTAGCTTGGGGAACAAGAGTGAGACATCAGCTCAAAAAAAAAAAAAAAAAAAAAAGTCAACCTTGAGCCAGGCATGGTGGCTCATGCCTGTAATCTCAGCACTTTGGGAAGCCGATGAAGTCAGGATTTCGAGAGCAGCTTGGGCAACATGCTAATACGCTGTCTCTACCAAAAATTAAAAAATTAGTGGGTATGGTGGCTCATGCCTGTAATCCCAGCTATTTGGGAGGCTGAGGCACAAGGATAGCATGAACCCTGGAGGTGGAGCTGCAGTGAGCCAAGATTGTGCCATTGTACTCCAGTCTGGAGTGCAAAAAAAAAAAGTCCATCTCAAAAAAAACACAAAAAGAATAAATATGGGGCCTCATGACTGTATATTACTGGGCTTCCGACCTAGACTGAAAGATCAGGGAAGACTTTCCTGAAGAGAAAGTGAGCTCTGATGGGCCCACTGTACTCTAGCCTGGGCAATGTAATGAGGCTCTGTCTCAAGAAAAACATGCAGAATAAAACCACAATAAGATACCACTACAGAACTATTAGAATGGCTAAGATTAAAAAGAGTGACCATGACAAGTGTTGGCAAGGATGTGGAGGCACTGGAATGCTCACGCTACTGGTGGGAATGTAAGATGGTACAACCACTATGAAAGCAGTCTGGCAGCTTCTAAAAATTTCAGCATACACCCACTATACTACTCGGCAATTCCATTCCATTCCCACATTATTTTTATTTAAAGGAAAATCAAGTGGTATGATCTTTAAGGCATTTTTGCCTGACAAATAGATGAAATGTGGGTAGCAGCCCAACACTCCCTGGTAAGTCTTCACAGGGCATATGTGGACTCGTGGCCCCCAGGAAATATGGCTCTTTCCACAAGTGCTAAGTCCACTCTCTCCATCAATCCTAAGATGTTAGTTCCACAGCACTGCCAGCATTGGGCTTTGTCTATTTCTTTCTTTCTTTGTCTTTTTTGAGAGGGGTCTTGCTCTGTCATCCAGGCTGAAGTGCAGTGATGCAATGTTGGTTGTAATGGCTCCCATTTCATTTCCAATTGATCTTATTTGGCTCTTCCCTCTTTTTTTCTTGGTTAATCTTGCCAATGGTCTATCAATTTTATTTATTTTTCCCAAAAATCAGCTTTACATTTTATTTATATTTTGTATTATTTTGTTTCAATTTCATTTAGTTCTACTCTGATGTTGGTTATTTTCTTTCTTCTGCTGGATTTGGGTTTGGTGTGTTCTTGTTTCTTGAGTTTCTAGAAGTGTAACCTTAGATTGTCTATTTGTGCTCTTTCAGTCTTTTTGATGTAGGCATTTAAGGCTATAAACTTTTAGCACACTCTTTGCTGTATTCCAGATGTTTTGATAGGGTGCGTCACTATTGTTCAGTTTGAAGAATTTTTAAATTTCCATCTTGATTTCATATTTGACCCAATGATCATTCAGGAGCAAGTTATTTAATTTCCATGTGTTTGCATGGTTTTGAAAGTTCCTTTTGGAGTTGATTTCCAGTTTATTCTACCATTGTCTGAGAGAGTACTTCATATAATTTCAATTTTCTTAAATTTATTGAGACTTGTTTTGTGGCCTATCATATGGCCTATCTTGAAGAAAGTTCCATGTGCTGATGAATAGAATGTATATTTTGTGGTTGTTGGGTAGAATATTCTGTAAATATCTCTTAAGTCTATTTGCTCTAGGGCATAGTTTAAATCCATTGTTTCTTCCTTGACTTTCTGTCTTGATGACCCGTCTAGTGCTGTCAGTGGAGTAATGAAGTCCCTCACAATTATTGTGTTACTGTCTATCTCATTTCTTAGGTCTAGTAGTAATGGCTATATAAATTTGGGAGCTCCAGTGTTAGGTGCATGTTTATTTAGGACTGTGATATTTTCCTGTTGGACAAGTCCTTTTATTATTATATAATGTTCCTCTTTGTCTTTTTTAAGTGCTGTTGCTTTAAAGTTAGTTTTTTTGTTATAAGAATAGTTACTCCTGCTCACTTTTGTGGCCATTTGCATGGGGCGTCTTTTTCTACCCTTTTACCTTAAGTTTATGTGACACTTTATGGTTAGGGGAGTCTCTTGAGGGCAGCAGATACTTGCTTGGTGAATTATTATCAATTCTGCAATTCTGTATCTTTTAAGTGGAGCATTTAGACCACTTATATTCAATGTTAGTATTGAGATTTGAGGTACTGTTCCATTCATCCTGCTATTTGTTGCCTGAATACCTTGGTTTTATTCATTTATTTATTGTATTTTTGTTTTATAGGTCCTGTGAGATTCACGCTCAAAGAGGTTCTGTTCTGATGTGTTTCCAGGATTTGTTTCAAGATTTGGAGCTCCTTTTAGCAGTTATTGTAGTGCTGGCTTGGTAGTGGCAAATTCTCTGAGCATTTGTTTGTCTGAAAAAGACTGTTATCTTTCCTTTATTTATGAACTTTAGTTTTGCTGGATACAAAATTCTTGGCTGATAATTTTTTTTTTCTTTTTCTGAGATGGAGTCTTTCCCTGTTGCCCAGGCTGGAGTGCAGTGGTGTGATCTCGGCTCACTGCAACCTCCGCCTCCTGGATTCACGCCATTCTCCTGCCTCAGCCTCCTGAGTAGCTGGGATTACAGGCGCCTGCCACCAGGCCTGGCTAATTTTTTTTGTATTTTTAGTAGAGACGGGGTTTCACCATGTTAGCCAGGATGGTCTCGATCTCCTGACCTTGTGATCTGCCCGCGTCGGCCTCCCAAAGTGCTGGGACTACGGGCGTGAGCCACCGCGGCCGGCCTGATAAATTTTTTTAAGGAGGCTGCAGATGGGTATGCATGCTCATTGGAGGTGTTCTTCCCTTATTGAAGATTATTAAAATCACATGTGTTGAAAAGCATTTGGGACTGTTTACTTAATTGATGAGTACTCATTTATTTTTACATTAATTTTGATACCATGTATAAACAATATATAAACATAGGTATGGACATATACATATGTGATAGGCGATACAGCATAGAACATATACATGTGCACATAAAGATAGAGTGCGACAGAAATACTTCAGATTTTTGATTTTAAAACTTTATGCATGAACCTATAAAACTCCCTGTTAAAAAAAAAAAACTGGATTTAAATTGTGCTATTGTAAATATAAAAATTAACATTTATCTGAGGAAGCCCTTGCTGAGTTTTAGAGAGAGTAGGTAGTAAATTTACATCTCAAAGCACACACACACACACACACACACACACACACACACACACACAGAAGAATTTGGGTGTGTTCAAGGAAGATTAAAAGTAGATGCCAAGGTAACACAAAAATGATAGAAATTTATAACAGGATTTTATAAGGAGACCAATTTTATTTCCATACATAGCTTTTATTTTGGTCTCTGTTTTCCAACTGTACTCCAGGAAACACACTACACAGGCTCCCTTCTTAAGTGCTGGTGAGCCACTGCATATACAGACAGCCCACTTTAAGGGAAGAATCAGGGGAGAAGAGATGCAGACCCCAGAATTATGCCAACATACAAATGCCTAAGTCAAAGGTCAAACTGCACACTTGAAATCTCATCACCTGTTTGGCCCTGTTTTCAGTGTACTTTACTTTCTTTAATTTCTGCTCTAAAGCTTTTAAATGAACTTTCACTCTTGCTCTAAAATTTGCCTAAGTCTCTTCTTCTGCCTTATGACACTTAGTTTAATTCTTTCTTCTGAAGAAGCAAGAATTGAGGCTGCTGCAGACTTGTACAGATTTGCTGCCATTAATATACTTTAGTGCCATTCTACATGATAGAATATACATATTCTTATATTTATACATATATATAAAATATATGTATTCATAGAGGCCTTGAATCTACATTCTTGCTGCACTTCATGTAAACAATCCAGGTAGAAGACTAAAAGTTATTTTGGAAATACATTTGTCCCATATGATTTCTATTTCATAAAAATGGGAGACAGGAGGGGGAAAATTATTTTTAGAAAAAAACAACAGAACAACAGTTATTAAATTTTAGATCTGTTCATTTTTTTTTTTGAATTTTGTTATTTACCTACAATTTGGGCTGAATCCTAAATTTTTTCCTGGCTACAAATTTCAAAACTAATGGTTTCAGAATTTTCTTCCATTTTGGTATATTATAAATTAAAACTGTGCTTTTTAAATTTTTATCATTTTTTTATTACGCTTTTAAGTTCTGGGATACATGCACAGAACCTGCAGGTTTGTTACATAGGTATACATGTGTCATGGTGTTTTGCTGCACCCATTAACCCATCATCTACCTTAGGTATTTCTCCTAATGCTATCCCTCCCCTAGTCCCCCACCCCTCAACAGGCCCCAGTGTGTGATGTTCCCCTCCCTGTGTCCATGTGTTCTCATTGTTCAACTCCCACTTATAAGTAAGAACATGCAGTGTTTGGTTTTCTGTTCCTGTGTTAGTTTGCTGAGAATGGTCATTTCCAGTTTCATCCATGTCCCTGCAAAGGACATGAACTCATCCTTTTTTATGGCTGCATTGAATTCCATGGTGTATATGTACCATATTTTCTTTATCCAGTCTATCATTGATAGGCATTTGGGTTGGTTCCAAGTCTTTGCTATTGTGAATAGTGCTGCAATAAACATATGTGTGCATGTGTCTTTACAGTAGAATGATCTATAATCTTTGGGTATATACCCAGTAATGGGATCACTGGGTCAAATGATATTTCTTGTTCTACATCCTTGAGGAATCGCCACACTGTCTTTCACAATGGTTGAACTAATTTACATTCCTACCAACAGTGTAAAAGCGTTCCTATTTCTCCACATCCTCTCCAGCATCTGTTGTTTCCTGACCTTTTAATGGTCACCATTCTAACTAGCATGAGACAGTATCTCATTGTGGTTTTGATTTGCATTTCTCTAATGACCAGTGATGATGAGCTTTTTTTTGTATGTTTGTTGGTCACAAAAATGTCCTATTTTGAGAAGTGTCTGTTCATGTGCTTCTCCCACTTTTTGATGGGCTTTTTTTTTTCTTGTAAATTTGTTTAAGTTTCTTGTAGATTTTGGATATTAGCCTTTTGTCAGATGGATAGGTTAAACCTTGCAAGCTGAAACTCGATGACTTATGTAAACTTCTGGAGAAATCATAGCAACTTATATATAAACAACCTTTGTGCCTGCTGATGTGTACTATACAAAAGGTACACATGAACGCTGGATTCAGACTGCAATTCAGAAAAATGTGTCAGATTGCCATTGCAATTAGAAGATGCTTCAGAAACTCTAGAAAACCTAGTCTATAGGGTTAGAGTGATGTTTGCCAAACGAATTGCTCTAATTGAAGCAGCAGTTGTGTGACTTTAATAAAGTTCCAGGATTATACTGTCCCTTTGTTGCTGTGACTTCCCTTTGCCTTTTTCTGATTTGTCTTCATCCCCTTTTCCACGGGGCATGACTTCTTAAGAATGAGCCTTCCTAGTGATGTAGGATCAGATGAAACATACAGTCACAAAGTCATGTCTTCTACAATGCTTTCTCTGAAAGCTTTTGAAGAATCGAGGGACCAGGTGTGCTGACACAGACCTGTAATCCCAGCAGTTTGAGAGTCCAAGGCAGGAGGATCACTTGAAACCAGGAGTTTAAGACCAGCCTGAGCAACAAAGGGAGACCATGTCTCTACCAAACATAAAATAAATCAAATTAGCCAGGTGCAGTGATGCATGCCTACAGTCTCAGATACTTGGGAGGCTAAGGCGGGAGGACCACTTCAGCCCAGGAGTTCAAGGCTGTAGTGAGTACACTCCAGTCTTGGTGACAGAGCAAGGTTGTGTCTCTAAAAGAAAAAAAAAAAGGAAAGGAAAAGAATGGGGTAAGCAGGAAAGCCAAAGATCTCGGGCATCTCCAGATGATTCCCTGAACAAATTGTTTTTTCTTGGCTTCAAAACCTTTCAAGATGTATATTTCTTTGTAAAAGAAAGACATGCCAATTGTAACTTTAAGTGAGCAGTCAAAATCTAGCTCCTAAAACTGAAGTATTTTAACTCTCATTCTGATAATATTTATTTTCTGAGGCAAAGAAGAAAGACAAGATTAGATGAATTGTTTTTCTGCCCACACCATCTCTTCCGACATGCCTTATCCCTTTAATCAAATGTATAAATACTAAGCCTCCTGAAACCTCTTCAGAGAAAACACAAGCCACAGAGGTTTTTTTGCAACTCATGTATTCCCAGGGTGTACTTTCAAGTTCTGGCTCAATAAATCTCAATTTATCAAGACCCTTGCCTCAGTCAGTCATTCTGGATAACCACCATGAGTCCTGCAAAGCCCTTCAGTAATCTGTTGCCTGCCTAGGTGATGTGTAAGGTGAGTCAGGTCTTCATGAGTCAAACACTCGTCTTCCTTTCTGTCTTTCCCAACCCTACCACTCAGTGCTGTGTGCTCTGATCTGACCCCAGCTCCCAGGTTGTTTGTATTGGTCTAAGAAAGCAAGACCAGGAGGGGCAGGTTGAGAAGGAAGTAAGAAGTGAACATGGAAAGTGGCAGGTGGGGCTGTCATTGCTCAAAGCCACACACCCTGGGTGCATTTTATGAATTTTTCTGGATTCATAATCTTTTCCCTGTGTGTCTATCTAGAAACTCACCCCCCTCCTACTTTCTTCTCATTACTCTTTCTGTTTCTAGTGCACTCGTTTATGGCCAGAGAATGGCCGTGTAAATAGTTGACAATAGAATAAAAAATGATGTTTTCTGAGACTTGGAAGCTGGCCTTTCTTTTTTCCAAAAGAGATTGGGGTTTCTAAAAGCTAGCTTTTATGCAGGGCTGTGCAGTTGTGAGTGTAGTTTTAGGGAACAGATGCATAAGTGAAGGGTGAGACAGAAAACAAAATGCTGGCTGTTTGTCAAATCCTGAAAGTAAATGGGACAAAAATCATTTTTGAAGGAGGATGTCATTCAGGAGACCTTGTACATCTTAGCGTGTCCTCTTACCAGAAGAATTGGAGGTTGAGGTTGAATTATGGATTTAAGTGACAGTGGGTATATAATTCTCTGCCTCAGTTTTTTTTTTTAATCTGTAAAAATGGGGATTGTGGCTCTTGGGATTTTTTGGTGAGCACTATAGTTACCTGAAAAGCTCTTAGGATAGTGCCTGGTGCATAGTGAGTGCTGCATCAGTGTGAGCTATTATAATTATGGGAATATACAAAGGTATCACCCTGGCCATCCAGAGTGGGGAGATATTTTCTGGTCAGGGTCCAGGCAGGCCAGCTGGAGATGAAGCTGATTAGTAGGGAAGCTTAACTTCCAGGAGTGGAAGAATTTAGGAGGAGTAAACAGAATGCACAACATTCTGCAAACATTCCTTTACCCAACAGTAGGAATACTCAGAGTGGGTGTGTCTTCCGTGACAATCATTATCTCCTGGGAATCTAAGAATGTGTTCTAGAGTCAAATGGCTTTGATGTAAGCCAAACCCAGAAATGGGCTTCAGGGCTGCCTTGCACATAGCATTCATTCATCTTGAAAAAGGAAAGCATTCATCTTGCTAAAGGAATCCCCTCTTCTGGCCCAGGCCATTATTTTTGTTTTTGTGCTATCCTAATTTTTAAGGTGTAAGCAGAAAGACTGAAGAATAAAATAATGAAGTACATGAATGAAATAACAGGGTAGAATTGAGACTGCTACATGTAAGTTAAGAGAAATTGTGTATAAATTTTTGTGAACAGAAAAAGGATTTCTTGTTGCAAACAGACCTCTCTATATAAATAATACCTCCTGCCTTGAGTGGATAGCAGACCGCATCACAAGAACATTCCAGCAGAGTCATGAGAGAATGGTTAGTGTGGCTTCTTTAATTGTCAGGTTAGACTGAGTAAGTTACTGAAGAGAAAGGAGTTGAAGGAGAAGATGGGTGAGGGCAAGAAAAATGGGAAGGTGAAAGGAAAGGACTGAAAGGAATGTTTACCAAGGGCTCATCAGGTACCAGGCTCTGTGACTAATGTCTTACACATGTTAATTTACTCTTCCACTGTCATTTTCTGATGCAGTAAGAGTCAGCCTTACACTGCAGATGAGGAAAGAGGCTGAGGGAAGTCAAATGAGTGGCCCAGGGTCATCCAGCCACTTCATAGCAGAGCTAGTGTGTTTCACTGTGGTTTGTGCAGACAGAAAAGTGAGACATGGAAGGAAGGCAAAACATTTTTGTTGTGGGTGATGTTTATGAAAGTGACCCGTATGAGGCAGAATAATGGCCTCTTAAAAATGTCCACATCCGGGCCGGGTGCAGGGGCTCACGCCTGTCATCCCACCACTTTGGGAGGCTGATACGGGTGGATCACGAGGTCAGGAGTTCAAGACCAGCCTGGCCAACGAGGTGAAACCCCGTTTCTACTAAAAATGCAAAAATTAGCTGGGCGTGGTGGCGGGCAACTTTAATGCCAGCTACTTGGGAGGCTGAGGCAGGAGAATCATATGAACCTGGGAGGCGGAGATTGCAGTGAGCCTAGATTGTCCCACTGCACTCCAGCCGGGGCAACATGAGTGAAACTGTCTCAAAAAAAAAAAAAATCCACATCCTAACTCTTGGAACACATGCATTTACTTTTCTTGGCAAAAACACTGTTCAAAGGTGATGAGGTTGAGTATCTTGAGATGGAAAGCTTATTCTGGCTTATCTGGATGGCTCCCAGTGTCATCATAGGGGTCCTTGTAAGTGAAAGAGCAAGGCAGGAGGGTCAGGGTGAGAATGATGCAGTCTGAGAGACTCCACTGGCCATTGCTTGCTGTGAACATGTGTGATAAGACAAAATTACAACTGATTTAGTTATAGATGTAATTGGTTTTTATTTGTGATTTATGATTTGGGGCAGCTCTCCCTCTACAGATGCCTCAGCATCCCAAGTAGCTGGGACTATATTGTGGGATCTGGCCAGCAACCTGCAATGCAACAGGGCTCTTTCTTTGTTCCCAGGCAGATCGGCAAGTTGAGAAATAAAGGACACACACAAGATAGGGAAAGCTGTGTCCAGGGGTGTCACCGCCTTCTGGTCCTGCGATGCTGCCAATGCACTGGATACACCAGCATTTATTATTAAGTTTAGTGAGAGTGGGGGTAGTTTAGTGAGGGATTTAGGGTCATTTATAGGCTCTCCATAAGGGTCACATTCCTTTCCCAGAGCTACAGACATCTGCTTTTCTGGGATAGGAATCTTGGTAATGTGAAACCTCCCTGACTGCCCATCCATTCATAGGCTCTCTGCAGGGGGAAGCACATCACGTGCTGTTGGCTCATTCTGGCAGTCCAACCTGGCATTTTTCTTTACACAATCCTTCATGCAATTTTGTACTTACAATAATCAGGAGCTTTAAAGGATGTCTTGTTATGTAAAAATGTGTTGGCTGGGTGCGGTGGCTCATGCCTGTAATCCCAGTACTTTGGGAGGCTGAGGCGTGTGGATCACCTGATGTCGGGAGTTCGAGACCAGCCTGACCAACATGGAGGAACCCTGTCTCTACTGAAAATACAAAATTAGCTGGGCATGATGGTGCATGCCTGTTATCCCAGCTACTTGGGAGGCTGAGGCAGGAGAATCACTTGAACCCAGGGGGCGGAGGTTGTATTGAGCCAAGATTGTCCCATTGCACTCCAGCATGGGCAACAAGAGTGAAACTCCATCTTAAAAAATAAATGAAGTGTGGTTGACATGATATATCTGACACTGTTAACTTACTCTCAGAAGCTACTTCTTGTGAAATCCTAAGTACAGCATTATTCTGGGAAGCAAAGGAGACAGGCATAAGCAAGGAGAAATTAAGAGAGGTAAGAGTCTCATCATGATTGATAGTCTTGTTCTGACATCTTGAGAAAAGCTGTCCACAGTGTAAAGTCATCAACTTGTTGTCGTGGTTTGCAGTTTGAGTGTCTCTAAGTTATGGTGTTGAACATTTGGTGAGCTTTTAGTGGCCCACACCTCAGACACGAGGGTTTTCCCATGAAATTTACATTGAGTTGTCCACCTCCAGCTTATATGGCTTCAGGAACAGAGCTGCTCTTGTTCTTAATGATTTCATTGGAGAAAATTGAATTGGAAGAACTAAAAGAATTCAGGGTCCAGTCCAGTCTACCAGTGGATTATAAATACTCAAAGATAATGAACAGTAGTGGTTCAATCTGGTAACAGGTGTACTACAGTTTTTCTTTTCAACTAGTTTTTCTCTCTATAGGAGTCTCTAATTTTACCAAAGATAATTCCAGTAGGATGAATTTGTTTGCAAAATAGGTTGAGTCTCACCGAACTTGCCCAGATTTTTTACCTAAGTGCGGCAAGAGTAGCCGTGGACCATAGAGGCTCTTTTTAAACGTCCCTTTGCTAGAAGTTTTTAATAAGAATCTCAGATGAAACTTCCAAAAACCTCTTGAGACTAGGAAACTAAACCAAGACCAACTTCAGACTTTGCCTGCTTTCCCTATGGGTTTATTCTAGGTATATTATCAAATATAACATCCCAGTAAAAGCTTTGGTAATATAACCAATGTTTTCAAATGTGTCCTGTTATAAAGAGAGCAGATTCTTACTGAACTTGTGCAAATAACTTTATTACCATAAACCTATGAATACTCATGAATAGTTTCCCAATTCTGGGGCACTCAGATAGAGAGCAAAAGCAAATGTTTCAATTTTTGTTTACAAAAGTATACTTTACCAATTGCTGAAGAAAAAAAGTTCATAAATCTGGAGAATAAAACATTCCAAGAATCAGCACATTTTCCAATAAAAAATTATGAAAAC
Organism: Homo sapiens; assembly: GCF_000001405.40. Taxonomy (NCBI): domain Eukaryota; kingdom Metazoa; phylum Chordata; class Mammalia; order Primates; family Hominidae; genus Homo; species Homo sapiens. Next base: position 42,902,300 of record NC_000019.10, read on the forward strand.
ATTATCCTTTTGATTATTTAGTCCAATAACATTGAGTTTTTTTCTTCTTTGTCTTGAATTTCATGAAGGTATCAACCTGTTCTTTTTCTCAGTGTCTCTATTGTGGCAGCCATTAATGAGACTCTGTCTGGTTTCCATGGCAGGGACCTGATTGACAGAAGGCCCAGGTCAGCGCATTTCAAATTCACTACCTCCTTTACAGAGAAAGCTTCTTTCCCACAGGCTCCCAGCAAGGGTGTGAAAGCAAGTCTAGTTCTCCGAGGCTCTCTTTAACTCCAATGGGTGACTGGTTGGAGGATTCCTCATCAGCCTTGCAAAAACTCTTAGAACTGCATTGGTACCTAAAACTTCTTTCTCTTTCTTTTTCACAGGAATCAGCTCTGCATAGCGGTCTGTGGGTTCTCCCATACTACCTTCATGCCTGCCCCACATTCCCTCACAGGTGTCTTCCCTGATAAATTATCTTGTATGTCTAATCCCATCTTGGATGCATCTCAGTTGGTAAAAACTAACATACCAGACTTGATTCTTTGCACTTAGCTTTTTTTCTTTCTCTCCCACAATTAGTCAGTAACCATGTCCTAGTGTTTTATGTGTTACCGCTTTTTTCATATCTATGGAAAAAGGTAGGTACTGTTGAGGTGCACTTTCTATGTGCCAGGCCCTGTGCTCAATACTTTACCTGTATCTCATTTAATCCACACAATAACCCTGTCAGGTAGGCATTATTTCCATTTTGCTGATGAAAAGACAGAAGCTTAGCATGGTGTAAAAACTTTCCTGGTGTCATATGGCTAGTGACAGGTGGATCTGAGATTTGATTCTAGGACTATTTGACCTCAAGGCTAATGATGATGGTAGTAATATAGCAGCTGACATTGGTTCCTCTTTGTGTGGCATCTTGTTTCATTGACTGCATTAAACCTTTAAAAGAATGGTATGAAGAAAGTACTCTTATTGCAATTTTCAGGTGAGGAATCAGGGGTTCAGAGAAGTTGAGTCTTGTGCAAGAAATTTATAACTGTAAACTCTTACATTAAAAAAGAAGAAAGAGCTCAGGTCAACAACCTACTTTAATACTTCAGGATACGAAAGAAGAACAAACTAAACCCAAGCACAGTGAATGAGGGAAATAATAAGTATTAGGGTGGATATAAATAAAATGGAGAATGGAAACAGAATAGAGGAAATTACTGAAACCAAAAGTTGATTCTTCAAAATAAAATCAACAAAATTGACAACCATTAACTAGATTGGCTAAGAAAAAAAGAGAAAAGATAAAATTACTCAAATCATAAATGAAAATGGACTCTGAGCATGGTGGGTCATGTTTTAATCCTAGCACTTTGGGAGGTCACAGCAGAAGGATTTCTTGAAACCAGGTGTTTGGACCAGCATAGGTAACCTGGGGAGATGCTGTCTCTACAAAAAAAAAAAAAACCAATTAGCTGGGCATGTTGACATGCACCTGTAGTCCTAGCATCTTGGGAGGCTGAAGAAGGAGAATTGCTTGAGCCCAGGAGGTTGAGGCTGCAGTGAGCCATAATCACACCACTGTATTCCATCCTAGGGTGGCCTACAGAGTGAGAGCCTGTCTCTCTGTCTTAAAAGAAAAAGAAAAAAGAAAAATGAAGCGATTACTACCAATTCTAATAAAATAATGATTATGAAAGTACTATAAATAATTGTATGCCAATAAATTGGATAACCTAGATGAAATAGACAAACTCCTAGAAACACACAAAAATATGAATATAACTATAATCAGTAAGAAGATTGAATCAATAAAAGCATTTGATGAAATTCAGTATTTTTTCATAATAAAAACATTCTAAGAATGGAAGGCAACCACCTCAACATAAAGGCAATATGTGAAAAACCCAATGCTAACATCTTACATAACAGAGAAAGACTGAAAACTTTCCCTGTATGAGCAGGAAAAGACAAGGATGCCTGCTATTGACACTTTTATTCAACATAGTAGTGAAAGGTCTAATCAGAAAAATTAGGGAAGAATTTTTAAAAAGACATTCAAATTGGAAGGAAGGAGTAAAATTATTTCTGTTTATAGATAACTTGAACTTATTTGTAGAAAATCCTAAAGATGGAACAAACCTATTAGAATTAATAAATTCAGTAATGTTGCACAATACAAAATCAACATTCAAACATCAGTTGTATTTCAATACACTAACCATGAACAATCTGAAGGGAAATTAAGAAAAATAATTTCAATTTATATTCACATCAAAAAGAATAAAATATTTAGGAATAAGTTTAACCAAAGAGGTGAAATGATTATACCTGAAATCTACAAAGTATTGCTGAAAGAAATGAAAGATGACATCAATAAATTGAAAGACATTTTGTGTTCATGAATTGGAAGACTCAATATTGTTAGGAGGACAGTGCTGCCCAAAGTGAGCTGCAGATTCAATACAATTCCTATCAGAATCTCAGTGACATTTTTGCAGAAAAAGAAAAATCTGTCCTAAAATTTATATTGCATCTCATGACTCTAAATAGACACACAGCTTTGAAGAGGAAGAATGAAGCTGGAGGACTCACACTTCCTGATTTCAGCATTTACTACAAAGCCCCAGTAATCAATACAGTGTGGTACTGGCATAAAGGAGGACATAGAAATTAATGAAATATCATAGCCCAGAAAGAAATGCTTGCATATATGGCCAAATGATTTTCATCGAGTGTGCCAAGATCGTTCAATGGGGAAGGGACAGTGTTCTCACCAAATGATATTGGGAAAGGTGGATATCCAAGGGCAAGAAGAGTGGAACCTTTACCTAACACCATGTACAAAAATTAACCCACAATAGATCAAAGATCTAAATGTAAGAGTAAAAACTATACAACTCTTAGAAGAAAAACTTCATGATAGTGGATTTCACAATGATTTCTTGGTTGTAACAACAAAAGCATAGGCAACAAATAAAATGGATAAATCAGACTTCATAAAAATCAAAACCTTTTATATAGCCCATGCAAAGTTCCTCAGCATCACGAATACTTAGAGATATGCAAATCAAAACCACAATGTTACAACACCTCACACACTTTAGGATGGCTTTGATAAACAACAACAATGACAGCAACACTAAACAACAGGTGTTTCCAAGTAGATGGAAAAATTGGAGCTCTAGTGCATTGCTGATGGGAATGGGAAATGTTATAGCCAATGTAAAAAGTAGTGTGGCTGTTTTTCAAAAAATTAAACAATAAATTACCATTTGATCCAGCAATTCCCCTTCTGGACATACTCCCTATAGAATTGAAAGAAATTTGAAGAAATATTTGTACACTGATGTACAGAGAAGCATTACTCACACTAGCCAAAAATGGAAACAACTGAAAAGTCCATTGAAAGATAAGTGGGTAGGCAAATGAGATGTATCTATACATTGAAATGTTATTCAACCTTAACAAGGAAGAAAATTACAATACATCGTGCAAAATGGATGAACCTTGAAGATATTATGCCAACTGAAATAAGCCAGACACAAAAGGATAATTATTATATAATTCCATTTATAAAAGATAGTTAGAATAGCCAGTTACATAGAGACAGAAAGTAGAATGGTGGGTGTTAAGGGTTAGGGGGAGAAGGAGTGAGAGTTACTGTTTATTGGGTACAGAGGTTTAATATGGTAAGAGGAAAAAGTTCTGGAAATGGATAGTGTGATAGTTACACAACACTAAATTGCACACTTAGTTAATGGTAAGTCTAATATTAGATATATATAAAGTGTCTCGTGGTCTTGCCCTCTCTATAATTACACACTTTTTGGCACTGCCCCTTTCCTGCCATGCAGAGCCCCAGGGGTGAATCTCCCTATTTCTCTAGCTCTGCATCAGTCACTGTCCTCCGTGCTGTGTCCCACGTGCTGTGCCCAAAGCCTCATACAGCTGGTGACTTCAGAGCCAGGATGCAGCTCAGGAGTCAGCCCTGAAGCTCCCTCTCTTCTTATTTCCCTGCAGCCTGGCCCGGGGGAGGCTTGGCTTCAACTGGCAGCTCGATTTAGCCAACTTCAGGACAGGCCACCAGGGCCCTTTCTCCACACATGTTGGTTCCACCCCAGGTGGAGTCAGGCAGGGCCAGGCCAGTCACCAGAGGAGCCCGGAGCAGAGCAGGAAGCAGAGTCTGAGCTGCTCCTCCCTCACCCAAAGGGCTTCCTCCTCTCATTTGGGGGAAAAGTGTGAGCTTGTTTCAAAGCCTCAGATGTTCCTTGTAGCTCATGGAATAGGTACAAGAAAACAAAGACATGGCAGAAGGGGATGTGTTCGTGACAGCGAGAAGCAACTTGATCTTGAGGACTCTCCTTCTTGTCCCTCTGTGAAGCCTCTTCTACCACATAGGGCTCAGGGCTGATAAAGCCCCCTCCCTACCTTTCTCAGGCCAGACACAAGGTCAGCCATGAGAAAACAGAAAAACAAGCAGAAGAGAGTCTGTAGAGATAAGTTGGGAGGGTTCAGGAGGAGAATTTGGGATTTGCTTGTGCCCATGGGACACAGTCTGGGAATACAAATGTTTTCCTGACTCTTCTCTGAAAGCCAGATAGACTCCACCTAAAACCCTATTGCCAAGGATGCTGGGATCCACTTACCAGAGACTTTGACTATCATGGATTTGGAGATTTCCTTGCCAGTGGCTGAGTTACGAACAGAGCAAGCATAGAGCCCGCTATGATTTGTAGTAATTTGGGGGATAAAGAGCTTTTGTCCTGATAGCTGAAACTTCCCATTAATTGTCCAAGAATACTCTGCCGGTGGGTTAGAGTCCGCAAAGCAGGACAAGTCGAGGTTTTCTCCTGAACGGTAATAGGTGAATGAAGGGTAAATTCTGGGGAGGTCTGGACCATCTGGAGGAAAGAGAATAAAGCCACAGGTGATGTCATCCAAGGGAAGGGGATGCTCCTGGTCTCTTAAAGGGACACAGTGACCCTCTGAACCAAGACACAACCTCAAGTGACAGCCAAATCCCATCTATGTTTACTAAGCCCAAGCCTGAGGTATTCCCCTGTTTCTCTCATTACAAGCTGTGGGCCCCTAGTGTCCCATGACAAGAGCGCCCCTCCCCTTATATTCTTGGTTAAGGCTGTGCCTACCCAGGATTTCCCAGGGCAGGGAGTCATGGCCAGGTCTGATGTCCAGAAGTAAAGTTGTCTATACTTGGACCGGAGAGAGACTGAGAGGCCTGGCCTCTGGTCGTTTGGAGTTAAGCTGGTGTCCTGGCCCACAGAGGAACAAAGGATACTCACAGAGGACATTCAGGGTGACTGGGTTACTGCGGATGCCACCATATCGGTCCCGTATTTCACATTGATAGGGTCCTGTTTCATTTCTCGTGACACTGGGTAGAATGAGTATCCTGTTTTCAATGGGTCGCTTTACCCTCGGACTGACCGGGAGGCTCTGACCATTTAGCCACCAAATGTAGGTGTAGTTCCGACTCTTAGGTTCACAGGTGAAGGCTAACACATCCTTCTTCTCCCTGGGGTTTAAGTTGTTGATGGTGATGTAAGGCATGGGCAGCTTCGCTGTGTGGATAACAGAAGATTGTCCTGTGTGGCACCTTTGATTCCTCCACAGGCATCCTTCATTCAGAGTTGGCATCTCCCACCTGTCAACCCACATGAGTCCTTGAAAGCCAGTAGCTGGTGCATGTGTCACAAGACAGATGTATGATGATCTAAGGGCTCAAAGACTGTGAGGCCTCCTGCTCTGTCTTAGGGAAGCACAGACTTTCTCAAGTGTCAATTGAGCAGCAGTGTTGGGTCATGGACAGACACGTCAGTGGGAGTCACAGCCCCTGGTACCCCTCCCAGTCCCTCCATAATCAGTTGACTGGCTGGCTCACCCTGGGTTCCTTACCTGGAATGTGCAACTGCTGGGCCCCTTCCAAATTACATCCTACTTTGCCCCCCTAGATGTGATTTCTCTGCAGCTTCCATTTCCAAGGACATTCTAGAGATGAGTAATAATGGGACTTCCCATTGTCCTGAAACCCTGCAGATACTGAGCAGCCTGGCCTGGGACTGGATGTTTCAGCAGAAATAACACAGGGAAGACCAGAGTCAAGCCTGTAGGTCAGTTCAGTCATCAGGCACTAGAGGCACCAGGTGGGGCAGTTTTTTTGCAGGTGTTTCATGATGACTTACTTGAACCAGTGACCTCTAAAGATAGAGCAGAGTGCAAGGAATGATCTAGAAAGAGTGAAGGGGACAGGCAAGAGCTGGTGGCTTTGGAGCAGAAGCATGTTCCCTGTCCTGGGTTCTTTAAGTTTCCTCTCCTTCTGCAGAGGGCAGGTGAGGACCATGTGGATCTTTCTAGAAATACATGTGGACATTTGCAAATGCAGAACTGAGTGGTGGAAAGGGTGGGAATGAACTGCTGGAAATCTAGTCCTCATGGACCATGTGTGTTTGATGGATATGAGACAAATTTGGAGAGAAGTTTTGCAAATATTTTCTTTCATTGGACATTCTACTCTCTGATTCCATGGGTTCCACTAATCTAGGGACCTCATGTAAGTTGATTCCAGATTGAATATGAGACGAGGCTGCTGGAAGCCAGGAGCTGGGAGTGGGGAGAATCAGAAGTTGTTCATGGGTGTGCAGTTTCAGTTATACAAGTTGGAGAGGTTCTAGAGATCTGCTGTAGAGCTTGATGCCTATAGTTCACACAGATTATCTCTTATGCATAAGTTTTAGGACAAAAAGTGTTTTGGATTTCTGATATTTTTTGATTCTCAAATATTTGTCATATACTTACTGGTTTAGCATCCCAAATCTGAAAGATTCAAAATGTAAAATGCTTCAGTGAGCATTTCTTTTCAGCATCAGATTAGTAGGCAAAAGTGGGAGGTGATAAGCCAGATATATTCTTGCCCTTTTTTTTCTCTCACCATGTTTCTAGCTTGGTGATTAGTTTTCGGTGAATTCCATAGTGGCCATGCTGCACTCGTATATTTTTGAAGGCTTTGGGATGTGAGAAAGGCTGATTGCTATTTTCTATGTCATCAGAACTTTCCACCTTTTCTGGTTGCTTCTTTTTCTCAGTGTTTGTGTTGTGGCAGTCATTAAGAAGAGCCTGTCAGCTCAGATTTAGGACAGAGTTTTCTAAATTCTGCAAAAAATGTTACTGGGATTCTGGTAGGGGTTGCATTGAATCTGCAACTCAATTGGGTAGTATTGCCTTTCTAACAATATTGCTTCTTCCAATCCATGAAAATGAAATGTGTTTCCATATATTGATATCGTCTTTAATTTCTTTCAGCAATGTTTTGTAGTTTTCAGGGTATAATCATTTGACCTTTTTGGTTAAACTTATTCCAAAATATTTTATTCCTTTTGATGTTAATGTGAATTGAAATTCTTTCCTTAACTTCCTTTCAGATTGTTCATTGTTAGTGTATTGTCTAAAGAATGATCTAGAAAGAGTGAAGGGGACAGGCAGAAGCTGGTGGTTTTGGAGCAGAAACATATTCCCTTTCCTGGGTTTTGATTTTCCCTCTCCCTTTGCAGAGAGCAGGTGGCTCTTCCCTGACAGCTAGATAGACTTTACTGGAAAACATGGTGCCAATGCTCCAGGGATCCACTTACCAGGGACTATGATCCTCTTGATTATGAGATTTGTTCCACCAGTGGCTGAGTTATGGATGAAACAGACATAGACCCCTCTATATGTTTTAGTGATTTGGGGTATAAAGAACACTTGTGCTGATTGCTGGAACTTCCCATCAATCAGCCAAGAATGCTCTGCCAGTGGGTGAGAGTCTGTGAGGCAGGAGAGCTTGGGGACTTCCCCTGTATGGTAATAGGTGTATGAGGAAGAAACGGTGGGAGCATCCAGGCCATGCGGAGCAAAGAGAATAATGTCACAGGCGATATTGTCAGAGGGAAGGGAAAATCCTGGTCTGTGGAAGGGACACAGTCACAGTGACCCTGTGAGCCAAGTTGCAACACTGAAGTCCCAGCCAAATCCCCGCTGTGTTCACTGATCTGGAGCCTGAGACATTCACCTGTTTCTTCCATCACAAGCTGTGGAACCTGAGTCTCCCATGACAGGAGAAGCCTCTTCTCTCTTATTGTTGATCAAGCCTAGGCCTACTCTGGTTTGCCTGGAGCAGAAAGTCATGGCCAGCTTTGATGTTCAGGGATAAAGGTCTCTGTACTTGGACCTGAGAGGGACTGAGAGGCCTGGCCTCTGGCCACTTGTATTTGGGATGGCAGCCTGGCTCACAGAGGAACAGAAGATACTCACGGAGGAGATTCAGGGTGACTGGGTCACTGCGGCTGGCACTCACTGGGTTCCGTATTTCACATTCATAGGGTCCTGCAATATACTTTGTGACACCAAATAGATAGAGGGTCCTGTTGGTTTTGGACAGCTGCAACCTGTGAGTCATAGGGAGGTTCTGACCATTCAGCAACCACAGGTAGCTTGCATCCGGAGTCTCAGGATCACAGATTAAGCGCACAGCCTCCATGACCTCCCTGGGGTTTAAGTTGCTGCTGGAGATGGAGGGCTTGGGAGTCTCCGCTGTGCAGAAAACAGAGAGAAGATTGCCCTGTGTGGCACCTTTGATTCCTCCAAAGGCATTTTTCAATCAGAGTTGGCATTTCCAACCTCTCAGCCCACCCAAGTCCTTAAAAGCCCATGGCAGGTGTGTGTGTTACAAGACAGATGCATGGCAACCTGAGGGCTCAGTGATTGTGAGGCTGCCTGCTTTATGTAGGAGAAGCATGGACTTTCTCAAATGTGAATTGAGCAGCAGCATTGGGTCATGGAAAGACACAGGACCAGCAGTCACAGCCCCTGGTGCCTCTCTGAGTCCCTCCGTCTCCAACTGCCTGCCTGGCCCACCTTTTGGTCCTTACTTGGGGCATGCAGTGCTGGAATCTTGTTAGTTTCAGTCTCACTTTGCCCCCTGAGGTATGTTTTCTCATCAGCTTCCCTTGCCAAGGACATCCTAGAGATGGATGATGGAACTTCCCATTGTCCTTAAGCCCTTTGGGTATTAGAAAGCCTGGCCTGGAACTGGGTACTTCAGCAGAAATAACACAGGGGAGACCAGAGTCAGGCCTGGAGGTCAGTTCAGTCATCAGGCAGTGGAGCCACAAGGTGGGGCAGTTTTCCAGGTGTCTCATAGTGACTGAGTTGAGCCAATGACTCTAAAGATAGAGCAGAGTCCAAGGAATGACCTACAAAGAGTGAAAGGGACAGGCAAGAGCTGATAGGTTTGGCCCAAGACCATGATCCCTGTTCTGGGTCCATGATGCTCCCTTCCCCCTGTAGAGGGCAGTTGAGGACCATATGGATCTTTCTAGAAATACATGTTGATGTTTGCAAATGCAGAACTGACTGGTGGAAAGGGCAAACATGAACAGATGACAGAAGTCTGGCCCTCAGGGACCTTATGTGTTTGGTGGATATTAGACCAATATTTGGGAAGAAGTCTTGCAGATACTTTCTCTTATTAGACATTCTACTCTCTGATTCTGAGTTTGACTACTCTATGTACCTCATATCAGTGGATTCCAGAGGGAATCAGAGATTAGAATAGTAGTTTGCAGCAACTGAAATCACGGGTATAGGGCGTTGTTCCGTGGGTGTGCGGTTTCTGTTATGCAGGATGAGGAGGTTCTAGAGATCTCCTGTGCAGCCTCGTGCCTATACTTCATGCAGATACAGTGCTCCTTATGCAGAAAGCTTAAAACAAAGTGTTTTGGATTTCTAATTTTTTTTATTTTGGAATATTTGCAGTATATGTACTGGTTTAGCATCCCAAATCTGAAAAATTTAAAATCCACAATGCGCGAGTGAGCACTTCTTTTTAGCATCACATCAGTGGTCAGAAGTGTTGAGTTTTGAGCATTTCAGATTGTGGATTTCTGGATTTCCGATGCTCAATTTGTAATACTGTAATTTTCCCATAAAAAGTTGTCAGGAGTTTAGACCTCATGTTATATTCTGACTCTAGTAACAAAAAAAATTTGGAGGAAACCTTAAAATGTTTTCATAAGTGGAAATTTTTACTGATGGTCCAAACATCTAAGATCAATTGCTGGTAGTCATATTTCTCTTGAGACCAAAATAAGGTTTAGGTGTGCCATGAATTCCAGCAGGATCACATTATGCTCAAAGAAAGATGCCAAAGGTGATTTGAAATTAGCAACTCCTTAAGTAGAGAGAGTCCTGTTAAAAGGACCGAACTGGTTAGTGTGTCAATTACATAAAAGGAGGAAGGATGCCAAATTAAAAGAAGTGATGTGTGTTATGTTAGTAAATATAGAAAGAACCTGCTTCTAATTTCTGTGCAGAGTTACAAAACATGGGGAGGACCCCAAAACAGGTATGTGAAATGTCTTCTTCATTTTCTCTTAAGGTCAGGAAACACCACTAAAATTTAAGTTTGTGTGAATTAGGAAGAGTCTAAGTGAGATGCCAATGGCTCTTGTGTCTCCCCACACGAAGAACTCCAACTTATGAAAACGGCATCATCATGAGGAAATAGTTGTATGTGGCACAGGCAGTAAAACCATGAGATAGGACCTACCTGGCCACCTCCATCTGGTCCCCAAACCACAAGTATTCCCGTTAAGTGTATGTGACAGCCTTTGTAGTTGTCCCACAACTACAAAATTTAAAAATTGCTATTGTCAAAACAAAATATTAAATATGAAGTTGAATATGTTGTTCCGCTTTTTTTCCCCACTCTTTTTGAGCTTTCCTGTTTCAGTTTTGGAAGTTTCTATTGACACATTCTCAAGCTAGGGATTCTTTCCTCAGCTCTGTGCGGTCTATCAGTAAGCATCAAAAGCATTCTTCATTTCTCTAACAGCATTTTTTTTTCTGAGACAGAGTCTCGCTCTGTCACCCCAGCTGCAGTGGCATGATCTCAGCTCACTGCAAGCTCCACCTCCTGGGTTCATGCCATTCTCCTGCCTCGGCCTCCCAAGTAGCTGGGACTACAGGTGACCACCACCATGCCCAGCTAATTTTTTGTATTTTTAGTAGAGACGGGGTTTCACCATGTTAGCCAGGATGGTCTCTATCTCCTGACCTTGTGCCCGCCTCAGCCTCCCAAAGTGCTGGGATTATAGGCGTGAGCCACTGTGCCCAGCCATCTCTGAAGGATTTTAATGAGTTGTTGACTTTTGAGTTTGTTCAGCTTTTTACTTAGTGTTAGAACCGAGTGACAAATTTCAAGCTTGTTTTATGCCTGACAGGAAGCCAGAAGTCTCTAGAAAGTGACCGGAGAATGTGAGCTCCATAGCAGGTTGAGGATGGAGTCACTAGTGAAATGGGTGAAATGAGCCTATGGGCTTAATTGCTCCTATAATTGCTCCTATAGATAACATCACTATTGTAGAACGTGAGATTGGTCTTTTGAAATGTTTCTCATTCTTTTGCCTTCTGACAACCGGCTGACCTCATCCATACCTATGCCTAATGGCTCAGCCAGTCATGTGGCCCCTACCTAGAGGCAGATTCAAGCACTAACAGATCATTTCCCTCCGCCCGCATGATTCCATCACCAATCAGCAGTACTCATTTTTTAGTCCTGTGCCCCTGAAACTATCCTTGAAAATCTCTAACACCTGATCCACTGGGGAGGCTGATTTGAGTAATAATAAACCTCCACCCTCCTGTTTGGCAGACTTGGAGTTCTTAAAATCTTTCTTTACTGCAAACCACCATTTCAATAAATTTTATTTTATTTTATATTTTTTTGTGTGCAGGAGGCCAGAGGAACTTGTCTGGCAATTACAAGGGTGGATGGGGGAACTGCCTATCCCTGTCCCATGGTCTTGTCCACAGGTCAGCCTCACAAAGGGAAAGAGCCCTGGATGGGAATACAGTGGAAGGTTTCTCTTAGTGACCTGGGGACATTGGCTCGAGAGGAAGCCTGGCAGGAGTGGCAACTCCAGGTGATTTCTGCACCTTTCCTATTTCCTGGGAGGTGGGCCAGGCCACAGTGTTAGCGGGAAGGGAACAGAACAGCCAGCCTAGTTAGAGGGAGTGTCTGGGGAAGGCCTAGGGTTGGAGGAAGAAGCTGTGCAGGACAGGGCTTGCCAGTCAGAATGAAGTGGGAGGAAGATGAGGGACACAGAGAAGCAGAGAGAGGCAGAGACACCATGGCAGTGAGCAGTGAGGGAGACACTGACTTCAAAAACCCCAGGGACCAGGTGCCCCCAGCTCCACAGTCCAGGACCAAAGAGCCCTGAGAACCCTCCGGTGGCCAAAGAACTTCAGAGTTGCATGAGGTGGGGTGGCTTTAGGGTCAAGAGGTAGTGGGGGGATGAAACATGGGTGTCAGCCTCTGAAGGACAAGGGACAGGTGTGGCTAGAACCTCCTAGGATTCTGATTCCAAGATCCAGTCTCTAAAGAGGTTTTGGATCATCCATTTCTTCATTCCATTCCTTCATTTGTTATGTGAGAGCTCCTGAGTGTGTCTCTCTCACTGGGCCTGTGCTGAGGCAGGGTGTGAGTGGGGAAAGAAAACAAGGTCCTCTCCTTGATCCTCTCATGACGGTGACATGGACACTTGGGAAACACAGGATTTCACATTCAGTGATGGAGGTTAAGATCTGAGGGGGAGACCTGGACATTTTTTTTGCACTGACTCTGGCGGTTGAAGCCAGTGATTTAGTTCTGGAGTACAGACTAATCAGCTGACCATTTGCTCTCACTCCTCTGAGGTTTGGATGCCTAAGAAGAGAGGATTTGAGTCAATAAATGACTATGGGGTCCTTGGAACCCAGTAAGCCCTCACTTCTGGTAGAGGAGAGGATGGGCCTGTGGCTGCAGACAGACCTCATGTGACCCCGATCTCCCCTTTGTGTTTGTGTGACTGTGGCTCAGTGACTGTGCCTTCCTGTGCCTCAGTTTTCTCTCAATCAAATGAGCTAAATGGCAAATGGACTGTGGCTTTTCATGCTATCTGTGAATAAATGTTAAAGTATTCACAGTCAACTGACTTAATGCTTGGCACAGTGGAGGTGTTCACACAAACAGCATTTATTATTAATTTGCTTCCATGAGAAAGCACCTTTGCGTCAGATCCCTGTGGACAAACGGCTACCTGGTGCATCTTCTCTCTTCTGTTTCTGCTTCTGGGGATATTAGACTTTCTATGGAGTGTCCTAGGCCTCCTAAGGCAGTTGGCTGATGGCCTACAAAGCTTGTCTTTCTGTCCTCTCCACTCTGAGTGTCAGGTGAAGAAAGCTCTGTCCTTGCCCAGATGAGGCTCTGAGGACTGAGCCCTGGCTGGTGAACAGCTCCAGGAGACACAGTCCTCAGACAGCTGGTAAATCCTTGGTCCCAGTAAGCCCTGCCAAAGAAGCCACAACCCAGTCCTGGCACAGGCTCCTCAGCTTTACCTGGAGCAAGGATTTAGGGACAGGGGTCTGGGATTGAGGCTTCCAGAGCTGAGGTTCTCTGAGGGTATCTCAGTGGGCCCCTCAGGCCAAGCCCTACTCAGTTTTCCAGGGTCTTTCTCAGGGTCAAATTTATGAAGAGGGCATGAGGTGCTTGGCTGAGACTGATCTCCTCCTGCTGAGTCCCCCCATCAGACTGTCCTTCCTCTGCAGCGAGTGTCTGCAGGGTCTGGATGCGGGAAAGGAATTCTGATCTGTTGAAATGTGTCTCCTCTGTGTGTGTCCTGCACTAAATGCCCAAACCCCAGCATGGGACATAATGCAGAGAGTGACACAGGCAGAGTCCAGGCCTGACAATTCTGTGTGTGTGAAGTAGAAATGACCCCTGCCCCCCAACACCCAGGGATCATGCGGAATCACTCACAGTATAAGGTGACAGTGAAATATCCAGTTACTCCTCCAGTCCCATCGCCTCGCTTTATGATGTGTAAGGTGTAGGATCCTGCATCCTCCTGTGTGACATTCTGGATCAGCAGGGATGCATTGGAATATACTGTTTCTCGTCCACTGTAGGCAGGCCCATATATAATTTGACCGTGTACTACATATGATGTAATGTAATGGTAGAGGTCCGTCATTTGCCCTTTGTACCAGATGTAGCCAGTAAGATTCTGGGGCAAATTGTGGACAAGTAGAAGAACATCCTTCCCCTCGGAAACTTTGGGTGGCTTGGCTTCAATTATTACTTGGGCAGTGGTGGGCAGGTTCCAGAAGTTTAAAAGTGATGCTAGGAGGTAGAGACAGCATCAGTTAATATTTGGACCTATGTATTGGGGTGAAAAGATGGGGCCCTGTGTCCTGAGAAGGTCTCTTCAATCATCAGCCTTGAAGATATGCACACACACACATACAAACACACACACACAAAAGGGCATGTGTGTTTGTGTGTGTGTATGTGTGTGTGTCCTACTGTCCTACTAGGTCAAGGTCAGCAGCATGACCCCCATTCCTTCAACACTCCTGACCTTGGCATTTTTCTGTTTGCAATCCTCTTCCCCAGGGGTCCGCACGGCCCCCTCCACACTGCCCTCAGGTCCTGCTCACATCAGGGCATCCTTAGACTTCTTTCCTGATGCCTGCTTCAGAGACCCTGGGTCTTCCCTTTCTGACCTTTCCCTGCTCTGCTCCCTCTAGGGTTCTTGTCAACACCTGACCTCACATTCTATATCTCTTTGCATGTCTGTCTTCCTCCCCATGAGAGTGTGAGCTCTGTGAGGACAGAGACTTTTGTCATGTTGGTTGCACCCCAGTGCCTGGAACAGGATGCAGACTCCTGTAGATGTGAGAGTTCTCAGGGCCCTCCATGCCCTGGGTGTTTTTTTTCCCCCAATTGTTGAGGTTTTTTGCTGAGGAAAGTGTTTCATGCCCTGGTTACATTTTTATTTGAGGTGTCATCTGATATAGTCATTATTATCATTTTTCAAAATGTGGTGGCCCCTGATGATTAATCAGGAAAACAGAACACTTAAGATTTTACTACCTCTTACCAATTCCGGTTCAATGTGACTTTCCTATTTTGACCCCTGTCCCTCTCTGGTGTATTTTCCCCTATCCAGGCTCCAACAGAGCCTTCTTTCCCTTTTTTTCTTTCTTCTTTTTATTCTTTTTTTTTTTTTTTTTTGAAATGGAGTCTCGTACTGTCACCCAGGCTGGCGTGCAGTGGTGCTGTCTCGGCTAGCTGCAACTTCTGCCTCCTGGGTTCATGTGATTATCCTGCCTCAGCCTCCCGAAAGCTGGGATTACAGGAGCACACCACCATACTTGGTTAATTTTTTGTATTTTTTGGTAGAGACACGTCTACACTGTGTTGGCCAGACTGATCTTGAACTCCTGATCTCGTGATCCACCCACCTCAGCCTCCCTAAGTGCTGGCTTCTTTTATTTTTTAGAACCCCATCCTCTCCAGGATACCCCATCCAGTCACTCTGCTTCCTCCTCCTGTCCTCTCCCAGGAAGTCCTCTCCTCACCTGTGAGCAGGAGCCCCTTCCAGGTGATGTGCTGAGTGCAGGGAGGGGCTGAGAGGGGTCCCATGGTCTCTGCTGTCTGTGTGTTCTCCCCTGTGGAGATGAGCCTAGGATCCAGAGACTTCCTGAGCAGGGCTGTCAGGTGTGCTGTCCTTCCTCCTTCTGTGCTGAGCCTCTTCCCAGGGCAGAAGCACTTCTCAGGCTCATGGGCGGGGTCAGGCCCAGGACACCTCTCTGTCCCCTCCTCTCTCAGTCCTGCCTCCTTGTCCCTCCTTCTGTTTTTCCTTTTGTCTGTGTTTCAGGTCCCTGGGAATTGTGGAGGCCTCTGCCTTTTTCAGCAGTGATTCTTTCACCAAACCTCAACACACACTTTGTGCAGACACACACACACACACACACACACACACACACAGACCCACACAGTGACACACATACCCTGCAGGTTGGGCGAGGACAGTCCTGGGCCTCAGCCTCCTGCTGTCCCCATGGCTCTGGGTCGGGGTGCACATTCATGCCATTTGCCCTCTTTCATCCCCATCTGGCTCTCCCCTTCAGTGCAGGAGGCTGGAGCTGCACCAGGTCCCTTTCACAGTGATGTCCCATTGTGCTGTGGGTGAGCTGTGTGTTGCCTGGTGAGAGGGACCCTTCCTTTTTCTAATCGTGTCTAGCTTGGCTGCAGCTTCCAAGGATGGTCATTCAGGACCTGGGTGTCCCAGAGGAAACTGTCCTTCCTGGAGGTGTGCAGGGTGAATCTCTCATGCCTCTTGGGAGGAGAGGCCTGTGCCTGTTGCTCAGTGGTGGCTGTGAGTCCCATAGTCAAAGGGAAAGTTCTCGGTCACTGTATGACTCCGTGGGGTCCGGTGGCTGAGCTGGAGCTCATGGTTTCTCATGTTCTTCCTGACCATCTTTGATGTCCTCTCTTCTCTGCCCAGCTGATTGTCCTGTGGTCACCACAGCTTCTCCGTGGTGGTGCAGAAGGAAGTGAGGAGTTAAACAGGAACCCGGTGGGACATGGCTCGTTGAGACGCAGGAGGGGGAGCCTGGGTCGGAGCAGAGTTTCAGAGCTGGAGAGATTCATCCCGACCAACTCCGTGGCAATGTTGGGCAGAGCCTTTCATGTGTTGACATACCCAGGGGTCTGTCCTGAGGGTTTTTGACCTGGCCAAGCTGCTGTGTGTAGAGGAGGAACAGGCAGTGGCCAGAGATCCTGTCTGGAGGGACGTTGCTCACACCTGAGCGGGCGGGTGGGGGGTGAGTTGTGTTCTGGGAGCAAAGAGCAATAACATCCCCCTTCTCCCCGCAAGCACACAGGAGAGGTCTGTCTTCCCAAGGGACAGCTGGGGATAGGTGGCCACACCTCGGATGGTGCCTGTGTGTGACCATCACACGCGCTCTGAGCCCCGTGGGGTGCAGCGTGCAGGCAGGTCACAGGGTGCCTGGCTGATTCCCGGTGAGGCTGTGGGCCCTCAGGCAGCCGCTATTCTGTGTCAGCGCTAAGCTTGGCCTGGGATGCCCCAGGGAACAGGACAGATGGAGCAGGGGCGGGCATTTAGGGAGCGGTGACAGAAAGAGTTGATGAGGATGGAGGGAGGTCACGAGGGGAAAGCGCCCAGTGTGGCATCGCGTGCACCAGCGCTGCCCTGGGAGATGCCTTTAGCTGGGCCCAGGGAAGGAGCAGGTGTGTGGGGCAGGAGCTACCTGCAGAGGGCGTGGTGTTAGGTTGGTGGCCCCCAGGTCAGGGAGGAGCTGACAGAGTCCGTGTGGGGAGCATGGAGGGCGCTGAGGACTTAGGCCGAAGTGACCCTGGTGAGGGTGGACACTGCTGGGCTGTGGGTTCCGCTGAGGGAGGTTGGCTTCCCCTGGGAAGGCTCCAGGCTGGGAGGGACTCGGTCACCCTCTGGTGGACAGGGAGGGAAGTGTGAACGGCAGCAATCCCAGGCCAGGCTGCATGTTTTATTCCACGTGGATCTGCACACTTCACACGAGGTAACACGTATGTTATGTTACAGCTCCTTCACCTTCCAGCCCCGTGAGACCCAGTCTTTGTGGCTGTACGTTCACTGTTCTCCCTCTTTCACAGTCAGATGTCCCAAAGGCAGATTTTTGTCACCTTTGTGAGTTTGTGTTTGTGTGCAGTAGGTGGCACTGTGTATACCCTGGGAGCAGTGATGTCTGGGGCTGAGCAGTGCACGTGGGCTTGGGAGCAGAAGAGGGAGCAGCAGCGTGGGAAGATCAATGTCAGAGGGGCAGGGACAAGTCATTTTCATTTTCTCACTCCCAGGGACCAATCCCAGGATTCTGACTCCAGGGCACAGTACCACACCCTGCTTGTGTCCCTGGATGTCATGATGCTCATAGTGTCATGTTGCCTTGGCATTCATTTTTTAAGGTGTAAGTTTATTTGCCTCAAATCAGAGGCAGGGCTTGGTCACCATGGCAGTTTTCAATACTGTATCTGGTTCAAGTGGCTCCAGTTGGTGGCCAGAGATAAAATCTTAGAGGTATCTCTCCTGCTTGGTGTGCTGGGCTCACCTCTCTCCAGCTGCTTTCTTTAAACTGATAATTCTGACATTTGCCCTCACATTTAAAGTGACCACCTCTCAGTCACAGCTTGAGCTCCTGGTCCCAGTGTTTGCTGCTTGCTTTGAACACATCCATTAAAGCTCCCTGCTGGAAACCTGTCAGATAACACCCTGGACTTAATAAAGGCATTGGCTTACCGGTCTCTTCTCTCCTCCCTGCCTGGGCTCACTGACCTCTGTGTCTGTGGCCTCCAGGTGTGCTGAGTGCTCCCTAGTGTCTGTAAGTAGTAAAAATACTTATATTTTCACGTTCTTGTTATATCATTATAGCCTCACATGCCATCCAGGGCCTGACATTGAGGCTGCCCTATGGGACTTGTGCTGGTTGAGCTTCTGCTGGAGCTCTTGTTTTGGGGCCTCTGGTTCTCCTGGGGACAGGAGCTTCCAGCTAACTTGATTGAAAACCTGATGCCTTTCATTGGAACACTGGGTCAGGTGATGTATTCATGGGCTTCACCTGCCATAACATAACCTTAGCCTGGGTGAATTAAATAATAGAAATCTATTTTTCACAGTTCTGTGAATAATGTGCTATTTTAACCACTTTAAAATGCACAATCAAGTGAAATTAACCACATACACCATGTTAAATTACCATCACCACTATTTTTCCTAGAAAATTTTTATCATTTTAAACTGAAACTTTGTCACTTTTAAACAATACCTCCCTGTATGTTCCACCCTAGACCTTGATCATCTCCACTCTCTCTCTATGAATTTGCCTATTCTTGATGTTTCATATAAATGGAATTATACAATTATGTTATTTTGTTTCTGACATATTTCACTTAGCATAATGTTTCCCAAGTCCATGCATGTTCCAGTGGGTGTCAGAGCTTCATTCCTCTTTATGGCAGGTTAACAATCTGTTGTATGTGTCACCATATTTGTTTATTCATGTGTTGATGAACACTTGGATTATTTTCATATTTTATCTTTTGTGAATAATGCTGCAATGAACATTCCCATGCAAGTACCTGTTTGAGGCCCTGGATTTAATTCTTTGGGTATGTACCTAGGAATGCCTGTTGTTTCAAATGAGAATTCTATGATTAGCTTTTTGAGGAACAGCAAAACTCTTTCTCCAAGTGGCTGTACCTTTTCATATTCTCACCAGCCATGTATGAGGATTCCAAATTCTACATAATGCTGCTACTTGTTGTTTAACATTTTAAAAGAATGGTAGCCAGTTTTGTAGGTGTGATGTGGTGTCTCATTGCAGCTTTGACTTTGTATTTTCCTAATGACTATAGATGTTGAGTATCTTTTCATGTCCTTCTTGACTATTTGTATATCTTCTTTGAAGAAATGTCTATATGAGTCTTTTGCCCATTTATAAATTGGATGGTTTGTCCTTTTGTTATTGAGTTTTAGCTAGTTCTTTATATTAACTGGATATGAAAACTGCCTATATGTGGTTTGCAAATATTTTCTTTCATTCTTTTCTATTAATTATTTTCTTGATAATTTCCTTTGATGTACAAAAGGCTCACATCTTGATAAAGCCCAACATATCTTGTTTTTCTTGTTTCTCATGCTTTTGTATCATATCTAAGAATCCATTACACATTTGAGTTCATCAATATTTACCTCTATGTCTAGTTTAAGATGTTTTTATGGTTATAGGTCTTATATTTTACTCACTCATCAATTTTTTAGAGAATTGTTTGATATGGTGGGAGGCAGAGTTATCTAAATTCACTGTTTTGCATGTGGTTATCTAGTTGTTTCTGTACTATGATTTGAAAGGAGAATTGTTCATCCATTAAATTGTCTTGACACCCTCTTCAAGGAGTAATTGACCATAAGTTTGAGGGTTTATTTCTAGATTCTTAATTCTATCCCATTTGTCTTTATGTCTATTCTTTTGCCAGCAGCTTATGTCTATTCTTTGGCAGCAGCTTCCATTTTAATAATTGTACTCTTTTGTGAGATTTCAAATAAGAAAGTTCAAGTCCTACAATTTATTTTGGCAAGATTGTTTTAGCTACTCAGGGGTACTTTTTTGAAAGGTGGGGAGGCCAATGTTTCACAATTGGGAAAGCCTTTTCTCTCTTCTTCAGGGGGAAATTTGGGAGAAGCTTTTAAGAAACTTTATCTAAGTAGGTAAACTGTCACCACTTTATTTGCTGAAGTGCTATGTTAAAGTGTGCATTGCCTCTTGTGGAAGAATTATGAGACCCTGGAAGCACTTGCCCATGTGGTGAGAGACAGTGAATTCCACGATGAGGGGCAGAGAGGACATTGTTTTGGGATACAGTGTTGTTGGGGGAGTTGTATACATCTCAACTTCTTTATGTCTCTGTACAGTGGGTGTAGGGAGCAGCCCCACAGGGTCGTTGGGTTTTTCTCCCTGTGTGTGGAGATGAGAGATTGTGGAAATAAAGACACAAGACTAAGAGATAAAAGAAAAGACAACTGGGCCTGGGGGACCACTACCACCAAGATGCGGAGACCGGTAGTGGCCCTGAATGCCAGGCTGCACTGATATTTATTGGATAGAAGACAAAGGGGCAGGATAAGGAATGTGTGCCATCTTCAATGATAGGAAATGCCACCTGTGTCACATGTCCACTGGACAGGGGGCCCTTCCCTGCCTGGCAGGTGAGGCAGAGAGAGGGAGGAGAATGAGAGAGAGAGCTTACAGCATTATTTCTGCTTATTAGAGACTTTTAGTACTTTCACTAATTTGCTACTGCTAACTAAATGGCAGAACCACGTGTACAGTATGGAACATGAGGGCGGACTAAGAGTGTGACCACTGAAGCACAGCATCACAGGGAGACGGTTAGGCCTCTGGATAACTGTGGGTGGACCTGACTAATGTCAGGCCCTCCACAAGAGGTGGAGGAGTAGAGTCTTCTCTAAACTCCGCCGGGGAAAGGGAGACTCCCTTTCCGGTCGGCTAAGTAGTGGGTGTTTTTCCTTGACACTGAGGCTACCACTAGACCACGGTCCACTTGGCAAAGGGTGTCTTCCCAGACGCTGGTGTTACCGCTAGGCCGAGGAGCCCTCTAGTGGCCCTGTCTGGGCATAACAGAAGCCTTGCACTCTTGTCTTCTGGTCACTTCTCACTATGTCTCCTCAGCTCCTATCTCTGTATGGCCTGGCCTTTCCTAGGTTATGATTATAAAGCGAGGATTATTATAATATTGGAATAAAGAGTAATTGCTACCAACTAACAATTAATGATATTCATATATAATCATATCTAAGATCTGTACCTGGTATAACTATTCTTCTTTTATATTTTATGATACTGGAACAGCTCATGCCCTGAGTCTCTTGCCTCAGCACCTGGGTGGCTTGCCGCCCACAAGTGGGCATCTCCATTGGACACAGTAGGTTTTGAAATCCTTGTTTATCCTCTGGGGTCTGGGTCTTGGCTTACCTATTAGCTGCAACTGAAAGAGGAGTCTGTTAAGTCAATGACTCCTGTACGGAGTAGAAGGTTTCAGCAGAGTGAAAGTAGCTGGGGTTCATAGAAGCCAGGAATGTCTGACTCTTAGAAACTGTGTGTCAGCAGATGGGTGTCCTCAGGGGTACATGGGCCATGCCAGTAGCCACTGCAGTGGACTGGAAGAAGGTAAGGGATGCTGGGTATCCCATGTTCTCTCTCAGCTCTGCAGCTGAAGATTTGGGCCCTGGGCTTGTACGACCCTGAAGCAGGGGAAGGGTATACAGGAATGGCTGCATATCAGGACCAAGTCCATGTCATCTTCTGAGGCATTGTTACTGCAGATGGAGGATTCTGTTCAGAGACCAGGCCTGGACACATGGGAGGGCCCACCCCATTCTTTTAAAATTGTTTTAAGAGAACAGTATTAGCAAATGTAGTACATGTTTTATTCTGCTAGAATCAGTCTTACTGTCACGTTTTACAATGTATCTCTTAGGAAATGGTGAGAGCCATCCACACAATGTGCATTTAAAGGGGAGTCTACTATAATTTCAGCTTTCCTACTCTTTATAGAAACCATCTTCTCTGCAAACACACAGGCAATATCTCTGTGTTCATTTCTATTGGGAGCCCTGTATGCAAGATGGAGAGAGCCACATTTCCTCCTGAGATGTTATGTAAAAGTCTGAGGTTGAGATGACATATCTGACACTCTGTTGTTACCCTCAGAAGCTCCTATACTACATGTGAAATTCTAATGACTGCATTATCCTGCCAAGTGAAAGAGGCAGGCACAAGCAAGGACAGCTAAGAGGGGTGAGAGCCTCATCATGATGGGGAGTCTTATTCTGACATCTTGGGAAAAGCTGTCCACAGTGTGAAGTCATCAACTTGTTTTCCTTGTTTACAGTTTGAGCAGCTGTTGTTATGGTGTTGAACATTTTGGTGAGTTCTGAGTGGCTCAGACATCAGGTACAAGGATTTTCCCATGAAATTTACATTGAGTTGTCCAACTCTGACTTATAGGGCTTCTGGAACAGAGTGGGTCTTGCTCTTTGAGGTTCCATGGGAGAAGATGGAATTGGAGGAACTAGTAGAATTCAGGGTAATGTCCAGTCTACAGTGGATAATAAAAACACAGAAACAATGAACAGAGCTGCAATCTCATAACAGGTGTACTACGGTTTTATTTTCCACATAATTTTTCTCTCTATGGGCATCTCTAGTTTTACCAATGATAATTTCAGTAGAATAAGTTTGTTTGCAAAATAGGTTGAGTTTCTTCAAACTTGGTCTGATTGTTTACATAAGTGCAGCAAGAGTAGCAATGGACTATGTAGGCTCTCTTTTAAAATTTTCTTTGCTGTAAGTTTTTATAAGGAATCTCAGATTAAACCTTTACAAAACTCTTGAGAATAGGAAGCCAAACCAAGGCTGACTTCAGAGTTTGCCTGCAGTTCATACTGGTTCATTCTAGCTATATTCTTAAATATAACATCCCAGTCAAAGCCTTGGTAATATAACCAATGATTTGAAATGTGTCCTGTTACAAAGAGAGCAGGTTGTTACTCTGTTTGTGCAAATATCTGTATTACCATAAACATATCAATACTCATGAATAGTTGCCCAATTCTGGGGCATTCAGGTAGAGAGCAAAAGTAAATATTTCAATTATCATTCCCAGAAGTATAGTTTATTGAACCACTATAAGCTAGAGATAGATTAAAAGACAAATTTCCATAAATCTAGAAAACTATCCACATAAAGAATCAGCATATTTTCAAATAAAAATCATAAAAACATTATCCTCATTATTATCAATTATTTCAATGAAATCAATGTTTTTCCTGCTTGGTCTAGGCTGGGAATGTTATGAAGATATCAGCCTGTTTGTTAAAGTTTTCGAAGTTCTTAGACAAATTTGGAGGGTTCAGGAGGAAAATTTGGGATTTGCTTGTGCCCATGGGACACAGGCTGGGAATACAAATGTTTTCCTGACTTTTCTCTGAAAGTCAGATAGACTGCACCTAAAACCCTATTGCCAAGGATGCTGGGATCCACTTACCAGAGACTCTGACTGTCACGGATTTGGAGCTTTCCTTGCCAGTGGCTGAGTTACGAACAGAGCAAGCATAGAGCCCGCTATGCTTTGTAGTAATCTGGGGGATAGAAAGCTTTTGTCCTGATAGCTGAAACTTCCCATTAATTGTCCAAGAATACTGTGCCGGTGGGTTAGAGTCCGCAAAGCAGGACAAGTAGAGGTTTTGTCCTGAATGGTAATAGGTGAATGAAGGGTAAATTCTGGGGAGGTCTGGACCATCTGGAGGAAAGAGAATAAAGCCACAGGTGATGTTATCCGAGGGAAGGGGATGCTCCTGGTCTCTTAAAGGGACAGAGTGACCCTCTGAGCCGAGACACACCCTCAAGTGACAGCCAAATCCCCTCTATGTTCACTGAGCCGAAGCCTGAGGTATTCACCTGTTTCTCCCATCACAAGCTGTGGGCCCCAAGTCTCCCATGACAAGAGCGTCCACTCCCCTTATATTCTTGGTTAAGGCTGTGCCTACCCAGGTTTTCCCAGGGCAGGGAGTCATGGCCAGCTCGGATGTCCAGAAGTAAATATGTCTATACTTGGACCGGAGAGAGACTGAGAGGACTGGCCTCTGGTCGTTTGGAGTTAAGCTGGTGTCCTGGCCCACAGAGGAAGAAAGGATACTCAAGGATACTCACAGAGGACATTCAGGGTGACTGGGTCACTGCGGATGCCACCATATCGGTCCCGTATTTCACATTGATAGGGTCCTGTTTCATTTCTCGTGACACTGGGTAGAATGAGGATCCTGTTTTCAATGCGTCGCTTTACCCTGGGACTGACCGGGAGGCTCTGACCATTTAGCCACCAAATGTAGGTGTAGTTCTCACTCTTAGGTTCACAGGTGAAGGTTGAGACATCCTTATTCTCCCTGGGGTTTAAGTTATTGATGGTGATGTAGGGCTTGGGCAGCTTCGCTGTGTGAATAACAGAGAGAAGATTGTCCTGTGTGGCACCTTTGATTCCTCCACAGGCATCCTTCAA
Organism: Homo sapiens; assembly: GCF_000001405.40. Classification (NCBI taxonomy): domain Eukaryota; kingdom Metazoa; phylum Chordata; class Mammalia; order Primates; family Hominidae; genus Homo; species Homo sapiens. Next base: position 42,926,784 of record NC_000019.10, read on the forward strand.
TTAGAGTTGGCATCTCCCACCTGTCAACACGTGTGAGTCCTTGAAAGCCAATAGCTGGTGTGTGTGTCACAAGGTAGATGCATGATGATCTAAGGGCTCAAAGACTGTGAGGCCACCTGCTCAGTCTTAGGGAAGCATAGACTTTCTCAAGTGTCAATTGAGCAGCAGTGCTGGGTCATGGACAGACATGTCAGTGGGAGTCACAGCGCCTGGTACCCCTCCCAGTCCCTCACTAATGAGTTGACTGGCTGGCTCACCCTGGGTTCATTACCTGGAATGTGCAACTGCTGGGCCCTTTCCAAATTGCATCCTACTTTGCCCCCCTAGATGTGATTTCTCTGCAACTTCCATTTCCAAGGACATTCTAGAGATGAGTAATAATGGGACTTCCCATTGTCCTGAAACCCTGCAGATACTGAGCAGCCTGGCCTGGGACTGGATGTTTCAGCAGAAATAACACAGGGGAGACCATAGTCAAGCCTGGAGGTCAGTTCAGTCATCAGGCAGTGGAGGCTCAAGGTGGGGCAGTTTTTTGCAGGTGTTTCATGATGACTTACTTGAACCAGTGACCTCTAAAGATAGAGCAGAGTGCAAGGAATGATCTAGAAAGAGTGAAGGGGACAAGCAAGAGCTGGTGGTTTTGGAGCAGAAGCATGTTCCCTGTCCTGGGTTCTTTAAGTTTCCTCTCCTTCTGCAGAGGGCAGGTGAGGACCATGTGGATCTTTCCAGAAATACATGTGGACATTTGCAAATGCAGAACTGACTGGTGGAAAGTGTGGGAATGAACTGCTGGAAATCTGGTCCTCATGGACCATGTGTGTTTGATGGATATAAGACAAATTTGGAGAGAAGTTTTGCAAATATTTTCTTTCACTGGACATTCTACTCTCTGATTCCTTGGGGTTGACTACTCTAGGGACCTCATGTAAGTGGATTCCAGAGTGAATATGAGAAGAGACTGCTGGTTGCCAGGAGCTGGGAGTGGGGAGAATCAGAAGTTGTTCATGGGTGGGCAGTTTCTTTTATGCAAGATGGGGAGTTTCTAGAGATCTGCTGTAGAGCTTGATGCCTATAGTTCACAAAGATGGAGTATTTCTTATGCCTACAACTTAGGACAAAAAGTGTTTTGCATTTCTTTCATTTTTTGATTCTGAAATATTTGTCATATACTTACTGGTTAAGCATCCCAAATCTGATAGATTCAAAGTCTAAGATGCTTCAGTGAGCATTTCTTTTCAGCATCAGATTAGTAGGCATAAGTGGGAGGTGATAAGCCAAAGATATTCTTGCCCTTTTTTTTCTCTCACCACGTTTCTAGCTTGGTGATTAGTTTTCGGTGAATTCCATACTGGCCATGCTGCACTTGTATATTTTTGAATGCCTTGGCATGTGAGAAAGGCTGATTGCTATTTTCTATGTCATGAGAACTTTCCACCTTTTCATGGTTGCATCTTTTTCTCAGTGTTTTTGTTGTGGCAGTCATTAAGAAGAGCCTGTCAGCTCAGATTTAGGACAGAGTTTTCTAATTCTGCAAAAAATGTTACTGGGATGCTGGTAGGGGTTGCATTGAATCTGCAACTCACTTTGCGTAGTATTTTCTTTCTAACAATATTGATTCTTCCAATCCATGAAAATGAAATGTGTTTCCATATATTGATATCATCTTTAATTTGTTTCAGGAAGGTTTGTAGTTTTCAGGGTATAATCATTTGACCTTTTTGGTTAAACTTATTCCAAAATATTTTATTCCTTTTGATGTTAATGTGAATTGAAATTATTTTCTTAATTTCTTTTCAGATTGTTCATTGTTAGTGTATAGTCTGAAGAATGATCTAGAAAGAGTGAAGGGTACAGGCAAAACCTGGTGGTTTTGGAGCAGAAATATATTCCCTTTCCTGAGTTTTGATTTTCCCTCTCCCTCTGCAGAGGGCAGGTGGCTCTTCCCTGATAGCCAGATAGACTTCCCTGGAAAACATATTGCCAATGCTCCAGGGATCCACTTACCAGGGACTATGATCCTCTTGATTATGAGATTTGTTCCACCAGTGGCTGAGTTATGGATGAAAGAGACATAGACCCCTCTATATGTTTTAGTGAATTGGGGTATAAAGAACACTTGTACTGATTGCTGGAACTTCCCATCAATCAGCCAAGAATGCTCGGCCAGTGGATGAGAATCTGTGAGGCAGGGGAGCTTGGGGACTTCTCTTGTATGGTAATAGGTGTATGAGGAAAAAATGGTGGGGGCATCCAGGCCATGTGGAGCAAAGAGAATAATGTCACAGGTGATATTGTCAGAGGGAAGGTAAAATCCTGGTCTGTGGAAGGGCCACAGTGACCCTGTGAGTCAAGTCGCAACACTGAAGTCCCAGCCAAATCCCCGCTGTGTTCATGATCTGGAGCCTGAGACATTCACCTGTTTCTTCCATCACAAGCTGTGGACCCTGAGTCTCCCATGACAGGAGCAGCCTCTTTTCTCTTATTGTGGATCAAGCCTAGGCCTACTCTGGTTTGCCTGGGGCAGGAAGTCACCACCAGCTTTGATGTCCAGGGGTAAAGGTCTACATACTTGGACCTGAGAGGGACTGAGAAGCCCGGCCTCTGGCCATGTGTATTTGGGATGGCAGCCTGGCTAACAGAGGAACAGAAGATACTCACGGAGGAGATTCAGGGTGACTGGGTCACTGCGGCTGGCACTCACTGGGTTCCGTATTTCACATTCATAGGGTCCTGCAGTATAGTTTGTGACACCAAATAGGTAGAGGGTCCTGTTGGTTTCAGACAGCTGCAAGCTGTGAGTCATAGGGAGGCTCTGACCATTCATCCACCACAGGTAGCTTGCATCTGGAGTCTCAGGATCACAGGTTAAAATCACAGCCTCCGTGGCCTCCCTGGGGTTGAAATTGCTGCTGGAGATGGAGGGTTTGGGAGTCTCCACTGTGCGGAAAACAGAGAGAAGATTGCCCTGTGTGGCACCTTTGACTCCTCCAAAGGCATTTTTCAATCAGAGTTGGCATTTCCAACCTCTCAGCCCACCCAAGTCCTTAAAAGCCCATGGCAGGTGTGTGTGTTACAAGACAGATGCATGGCAATCTGAGGGCTCAGAGATTGTGAGGCTGCCTGCTTTATGTGGGAGAAGCATGGACTTTCTCAAGTGTGAATTGAGCAGCAGCATTGGGTCATGGAAAGACACAGGACCAGCAGTCACAGCTTCTGGTGCCTCTCTGAGTCCCTCCATCTCCAACTGCCTGCCTGGCCCACCTTGTGGTCCTCACTTGGAGCATTCAGTGCTGGAATCTTCTTAGTTTCAATCTTACTTTGCCCCCTGTGGTATGTTTTCTCTTCAGCTTCCCTTTCCAAGGACATCCTAGAGATGGATGATGGAACTTCCCATTGTCCTTAAACCCTTTGGGTACTGGAAAGCCTGGCCTGGGACTGGGTACTTCAGCAGAAATAACACAGGGGAGACCAGAGTCAAGCCTGGAGGTCAGTTCAGTCATCAGGCAGTGCAGCCACAAGGTGGCGCAGTTTTCCCAGGTGTCTCATAGTGACTGACTTGAGCCAGTGACCTCTAAAGATAGAGCAGAGTCCAAGGAATGACCTACAAAGAGTGAAGGGGACAGGCAAGAGCTGATAGGTTTGGCCCAAGACCATGTTCCCTGTTCTGGGTCCATGATGCTCCCTTTCCCCTGTAGAGGGCAGGTGAGGACCATGTGGATCTTTCTAGAAATACATGTTGATGTTTGCAAATACAGAACTGACTGGTGGAAAGGGTGAACATGAACTGATGATGGAAGTCTGGTCCTCATGGACCATATGTGTTTGGTGGATATTAGACCAATATTTGGGAAGAAGTCTTGCAGATACTTTCTCTCATTAGACATTCTACCCTCTGATTCTGAGTTTGACTACTCTATGTACCTCATATCAGTGGATTCCAGAGTGAATCAGAGAGTAGAATAGTAGTTTCCAGGAGCTGGGATTAGGGGAATAGGGCACTGTTCCGTGGGTGTGTGGTTTCAGTTATGCAGGATGAGGGGGTTCTAGAGATCTCCTGTACAGCCTCATGCCTATAGTTCATACAGATAAAGTGCTCCTTATGCAGAAAGGTTAAAACAAAGTGTTTTCAATTTCTAATTTTTTTATTTTGGAATATTTGCAGTACATGTACTGGTTTAGCATCCCAAATCTGAAAAATTTAAAATCCACAATGCGCCAGTGAGCACTTCTTTTTAGCATCACATCAGTGGTCAGAAGGGTTGAGTTTTGAGCATTTCAGATTGTGGATTTCTGGATTTGGGATGCTCAATTCGTAATACTGTAATTTTCCCATAAAATGTTGTCAGGAGTTTAGACCTCAGGTTATGTTCTGACTCTAATAACAAAAGAAAAATTTGGAGGAAACATTAAAATGTTTTCATTAGTGGAAATTTTTACTGATGGTCCAAACATCTAAGATCAATTGCTGGTAGTAGTATTTCTCTTGAGACGAAAATGAGGTTTAGGTGTGCCGTGAATTCCAGCAGGATCACATTATGCTCAAAGAAAGATGCCAAAGGTGATTTGAATTAGCAGCTCCTTAAGTAGAGAGAGTCCCGTTAAAAGGACAGAACTGGTCAGTGCATCAATTACATAAAGAGAGGAAGGATGCCAAATTAAAAGAAGTGATGAGTGTTATGTTAGTAAATATAGAAAGAACTGCCTGCTTATAATTTCTGGGCAGAGTTAGGAAAAATGCGGAGGACCCCAAAACAGGTATGTGAAATGCTTTCTTCATTTTCTCTTAAGCTCAGGAAACACCACTAGAGTTTAAGTTTGTGTGAATTAGTAAGAGGCTAAGTGAGATGGCAATGGCTCGTGTGTCTCCCCACACGAAGAACTCCAACTTATGAAAACGGCATCATCATGAGGAAACAGTTGTATGTGGCACAGGCAGTAAAACCATGAGATAGCACCTACCTGGCCACCTCGATCTGGTCCCCAAACCACCTGTATTCCCATTAAGGGTATGTTACAGCCTTTGTAGTTGTCCCACAACTACAAAATTTAAAAATTGCTATTGTCAAAACAAAATACTAAATATGAAGTTGAAATGTTGTTCCACTTTTTTTCCCCCACTCTTTTTGAACTTTCCTGTTTCAGTTTTGGAAGTTTCTATTGACACATTCTCAAGCTAGGTATTCTTTCCACAGCTGTGTGCAGTCTACCAGTAAGCATCAAAAGCATTCTTCATTTCTCAAACAGCATTTTTTTTTTCTGAGACAGAGTCTCTCTTTGTCACCCAGGCTGGAGTGCAGTGGCATGATCTCAGCTCACTGCAAGCTCCGCCTCCCGGTTTCACTCCATTCTCCTGCCTCAGCCTCCCGAGTAGCTGGGACTACAGGTGCCCACCACCACGTCCCACTAATTTTTTGTATTTTTAGTAGAGACGGGGTTTCACCATGTTAGCCAGGATGGTCTGTATCTCCTGACCTTGTGCCTGCCTCGGCCTCCCAAAGTCCTGGGAGTATAGGTGTGAGCCACTGTGCCCAGCCATCTCTGAGGGATTTTAACGAGTTGTTGACTTTTGAGTTTGTTCAGCGTTTTACTTAGTGTTAGAACCGAGTGACAAATTCCAAGCTTGTTATATGCCTGACAGAAAGCCAGAAGTCTCTAGGAAGTGACAAAAGAATGTGAGCTCCATAGCAGGTTGAGAATGGAGTCACGAGTGAAATGGGTGAAATGAGCCCATGGGCTTTGGGAACTGCAGGCCCTTCCAGCCTCTGACACCCTGATGAGTCCGTGCAAAGATTACAACAGTGACAGCAAACTAGCGTGGCTGACTCCATCTGGCATCTAGTCTCAGGCTGGCTGTCCTCACTCATTCCTGGACATAGGCCAGGCTATCCTTGGGAAGAATTTGGTTTATGGTTTAACTTTGAAGCAAGAATGATGATAGTTCCTCCATAAAACTAACACCCTTACTTTGCCCAGGGACTGCCTTGGTAAAACTAGTGAAAGACCATGAGATTTAGATTATAAGAGGGAACTGAATTCTGCTAAAATGTTGGCACAGTTTCTATAATCCCTGACTGCTCCAGTGTCATTTGGCAAGAGTTTACAAAATTTGTAACTAATTGCTCCTATAGATAACATCACTATTGTAGAACGTGAGATTGGTCTTTTGAGATGTTTCTCATTCTTTTGCATTCTGGCAACCGGCTGACCTCATCTATACCTATGACTAATGGCTCAGCCAGTCATGTGGTCCCTACCTAGAGGCAGATTCAAGCACTAACAGATCATTTCCCTCTGCCCACATGATTCCATCACCAAACAATCAGCAGTACTCATTTTTTAGTCCTGTGCCCCTGAAACTATCCTTGAAAATCTCTAACCCCTGATCCACTGGGGAGGCTGATTTGAGTAATAATAAACCTCTGTCCTCCTGTTTGGCAGACTTGGAGTCATTAAAATCATTCTTTACTACAAATCACCATTTCAATATATATATATATATATATATATATATATATATATATATATTTTTTTTTTTTTTTGGTGTATGTATGTGTGCAGGAGGCCAGAAGAACTTGTCTGGCAATTATAAGAGTGGATGGAGGAACTGCCTATCCCTGTCCCATGGTCTTGTCCACAGGTCAGCCTCACAAAGTGAAAGAGCCCTGGATGGAAATACAGTGGAAGCTCATTCTCTTAGTGACCTGGGGTCATTGGCTCGAGATGAAGCCTGGCAGGAGTGGCAACTCCAGGTGATTTCTGCACCTTTCCTATTTCCTGGGAGGTGGGCCAGGCCACAGTGTTAGCGGGAAGGGAACAGAACAGTCAGCCTAGTTAGAGGGAGTGTCTGCGGAAGGCCTAGCAGTGGAGGAAGAAGCTGTGCAGGACAGGGCTTGCCAGTCAGAATGAAGTGGGAGGAAGATGAGGGACACAGAGAAGCAGAGAGAGGCAGAGACACCATGGCAGTGAGCAGTGAGGGCTACACTGACTTCAGTGACCCCAGGGACAAGGTGCCCCCATTTCCACAGTCCAGGACCAAGGAGCCCTGAGAACCCTCCGTGGCCAAAGAGCTTCAGAGTTACATGAGGTGGGGTGGCTTTAGGGGCAAGAGGTAGTGGGGTGATGAAACATGGGTGTCAGCCTCCGAAGGACAAGGGACAGGTGTGGCTAGAAACTCCTGGGATTCTGCATCCAAGATCCAGTCTCTAAAGAGGTTTTGGATCAGTCATTTCTGCATTCAATTCCTTTATTTGTTATGTGAGAGCTCCTGAGTATGTGTCTCTGGCTGGGCCTGTGCTGGTGCAGGGTGTGAGTGGGGAAAGAAAACAAGGTCCTCTCCTTGATCCTCTCATGACAGTGACATGGGAACTTTGGGAAACACAGGATTTCAGGTTCAATGATGGGTGTTAAGATCTGAGGGGGAGACCTGGACATTTTTTTTGCACTGACTCTGATGGTTGAGGCAGCTGATTTAGTTCTGGAGTGCAGACTAATCAGGTGACCACTTGCTCTCACTCCTCTGAGGTTTGGATGCCTAAGAAGAGAGGATTTGAGCCAATAAATGAGTATGGGGTGCTTGGAACCCAGTAAGCCCTCACTTCTGGTGGAGGAGAGGATGGGCCTGTGGCTGCAGACAGACCTCATGTGACCCTGATCTCCCCTTTGTGTTTGTGTGACTCTGGCTCAGTGACTGTGCTTTCCTGTGACTCAGTTTTCTCTCAATCAAATAAGCTAAATGGCAAATGGACTGTGGCTTTTCATGCTATCTGTGAATAAATGTTAAATTATTCACAGTCACCTGACCTAATGCGTAGCACTGTGGAAATGTTCACCAAACAGCATTTATTATTAATTTGCTTCCATGAGAAAGCACCTTTACGTCAGATCCCTGTGGACAAGCTGCTACCTGGTACATCTTCTCTCTTCTGTTTCTGCTTCTGGGGATATTAGACTTTCTATGGAGTGTCCTAGGCCTCCTAAGGCAGTTGGCTGATGGCCTACAAAGCTTGTCTTTCTGTCCTCTCCACTCTGAGTGTCAGGTGAAGAAAGCTCTGTCCTTGCCCAGATGAGGCTCTGAGGGCTGAGCCCTGGCTGGTGAACAGCTGCAGGAGACACAGTCCTCAGACAGCTGGAAAATTCTTAGTCCCAGTAAGCCCTGCCCAAGAAACCATAACCCAGTCCTGGCACAGGCTCCTCAGCTTTATCTGGAGCAAGGATTTAGGGACAGGGGTCTGGGGTTGAGGCTTCTAGGGCTGAGCTTCTCTGAGGGTCTCAGGGGGCCCCTCAGGCCAAGCCCTACTCAGTTTTCCAGGGTCTTTCTCAGGGTCAAATTTATGAAGAGGGCATGAGGTGCTTGGCTGAGACTGATCTCCTCCTGCTGAGTCCCCCCATCAGACTGTCCTTCCTCTGCAGCAAGTTTCTGCAGGGTCTGGATGTGAGAAAGGAATTCTGATCTGTTGAAATTTGTCTCCTCTGTGTGTTTCCTGCAATAAATGCCCAAACCCCAGCATGGGACATAATGCAGAGAGGGACACAGGCACAGTCCAGGCCTGACAATTCTGTGTGTGTGAAGTAGAAATGACCCCTGCCCCCCAACACCCAGGGACCATGTGGAATCACTCACGGTATAAGGTGAAGGTGAAACGTCCAGTTACTCCTCCAGTCCCATCACCTCGCTTTATGATGTGTAAAGTGTAGGATCCTGTGTCTTCCTGGGTGACATTCTGGATCAGCAGGGATGCATTGGAATATACTGTTTCTCGTCCACTGTATGCAGGCCCATATTTAATTATTTGACCGTCTACTATATATGATGTAACATAATGGTAGAGGTCCCTGATTTGTCCTTTGTACCAGATGTAGCCAGTAAGATTCTGGGGCAAATTGTGGACAAGTAGAAGAACATCCTTCCCCTCGGAAACTTTTGGTGGCTGGGCTTCAATCGTGACTTGGGCTGTGGTGGGCGGGTTCCAGAAGTTTAAAAGTGATGCTAGGAGGTGGAGAGAGCATCAGTCAATATTGAGACCTATGTGTTGGGTTGAAAAGATGGGCCCCTGGGTCCTGAGAAGGTCTCTTCAATCCTCAGCCTTGAAGACACACACACACACACACACACACACACACACACACACACAAACACACACACACACATATAAAAGGGGCATGTGTGTTTCTGTGTGTGTCCTACTGTCCTACTAGGTCAAGGTCAGCAGCATGACCCCCATTCCTTCAACACTCCTGACTTTGGCATTTTTCTGTTTGGAATCCTCTTCCCCAGGGGTCCGCACGGCCCCCTCCACACTGCCCTCAGGTTCTGCTCACATCAGGGCATCCTTAGACTTCTTTCCTGACACCTCCTTCAGAGAACCTGGGTCTTTCCTTTTTGACCTTTCCCTGCTCTGCTCCCTCCAGGGTTCTTGTCAACACCTGATCTCACATTCTAGATCTCTTTGCATGTCTGTCTTCCTCCCCATGACAGCATGAGCTCCGTGAGGACAGGGACTTTTGTGATCTTGGTCGCACCCCAGTGCCTGGAACAGGCTGCAGACTCCTGTAGATGTGAGAGTTCTCAGGGGCCTCCATGCCCTGGGTGTTTTTTTTCCTCCCAATTGTTGAGGTTTTTTGCTGAGGACAGTGTTTCATGCCCTGCTTATATTTTTATTTCAAGTGTCATCTGATATAGTTATTATTTTCATTTTTCAAAATGTGGTGACCCCTGAGGATTAATCAGAAAAACAGAACACTTAAGATTTTCCTACCTCTTACCAATTCCGGTTCAATGTGACTTTCCTATTTTGACCCCTGTCCCTCTCTGGTGTATTTTCCCCTATCCAGGCTCCAACAGAGCCTTCTTTCCTTTTTTTTCTTTTTTCCTTTTTTTCTTTTGGGACGGAGTCTCATACTGTCACCCAGGCTGGCATGCAGTGGTGCTATCTCGGCTAGCTGCAACTTCTGCCTCCCGGGTTCATGTGATTCTCCTGCCTCAGCCTCCTGAGTAGCTAGGATTACAGGAGCACACCACCATACCTGGTTAATTTTTTGTATTTTTAGTACAGACAGGGCTACATTGTGTTGGCCAGACTGATCTTGAACTCCTGATCTCTTGATCCACCCACCTCAGCCTCCCAAAGTGCTGGCTTCTTTTATTTTTTAGAACCCCATCCTCTCTAGGAGACCCCATCCAGTCACTCTGCTTCCTTTTCCTGTCCTCTCCCAGGAAGTTCTCTCCTCACCTGTGAGCAGGAGCCCTTTCCAGGTTATATGCTGTGTGCAGGGAGGGGCTGAGAGGGGCCCCATGGTCTCTGCTCCCTGCGTGTTCTCCTCTGTGGAGATGAGCCTAGGATCCAGAATCTTCCTGAGCACGGCTGTCAGCTGTGCTGTCCTTCCTCCTTCTGCACTGAGCCTCTTCCCGGGGCAGGAGCACTTCTCAAGCTCATGGGTGGGGTCAGGCCCAGGACACCTCTCTGTCCCCTCCTCTCTCAGTTCTGCCTCCTTGTCCCTCCTTCTGTTTTTCCTTTTGTCTGTGTTTCAGGTCCCTGGGAATTGTGGAGCCCTCTGCCTTTTTCAGCAGTGATTCTTTCACCAAACCTCAACACACACTTTGTGCAGACACACACACACACACACACACATACACACACACACACACACACAGAAGAGACACACACAGACCCACAGAGTCACACACATACCCTGCAGGTTGGGCAAGCGCAGTCCTGGGCCTCAGCCTCCTGCTCTCCGCATGGCTCTGGTTAGGGGTGCACATTCACGCCCTTTGGCCTCTTTCATCCCCATCTGGCTCTCCCCTGCAGTGCAGGAGGCTGAAGCTGCACCAGGTCCCTGTCACAGTGATGCCCCATTGTGCTGTGTGTGAACTGTGTGTTTCCTGGTGAGAGGGACCCTTCCTTTCTCTAATCGTATCTAGCTTGGCTGCAGCTTCCAAGGATGGACGTTCAGGACCTGGGTGTCCCAGAGGAAACTGTCCTTCCTAGAGGTGTGCAGGGTGAATCTCTCATGCCTCTTGGGAGGAGAGGCCTGTGCTGATTGCTCAGTGGGGGCTGTAAGTCCCATAGTCAAAGAGAGAGTTCTCGGTCACTCTTTGGCTCCCTGGGGTCTGGCGGCTGAGCTGGAGCTCAGGATTTCTCGTGTTCTTCCTGACCATCTTTGATGTCCTCTCTTATGTGCCCAGCTGATTGTCCTGTGGTCACCACACCTTCCCTGTGGTGGTGCAGGTGGCAGTGAAGAGTTACCCAGGAAACCCGCGGGACATGGCTCGTTGAGACACAGGAGGGGGAGCCTGGGACAGAGCAGGGGTTCAGAGCTGGAGAGATTCATCCTGACTTACTCCGTGGCCATGATGGGCTCAGCCCTCCATGTGCCGACATACCCAGGGGTCTGTCCTGAGGGTTTTGACCTGGCCAAGCTGCTGTGTGTAGAGGAGGAACAGGCAGTGGCCAGAGATCCTGTCTGCAGGGACGTTGCTCACGCCTGAGATGGTGGGTGGGGGTGGGTTGTGTTCTGTGTGCAAAGAGCAATAACACCCCCCTTTCCCCGCAAGCACACAGGAGAGGACTGTCTTCCCAAGGGACAGCTGGGGGTAGGTGGCCACATCCCAGATGGTGCCTGTGTGTGACCATCACACACGATCTAAGCCACCAGGGGTTCAGCGGGCAGGCAGGTCACAGGGTGCCTGGCTGATTCCCGGGGAGGCTGTGGGCCCTTAGGCAGCCGCTGATCTGTGTCAGCTCTAGGCTTCACCTGCGAAGCCCCAGAGAACAGGACAGATGGAGCAGGGGTGGGCATTTAGGGAGCAGTGACAGAAAGAGTTGATGAGGATGGAGGGAGTTCACGAGGGGAAAGCGCCCAGTGTGGCGTTGCGTGCACCAGAGCTGCCCTGGGAGATGCCTTTAGCTGGGCCCAGGGAAGGAGCAGGTGTGCGGGGAGGAGCTACCTGCAGGGGGAGTGGTGTTAGGTTGGTGGCTGCCAGGTCAGGGAGGAGCTGACAGAGTCCATGTGGGGAACATGGAGGGCGCGCTGAGGACTTGAGCCGAAGTGACCCCGGTGAGGGTGGACCCTGCTGGGCTGTGGGTTCCGCTGAGGGAGGTTGGCATCCCCTGGGAAGGCTCCAGGCTGGGAGGGACTCTGTCACCCTCTGTTGGACAGGGAGGGAAGTGTGAACGGCAGCAATCCCAGGCCAGGCTGCATGTTTTATTCCATGTGGATCTGCACACTTCACACGAGATCACACATATGTTATGTTACAGCTCCTTCACCTTCCAGCCCCGTGAGTCCCAGTCTCTGTGGCTCTACGTTCACTGTTCTCCCTCTTTCACAATCAGATGTCCCAAACGCAGATTTTTGTCACCTTCTGTGAGTTTGTGTTTGTGTGCAGTAGGCGGCACTGTGTATACCCTGGGGGCAGTGATGTCTGGGGCTGAGCAGTGCACGTGGGCTTGGGAGCAGAAGAGGGAGCAGCAGGGTGGGAAGATCAACGTCAGGGGGGCAGGGACAAGTCATTTTCATTTTCTCACTCCCAGGGACCAGAACCCAGGATTCTGACTCCAGGGCAGAGTACCACACCCTGCTTGTGTCCCTGGATATCATGATGCTCATAGTGTCATGTTGCCTTGGCATTCACTTTTTAAGGTGTAAGTTTATTGGCCTCAAATCAGAGGCAGGGCTTGTACACCATGGCCGTTTTCAATACTGTGTCTGGTTCAAGTGGCTCCAGTTGGTGTCCAGAGATAAAATCTTAGAGGCATCTCTCCTGCTTGGTGTGCTGGGTTCCCCTCTCTCCAGCTGCTTTCTTTAAACTGATAATTCTGACATTTGCCCTCACATTTAAAGTGACCATCTCTCAGTCACAGCTTGAGCTCTTGGTCCCAGTGTTTGCTGCTTGCTTTGAACACATCCATTAAAGCTCCCTGCCTGAAACCTGTCAGATAACACCCTGGACCTAATAAAGCCATTGGCTTACCGGTCTCTTCTCTCCTCCCTGCCTGGGCTCACTGAACACTGTGTCTGTGGCCTCCAGGTGCGCCGAGTGCTCCCTAGTGTCTGTAAGTAGTAAAAATACTTATATTTTCACGTTCTGGTTGTATCATTGTAGCCTCACATGCCATCCAGGGCCTGATATTGAGGCTGCCCTATGGGACCTGTGCTGGTTGAGCCCCTGCTGGAGCTCTTGTTTTGGGACCTCTGGTTCTCTTGGGGACAGGAGCTTCCAGCTAACTTGATTGAAAACCTGATGTCTTTCATTGAAACACTGGGTCAGATGATGTATTCATGGGCTTCAGCTGCCATAACAAACACCTTAGCCTGGGTGAATTAAATAATAGAAATCTGTTTTTCACAGTTCTGTGAATAATGTGCTATTCTAACCACTTTAAAATGCACAATCAGGTGAAATTAACCACATACACAGTGTTAAATTACCCTCACCACTATTTTTCCTAGAAAATTGTTATCATTTTAAACTGAAACTTTGTATCTTTTAAACAATAACTCCCTGTATGTTCCACCCTAGGCCTTGATCACCTCTACTCTGTCTCTATGAATTTGCCTATTCTTGATGTTTCATATAAATGGAATTATACAATTATGTTATTTTGTTTCTGACATATTTCACTTAGCATAATGTTTCCCAAGTCTATGCATGTTCCAGTGGGTGTCAGAGCTTCCTTCCTCTTTATGGCAGATTATCATTCTGTTGTATGTGTCACCATATTTGTTTATTCATGTGTTGATGAACACTTGGATTGTTTTCATATTTTATCTTTTGTGAATAATGCTGCAATGAACATTCCCATGCAAGTACCTGTTTGAGTCCCTGGATTTAATTCTTTGGGTACATACTTAGGAATGGATGTTGTTTCAAATGAGAATTCTATGATTAGCTTTTTGAGGAACAGCAAAGCTTTTTCTCTTAGCGGCTGTACCTTTTCATATTCTCACCAGCAACGTATGAGGATTCCAAATTCTACATAATGCTGCTACTTGTTATTTAACATTTTAAAAGAATGGTAGCCAGTTTTGTAGGTGTGATGTGGTGTCTCATTGCAGCTTTGACTTTGTATTTTCCTAATGACTAATGATGTTGAGTATCTTTTCATGTCCTTCTTGACTCTTGGTATATCTTCTTTGAAGAAATGTCTATATGAGTCTTTTGCCCATTTATAAATTGGATGCTTTCTCCTTTTGTTATTGAGTTGTAGCTAGTTTTTTATATTATCTGGACATGAAACCTGTCTATATGTGGTTTGCAAATATTTTCTCTCATCTGTGTATATTAATTATTTTCTTGATAATTTCCTTTGATGCACAAAAAGCTCACATCTTGATAAAGCCCAATTTATCTTGTTTTTCTTGTTTCTCATGCTTTCGTATCATATCTAGGAATCCACTGGATACTTGAGGTCATCAATATTTACCTCTATGTCTATTTTAAGATGTTTTTATGGTTATATATCTGATATTTAACTCACTGATCAATTTTTTACGGAATTGTTTGATAAGGTGAGAGGTAGGGTTATCTAAATTCACTGTTTTGCATGTGGTTATCTAGTGGTTTCTGCACTATGATTTGAAAGGAGAATTGTTCCTCCATTAAACTGTCTTGACACCCTCTTCAAAGTGTAATTGGCCATAAGTGTGAGGGTTTATTTCTAGACTCTCAATTCTATCCCATTTGTCTTTATGTCTATTCTTTTGCCAGCAACTTGTGTTTTAATAATTGTACTCCTTTGTGAGATTTCAAATAAGAAAGTTCAAGTCCTACAATTTATTTTGGCAAGATTCTTTTGGCTATTCAGGGGTACTTTTTTGAGAGGTGGGTAGGCCAATGTTTCACAATTGGGAAAGCCTTTTCTGTCTTCTTCAGGGGGAAATTTGGGAGAACCTTTAAGAAACTTTACCTAAGCAGGTAAACTGTCACCACTTTATTTGCTGAAGTGCTATGTTAAAGTGTGCATTGCCTCTTGTGGAAGAATTATGAGACCCTGGAAGCACCTGCCCAGGTGGTGAGAGACAGTGAATTCCATGATGAGGGGCAGAGAGGACATTGTTTTGGGATACAGTGTTGTTGGGGGAGTTGTACACATCTCAACTTCTTTATGTCTCTGTACAGTGGGTGTAGGGAGCAGCTCCATAGGGTCAGTGGGTTTTTCTCCCTGTGTGCAGAGACGTGAGATTGTAGAAATAAAGACGCAAGACAAAAAGATAAAAGACAGCTGAGCCTGGGGGACCACTACCACCAAGATGCAGAGATAGGTAGTGGCCCCGAATGCCAGGCTGTGCTGATATTTATTGGAAAGAAGACAAAGGGGCAGGATAAGCAGTGTGAGCCATCTCCAATGATAGGTAAGGTCACATGGGTCATGTGTCCACTGGACAGGGGGCCCTTCCCTGCCTGGCAGCTGAAGCAGAGAAAGAGAGAAGAAAGAGAGAGAGAGCTTACACCATTATTTCTGCTTATTAGAGACTTTTAGTACTTTCACTAATTTGCTACTGCTAACTAAACAGCAGAGCCAGTTGTACAGGATGGACTATGAAGGCGGACTAGGAGTGTGACCACTTAAGCACAGCACCATAGGGAGACGGTTAGGCCTCTTGATAACTGCGGGTCGACCTGACTAATGTCAAGCTCTCCACAAGAGGTGAAGGAGTAGAGTCTTCTCTCAACTCCCTCGGGGAAAGGGAGACTCCCATTCCTGGTCGGTTAAGTAGCAGGTGTTTTTCCTTGACACTGAGACAATCACTACTTCATGGTTCGCCTGGCAACCTGCATCTTCCCAGACGCTGGTGTTACCGCTACACGAAAGATCCCTCTAGTGGCCCTGTCTGGGCATAACAGAAGGCTCGCACTCTTGTCTTCTGGTCACTTCTCACTATGTCTCCCCAGCTCCTATCTCTGTATAGCCTGGCTTTTCCTAGGTTATGATTATAGAGCGAGGATTATTATAAATTGGAACAAAGAGAAATTGCTGCCAACTAATGATTAATGATATTCGTATATAATCATATCTAAGATCTATATCTGGTATAACTATTCTTCTTTTATATTCTATGATAATGGAGCAGCTCGTGCCCTCAGTCTCTTGCCTCAGCACCTTGGTGGCTTGGTGCCCAGAAGTGGGCATCTCCGTTGGACACAGTAGGTTTTAAAATCCTTGTTTATCCTCTGGTGTCTGGGTCTTGGCTTAGCTGTTCGCTGCAGCTGAAAGAGGTGTCTGCTAAGGCAATGACACCTGTGGGGAGGAGAAGGGTTCAGCAGAGTGAAAGTAGCTGGGGCTCAGAGAAGACAGGAAAGTCTGACTCTTTGAAACTGTGGGTCAGCTGATGGGTGTCCTCAGGGGTACATGGGCCATGCCAGTAGCCACTGCAGTGGACTGGAAGAAGGTAAGGGATGCCGGGTATCCCATGTTCTCTCTCAGCTCTGCAGCTGAAGATTTCGGCCCTGGGCTGGTACGGCCCTGCAGCAGGGGAAGGGTACACAGGAATGGCTGCATATCAGGACCAAGTCCATGTCATCTTCTCAGGCATTGTTACTGCAGATGGAGGATTGTGTTCAGAGACCTGGCCTGGACACATGGGAGGGCCCACCCCATTCTATTAAAATTATTTTAAGAGAACAGTATTAGCAAATGTGGTACATGTTTTATTCTGCTAGAATCAGTCTTGCTGTCATATTTTACAATGTATCTCTTAGGAAATGGTGAGAGTCATCCACACAATGTGGATTTAAAGGGGACTCTACTATAATTTCAGCTTTCCTACTCTTTATAGAAACCATCTTCTCTGCAAACACACAGGAAATATCTCTGTTCATTTCTATTGGGAGCCCTGTATGTGAGGTGAGGTGGAGAGTGCCACATTTCCCTTGAGATGTTATGTAAAAGTTTGAGGTTGAGATGACATATCTGACACTCTGTTGTTACCCTCAGAAGCTACTACATGTGAAATTCTAATGACTGCATTATCCTGCCAAGTGAAAGAGGCAGGCACAAGCAAGGACAGCTAAGAGGGGTGAGAGCCTCATCATGATGGGGAGTCTTATTCTGACATCTTGGGAAAAACTGTCCACGTGTGAAGTCATCAACTTGTTTTCCTTGTTTACAGTTTGAGCAGCTGTTGTTATGGTGTTGAACATTTTGGTGAGTTCTGAGTGGCTCAGACATCAGGTACAAGGATTTTCCCATGAAATTTACATTGAGTTGTCCAACTCTGGCTTATAGGGCTTCTGGAACAGAGTGGGTCTTGCTCTTTGAGGTTCCATGGGAGAAGATGGAATTGGAGGAACTAGTAGAATTCAGGGTAATGTCCAGTCTACAGGTGGATAATAAAAACACAGAAACAATGAACAGAGCTGCAATCTCATAACAGGTGTACTACAGTATTATTTTCCACATAATTTTTCTCTCTATGGGCATCTCTAGTTTTACCAATGATAATTTCAGTAGAATATGTTTGTTTGCAAAATAGGTTGAGTTTCTTCAAACTTGGTCTGATTGTTTACATAAGCGCAGCAAGAGTAGCAATGGACCATGTAGGCTCTCTTTTAAAGTTTTCTTTGCTCTAAGTTTTTTTAAGGAATCTGAGATTAAATTTTACAAACCTCTTGAGAATAGGAAGCCAAACCAAGGCTGATTTCAGACTTTGCCTGCAGTTCATACTGGTTCATTCTATCTATATTCTTAATATAACATCCCAGTCAAAGCCTTGGTAATATAACCAATGATTTCAAATGTGTCCTGTTAAAAAGAGAGAAGATTGTTACTGTACTTGTGTAAATATCTGTATTACCATAAACATGTCAACACTCAGGAATAGTTGCCCAATTCTGGGGCAGTCAGGTAGAGAGCAAAAGTAAATATTTGAATTATTGTTCCCAGAAGTATAGTTTATTGAACTGCTGTGAGCTATAGATAGATTAAAGAAAAAAAATTCCATAAATCTAGAAAACAAACCATTTAAAGAATCAGCAAATTTTCAAATAAAAATCATAAAAACATTATCCTCATTATTATCAATTCTTTCAATGAAATCAATGTTTTTCCTGCTTGGTCTAGGCTGAGAATTTTATGAAGATATCAGCCTGTTTCTTAAAGTTTTGGAAGTTCTTAGACAGTCCGGTGGTATAATGTGAAAATTATCAGAAACTTGTATTAGAGAGTACTTGTCAGCATCTTTTCCATAAATCTCCTTGAAAAGGAAGCAATTTTGGACTGTAGCTGATTGGAAATGCTTTGAGGAAGAACAAAAACAACATCTGTGAATGACAAAGATTTTGAATGACTATGGTTAAAACTCTGATGAGAATTCATTATGATAACACAGCTCACATAAAAAGTTAGTTACTTCTGTGGTACATGACATTATGGCTGATAACATATTTAATTTCTAGGAATCTACTTTTTCCTTCGGGGATTACATTAATTTTGTGGGAGGGTTGCTGGTAGATGATTAGCCAACTATATTCTTGCAGTTTTTTTCTATCTCAATGTGTTTCTAGGTTAGTGATCAGTCTTCTGTCAATTTCATCCTGACCATGCTGCACTCAGATATTTTTGAAGGCTTTATGATGTGAGAAAGGCTGACTGCTATTTTCTGTGTCATTAGAACTTTGTACCCTTTTATGGTTGCATCTTTTTCTCAGTGTGTCAGTTGTGGTAGGCATGAATAAGACTCTGTCAGGTCTCCATGGCAGCTTGTGTTTCTCAAGAGGATTACTGAGTTCTTGGTGGAGCACATTAATGAATAGGACCGAGAAAGTATAGGCTTATGTATGTTGAAAAATGTCCCTAGGTAATTCCAGCACTCCCAGCTAATAATTGATTAATTAATAATCAATTGACTTGATTGACAGAAGGCCCAAATCAGTGCATTCCAGACTGACAACCTACTTTGCATAGGGTCCTCACTTTCCTGAAGCTCCCAGCAGGGATATGAAAGCAAGCCCAGTTCTATGAGACTCTGTTTTATTCTCCTGGGTGACTGGTGGGAAGACTCCCCATCAGTCTTCCCATGCTCTCTTTGAACTGTAGCTAAATCTTCTGTCTCTTTCTCCTTCGCAGGAATCAGATTTGCATAGTGGTCCCAAAGCTCCCCAGATTTTTAAGCCTGCCCCACCTTCCCTCACAGACATTTTTCCTAATACATTATCCTGCATGTCTAATCTCATCTTGGATGCATCTCAGTGGGCATAAACTAACATACCAGGCTTGATTTTTTTGCACTTAGCTTTTTTCTGTCTCTCCCACATGTAGCCAGTAACCATGTCCTAGTGTTTTATGTGTTACCTCTTTTTTCATGTTTATAGGGAAAAAATATGTTTCCATATACTTATTTATATGTAATATATATAATAAAATGTGTAATATAAAATGTATAATAATGTAAAACATATACACATTTTCCATATATGTATATGGAAAAAGAGGTAACACATAAAACACCAGGACATTTACGTATAATAAAATTGACATAAGTTATATATGTATGTAGTGTCTGGTAGTCTTACCCTCTTTATAAATACACACTTTCTATCACTGCCCCTTCCTTCCTTCCCATGTAGAGCTCCCATGGCCAAATCTCCCTATTTCTCCAAGTTTGTGTCACTCACTGTCCTCTGTGCTGTGTCCCATGTGCTGTGTCCGCAGCCTCCTAGTGTTTTATGTGTTCTCTGTTTCTATATATATATGGAAAAAGCATATACATATTTCTCTGTGTATATTTATATACAATATATAATAATATAAAAATATAGAATATATAACAATTTAAGATATATACATATTTCCATATCTATGAAAAAAGGTAACACATAAACACTAGGCCATTTATATATAAAATTCTCATATGTAATATAAATGCCAATTTTATCATATATAAATAAGTATATACACTATAGATTTATCATATATAAGGTGAATTTGGAATGCCCTGACCTGGGCCCTCTGTCAGTCAAGTCCTTGCCATGGAGGCCATTCATGGCTGCCACAACTGAGACACCGAGAGAAAGATGCAACTATGAAAAGGTGAAAAGTTCTAAAGTCATAGAAAACAGCAATCAGCCTTTCTCATATCCCAAAATTTTCAAAAATATCTGAGTGCAGCATGTCCAAGATGGAATTAAAAACTTCAATCTTGAAAAGGAAAAAGGAAGCTGGAGGATTCACACTTTCAGATTTCAGCATCTACTGCAAAGCTACAGTAATCAATACAGTGTGGTACTGGCATAAAGGAGGACATAGAAATGAATGACATGGAATAGAGAACCCAGAAAAAAAGCTTGCATATATGGCCAAATGATTTTTGTCAAGAGTGCCAAGACCATTCCATGGGGAAAGGACAGTCTTTTTAACAAGTGATACTGGGAAAGCTGGCTATCCATGGACAAGTATGAGTTGAACCTTTACCTCACACCATATACAAAAAATGAACCCACAATGGATCAAAGACCTAAATGGAATAGTGAAGACTACCAGACTCTTAGAAGAAAACATAAGGAAAAAGCTTCATGATATTGAATTTCAGAATGATTTATTAGTTATAACTACAAAAGCATAGGCAACAAAAAGGGATAAATTGGACTTCATGAAAATTAAAAACTTTTATGTATGAAAGGCCATTATCAAGAATGTAAAAAGGCAAACTATGACATAGGGAAAATATCTGAAAATCATATATCTGATAAGGGATTAATTTCCAGAATACATGAAGAACACTACAAATCAAAAACAGCAAAAATACAAAAGCCCAATTAAAAAATGGACAAAGGACTGAAAGAGAGATTTTATTAAAGAAGATATACAAATGGCCAATGAGGACATGCAAGGATTCTCAATATTACTAATATTTAGAGATTTGCAAAGCAAAACCACGGTGATACATGACCTCACACACATTAGGATGGCTTTGATAAAAACAACATGAACAACATCACAAAACAAGTGTTTTCAAGTATGCAGAAAAAATGAAGCTCTTTGTGTATTGCTGATGGGAATGGGAAGTGTTATAGCCACTGTGGAAAAAATGGCATGGCACGGCCGGCTCATGCCTGTAATCCCAGCACTTTGGGAGCTGAGATGGGTGGATCTCTTGAGGTCAGGAGTTTGAGAACAGCCCGGCAAGCATGGTGAAACCCCATCTCTACTAAAAATACAAAAATTAGCTGGGTATGGTGGCATGCGCCTGTAATCCCAGCTACTCAGGACGCTGAGGCATGAGAATCACTTGAACCTTGGAGGTGGAGGTTGCAGCGAGCCACGATTGCACCATTGCACTCCAGTCTGGGTGACAGAGGAAGACCCGGTCTCAACATCAACAACAGAAAAGAAAATGGTATGTCAGTTTCTTAAATAAATTAAAGCATTACCACTTGAACCAGCAATTCTACTTCTGGACATACAGCCAAAAGTATTGAAAAATATTTAAACAGGTATTTGTACACCGATGTTCACAGCAGCATCACTCACAATAGCCAATGGGTGGAAACAACCAAAAAGTCTATTGAAAGATAAGTGGATGAACAAAAAGCAATATCCATACTTTGGAATGTTCTTCAATCTTAGCAAGGTATAAAATTCTGACACATGGTGCAAAATGGATGAACCATGAAGACATTATGCAAAGTGAAATAAGCCAGACACAAAAGCATAATTATTATATACTTCCATTTATGTAAGATAGTTAGAATAGTCAGTTACTTAGAGACAGAAATTAGAATGGTGATTACCAGGGGTTAAGGGGAGGAGGAATGAGAGTTATCATTTATTGGGTTCAGAGGTTTAGTATAGTAGGATAAAAAAAGCTCTGGAAATAGATAGTGTTGATAGTAACACAACACTAAATTGCACGCTTAGAAACAGTTAATAGTAAATCTTAGATGTATAGTGTCTGGTACTCTTACCTTCTCTATAAATACACACTTTTTGTCGCTGTTCCTCCCCTGCCATAGGGAGCTTCTGTGAGTTAATCTCCCTATTTCTCCAAGTGTCCATCACTCACTGTCCTCTGTGCTGTGTTCCAGGAGCTGTGTCCACAGACTCAGACAGGCAGTGACTTCAGAGCCAGGACACAGTCCTATTCCCATTTTTTAAAGCCTTACCCATGGGAGGCTTGGCTTCTACTGGCCACTCGATTTAGCCAGATTCAGAACAGGCCACCGAGGCACCTTATCCACATGCCCTGGCCCCAGCCCGGGTGGAGTCAGGGCAGGGGCAGTCACTGGGTGAGCCCACAGCAATGCAGGGAGCAGTGTCCGAGCTGCTTCTCCCTCACCCAAGGGGCTTCCTCCTCTCATTTGGGGAAAAGTGTGGGCTTGTTTTGAAGCCTCTGATGTTCATTGCAGCTCATGGTGTACACACACACAGACACACA
Source organism: Homo sapiens (assembly GCF_000001405.40). Classification (NCBI taxonomy): domain Eukaryota; kingdom Metazoa; phylum Chordata; class Mammalia; order Primates; family Hominidae; genus Homo; species Homo sapiens. Next base: position 42,949,158 of record NC_000019.10, read on the forward strand.
CACAAAGGAGACAGAAGGGATGTTTTGGTGACAGAAACAGCTTGACCATGAGGACCCTCCTCTTTCTCCCTCTGTGAAGGCCCTTATACTGCATAGTGCTTGGGGCTGATAAAGCCATTTCCCTACATTTCTCAGGCTGGACCCAAGGTCATCCACCAGAAATCCGGAAAACAAAGGGAAGAGAATCTGTAGATATGAATTGGGAGTGTTCAGGAGAAAAATTTGGGATTTACTTTTGTGCATGGGACACAGGCTGAGAATAAAAATGTTTTCCTGGCTCTTTCTTGGAAAGCCAGATAGGCTTCACCTGAAAGCATATTGCCAATGCTCCAGTGATCCACTTACAAGGGACTCTGATTTTCTTGGTTGCGAAGTTTTTGCCATTAGTGACTGGGTTATGGACATAACACAGATAGTCCCCACTATTTTCAGTAGTGACTTGGGGGATAAAGAGCTCTTGTCCTATTTGTTGGTTATTCCCATTCAGCAGCCAAGAATACTCTGCTGATGGATTAGAGCCCGTGAGGCAGGAGAGGTTGAGGTTTGACCCTGGATAGTAACAGGTGTCTGAAGAATAAGTTGTGGGTTCATCTGGGCCATCTGGAGCAAAGAGAATAAAGCCACAGGTAATGTTATCAGAGGGAATGGGAAGCTCCTGGTCTGTGAAAGGGGCATAGTGTTCCTTTTTGCCAAGTCACAACCCCGAAGTCCCAGCCAAAACTTCCTCTGTGTTCACTGAACTGGAGGAGTCAACGACATTCACCTGTTTCTCCCATCGCAAGCTATGGAACCAGAGTCCCCTAAGACCGGAGAAGCCCCTCCCTTCCTGGGCCTACCCAGGTTTGCCTGGGACAGGAAGTCATGGCCAGCTTGGGGGTCCAGGGGTAAGTGTCTTCATACTTGGACCTGAGAGGGACTGAGAGGCCTGGCCTCATGTTATGTGGATTTGGGCTGGCAGCCTTGTCCATGAAGGAAAAGAGGATACTCACAGAGAACATCCAGGAGACTGGGTCACTGTGGCTGGTGCTCACTATATTCTTCCTTTGACGTTCATAGAGTCCTTTGTCACTCCTTGTGACACTGAGTAGAGCAAGGATCCTGTTATCATTGGACATCTTTAGCCTGGGACTGAGTGTGAGTCTATGACTATTTACCCACCACATGTAGATTGTGCCATGAGTCTCAGGTTCACAGGTTAAGACCACAGCCTCCTCATCCTCTGCGGAGTTGCTGGTGACATAGGGCTTGGGCAGATTGGCTGTGCAGATAACAGAGAAGATTCCCCTGTGTGGCATCATTGATTTCTCCATGAGCGTTTTCCAATAAGAGTTGACATCTCCCACCTCTCAGCCAATCCAAGTCCTTAAAAGCCCACAGCAGGTCTGTGTGTCAAAAGACAGATGGATGCATGATGATCTGAGGGCTCAGAGGCCATGGGGCCACCTGCTCTGTGTGCAAGATGCACAGACTTCTGAAGTGTGGATCGAGCAGCAATATTGGTGAAGTGTGAATTGAGCAGGGTCAAACAATTAGAGTTTGATTAACTTTGTTTAAATTGAGAAGAGTCCAAGTGAGGCAGCAGTGGCTCATGCATCTCCCCAACTGAAGGACCCCACCTTATAACACTGTTGTTATTATGAATACACAGGTGTGAATGAAACAGGCAGTAAATCAGACAGCACCCACCTGGCCAGCTCCACCTGGTCCTAAGAACCACCAGTATTCCCATTATGTGTATGTTACAGCTTTTTAGGCTACAAAATATAAAATACAATCACAGAATATAAAATATGCTACTGTCAATACAAAACATTGAATATGAAGCTGAATATGTTGTTCCACTTTTTCTCACTCTTGTTAAACTTTGCTGTTTCAGTTTTGGAAGTTTCTATTGACACACACTTAAGCTAGAGATTCTTTCCTCAGCTGTGTGCAGCCTACGAGTAAGCCCATGGAGGGCATTCTTTATTTCTCTTAAAGTGTTTTTAATCTCTAGCATTTCTTTTGCTTCTTTCTTAGAATAGCCATCTCTGTTTAAATCACCCATCTATTCCTGAAAGGTGTCTCCTTTTAAAATCATAATCCTTAACCAGAGTTGTTTTAAATTTCCAGTCTGATAATTTCAACATCCTTACCACATCTGTGTCTGGTTCCAATCCTTGCTCTGTCTTTCAAACTGCATTTTTTTTTTTTTGCCATAGTCTGTCTTGTATTTTTTTGAAAACCACACATGATGTACTGGGTAAAAGGGACTTGAGTGGGCAGGCATTCAGTGACACGGTGGTGAGTGTGGGGAGGGAAGGGTTCTGTGGTTCTGGATGAGGTCTGTGTCCTGGGCTGTGAATGTCACAAGTGCCCCTCAGGTTTTTCTTTCCATTAGGTGGGATATGATGACTTGAGGAGGCTGGAGTTGGATACTTCCCCTCCCTCTGGCCAGTTAAGCTCCTATCAAACCGCAGCTAATTAGGCTGCAGTGAAATAGTTTCTCTTAAATGTAGGTCTTACCAAGAAGAATATAAATCACTGACAACTTTCCAAGTGTTTTTTTCCCTTCTTCCAAGAAGAAGGATGTGGATTCTTTTTTGATATTGACTGTGAGAACCTGGTAGAGCTCCAGGAGCTAAAAGTCATAAAACTGTCCCCCTACTCCCAAGACTAATCCATCCTCTGGTTTGTTTATCTCTGCGCTGTGTCCACACTGAGCCTCCAGAATTTCCTGAATTACAGTTCAGGTTTTCTGAACCCCAGCACTGGTTCCCGCTGGGGTTTCTGTGCCTGTGTTTCTGCTCAGGTACGGTGCGCTGCTCTGTATTTGCCTGTGGGTCTCTCCAATATGTGGGCCAGTTAGCACTGAGACCTTGCTTCCTGAGAAATCTAAACGAGTTGTTGATTTTTCAGTTTGTTCAGCTTTTTACTTGTTGTTAGAACTGAGTGAAAATTTTTAAGCTACTTACATGCCTGATGGAAATTCGAAGTCTCTAGGGCATGACAGGAGGATATGAGCCCCACAGCAGGTTGAGGATGGAGTCATGAGTGAAATGGGTGAAATGAGCCCACGGGCTTTGGAAACTGCAGATCTGTCCTTCTGCCTCTGACCCCCTGGTGAGTCCATGTAGAAAGTGAAACCACCTTTGCAAAGCATATGATGGTGAGAGGAAGCTAGCTTGGCTGACCGCATCTCACCTCTAGCCTCAAACTTGCTCTCTTTGATTCCTGGGCATAGGCCAGGGTAAGCATGGGAGGAATTTATAGTTTAACTTTGAAGCAAGGATGATAATAGTCCCTCCCTAAAATTAGCTCCTCCTTGTCGGGGGCTACCTTGGTAAATCTAAGAAAAAAGATTGAATGGTCTCATGATTCAGCAGGTTGTAGAGTAAGCATCATTCTGGCATCTGCTCAGCTTTCGAAGAGGCCTCAGAAACTTGCAATCACGGAGTAAGCCAGTGGTGGAGGAAGACATCTTATATAATGGGAGCTGGAGGAAGAGAGCAAGGGTTGCACACTGGTAAACAAACAGGTAAAAACTCACTTTTGCTACAACAGCACCAAGAAGAATGGTCTTAAAGTATGAGAAACCACCTCCATTATCCAATCACATTCAACCAGGCTCCACCTCCAACTTTGGAGATTACAATTTGACATGAGATTTGGGTGGGGGTAAAGGTCCAAAAAATTATTATTATTTCCATGGTCCCTCCCAAATCTCACATCTTTCTCACATTTAATAATATGAGGATGGCTTCCCAACAGTCTCTAGAGTCTTAACTCATTCAGCATTAACTCAAAAGCCCAAAATAGCAAGTTTCATCTGAGACAAAGCAAGTTCCTTTTACCTATGAGCCTGTAAATTCAAAAACAAGTTAGTTACTTTCAAGACACAATGGAGGTATAGGCATTGGGTAAATACTCCCATTCCAAAGGGAAGAATTAGGCTGAAGGAAATAGGATACAGGCCCCATGAAAGTCTGAAAGCTTGCAGCACAGTCTTTAAAATTTAAAGCTCCAAAATAATCTCCTTTGACCCCATATCTCATATTCAGGGCACACTGATGTAAGGCTTAGGCTTCCAAGGTTCTGGGAATCACAGAAACATTCCAAGAGAGTGAAAAAAGAATTTGTAGTGTGGCTTTTGATGCTAAACAGCGTATTAGACTGAGTAAGTCACTGAAGAGAAAAAAGTCAGAGGAGAAGATGGGTGAGGGTGACAGAAATGGAATGGTGAAAGGAAAGGTCTGATAAAAATGTTTACCGGCTGGACATGGTGGCTCACACCTGTAATCCCAGCACTTTGGGAGGCTGAGGTGGGCAGATCATGAGGTCAGGAGTTTGAGACCAGCCTGACCAATATGGTGAAACCCCATCTCTACTAAAAATACAAAAATTAGCCGGGCGTGGTGGCATGCACCTGTAATCCCAGCTACTCAGGAGGCTGAAGGCAGGAGAATCACTTGAACTTGGGATGCGGAGGTAGCAGTGACCTGAGAACGCAGCATTGCACTCCAGCCTGGGTGACAGAGTGAGACTCCATCTCAAAAAAAAAAAAAAAAGTTTACCCAAGGGCTCATCTGGTACCTGGCTCTGTGACTAATGTCTTACACATTTTGATTTACTCTTCCACTTTCATTTTCTGATGCACAAAGGGTCACCCTTCTGCTGAAGATGAGAAAAGAGGATGAGGGAGCTCAAATGAGTGGTCTAGAGTCATCCAGCTACTTCATAGAGCTTGTGTGTTTCACCTTGATGTTTGTGCACAGACAGAAAAGTGAGACACAGAAGGAAGGCAAAGCAAGTTTATGCTGTTGGTGACACTTATGAAAGTTACCTGTGTTGGCAGAATAATGGACTCCTAAAATGTTTGCACCCTAGCTCCAGAACCTGTGCATTTACTTTTCTTGGTAAAAACACAGTGCAGGGGTGATAAAATTAAAATCTTAAGATGTGGACGTTGTTCTAGATTATCTGGGTGGGCCCATTGTAATCAGAAGTGTCCTTGTAAGTGACAAAGAAAAGCAGGGGCATCCATGTGAGAATGATGAGCCTGTGAAACTCCACTGGCCAATGCTGGGTGTGAGCATGCATCAAAAGACAAAATTACAACTAATGTAGTTATAGATTTTATTTTTCATTTATTATTTGAGGCAGCTCTCACTCTACAAATATAGTGACAGCCCTCCCTGGGCTATACAATAACAAAACAGTGGGTTTTGTCAAGTGGGAACTGGTAAACAAAGCCATATAAATAAATAAATTGGTGAACTTCAGGTCTCTTTTCTGTAAAAGTTAAAGCAGAGGAAACTTTTATTCTGCTGTCTCAGGTAGAGTGGAACCTCCTGTTTTCAACAAAAAACAAAAGTCTGTTCTGGTATCTCTTTGCTTCATTAAAATTTCAGTTGTAGACTGTAGCATTTAGCATGAGTGGTTCTATTTTGGAGTCTCTAGGCTCTCACTTAGGTGAGAGTGTGACCAAAATTTAAAGCATTGGCATTCATCTCAGTAACCATCATATTGGGCTTCCATCATTTATAGGTTTATGATGTCTTCCTGATCACACATTTCTTTGAGTTTTTGTCATTTCAGCCAAAGAGAGACCCTTTGGTATTTGTTGATGGCTGCACACAAAACTTTTTAAAAACTTTTGTAGAATTCACCACACCAAAATGTAGAATTTAAAAACCTATAGAATTTATCACACCAGAGAGGCTACTAATATGACTATTAGGAGGATAACACCAAAAGTTTGGAGTATGCACTTTAGGCAAGATGCAAACCAACTAAAATAGAATAGGTCAAAGAATGAGCCAGAATTGTCTAGCAATTTTAACCAAGTAGTATGTTTGGTAACTTCTGTGATTGAGTCATTATTATACTCGATATATTTGTTTATGTGCAACAGTCAGTGTCAGAAACTGCACAGGCTCCTCCCTCTTTAGCTGGTAGGGAACAATTTTATTATGTAGCATTCAATGGCTCATTAAATTAAAACAGGGAGTGAGAACAAGTGAGTCTGAAAATGTAACTTTAAAAGGGACCACTGTACATTTGAAGAAACAATTGTGTTAAAAATGCTGCTAATGTCAGCCATTGGGTGGACTAAATGATATCTTATGTAAAAATTTGAGGGTGACATGATATATCTGTCACTCTGTTACGCTACTCTCAGAAGCTACTTCACGTGAGATTCTAATGATACCATCATCCTGCCAAGTGAAAGAGGCAGGCATAAGCATGGACAAATTAAGAGGGGTAAGAGCCTGATTTTGATGTGAAGACTTGTTCTGGCAACTTAGGAAAAGCTTTTCACAGTGTGAAGTTGTCAACTTCTTATCCTGGTTTTAAGTTTGAGTGTCTGTAGTTATGGTGTCAAACATATTGGTGAGCTCCGAGTGACTCATACTTCAGGCACGAGGGTTTTCCTGTGAAATTTACATTGAGCTTTCCACCTCCAGCTTATAGGACTTCAGTAACAGAGCAGATTTTGTTCTTACTGATTCAATAAGAAAAAACTGGATGGGAGGAACTAGAAGAATTCAGGGTCTAGTCCAGTCTACCGGTGAATAATAAAAACTCGAAAACAATGAACAGAGCTGCAATTTCATAGCAGGTATACTACACTTTTTATTTTCAACATTATTTTTCTCTCTATAGGCATATCTATTTTTACCAAAGACAATCCCAGTAGGACAAATTTGTTTACAAAGTAGGTTTAGTCTTATGAAACTTTGCCGGGATTCTTTACATAAGTGCATCAAGAGTAGCAATGGACCACAGAGGCTCTTCCTAAAGTTTGGTTCGCTAGAAATTTTTATAAGTAGTCTCAGATTAAGCTTTTACAAACCTCTTGAGATGAGGAAGCCAAATGAAAGCCATCTTCAGACTTTGCCTGCAGTACTTATGGGTCCATTCTATGTATATTCTCAAATATAACATCTTAGTCAAAGCCTTGGTAATATAACCAATGTTTTGAAATGTGTCCTTTTGTAAAGAGAGAAGATTCTTACTAGTGCAAATAACTGTATCATCATAATCATATGAATACTCATGAATAGTTTCCCAATCCTGGGACAGTTAGGTAAAGAGCAAAAATCAATGGGCTTCAATTATTGTTTCCAAAAGTATACTTTGCCAAATTGCTTTAGATATAGCTAGCTTAAAAGAAGAAAAATTACATAAATCTGGAAAAAATCATTTAATGAATCAGCAAATTTTCAAATAAAAATTATAAAAACATTATCCACATTATTTATTTCAATGAAATTATTTTTGTTCTGCTTGGTCTAGGTTGGCATATTTCATGAAGGCATCATCCTGTTTGTTAAAGTTTTGGAAGTCTATAGACGGTCCAGTGATATAATCTTGAACTGCTCAGAAACTTGTATGCAAGAGTACTTGTCAGTATCTTTTCCATAAATCTTTTGAAATAGAAGCAATTTTGGACTGTAGGTGATTGCAGATGCTTTCAGGAAGAATCAAAACAACTATCTGTGAATGACCAACATGTAAAATGACTATTGCTAAAACTCTGATAAGAGTTTGGTATAAGAAAGGGAGTAACTCCAGCCAGTACTCCAGTCATGACGCTGACAGGGGCCCCAACTGAGAGACCAAAAGAACTTTCTTATCCTGAAGCAGCTGTCATGGAAAAAAAAAGAGGAGAAGGAATAAATAATAAAGACAGCAAGGATTTTAGCCAATTAATTTTTGAGATAGGGTCTCACTCTGTTGCCTAGGCTGGAGTGCAGTGGCACAATCTCAGCTCACTGCAACCTGTGCCTCCCAGGCTCAAGCCGTCCTCCCACCTCGCTCTCCTGAGTAGCTGGGACTACAGGCACACACCACCATGCATGCTTAATGTTTGTATTTTTTGTAGAGATGGGCTTTTACCATGTTGTTGAGGCTTGTTTTGAACTCCTGGACTCAAGTTATCCACCCGCCTTGGCTTCCCAAAGTGCAGGGATTACAGGTGTGAGCCACCGCTCTTGCTGCTTTCATGCTTTTTATAATAAGAATGAACTCCTTATGTAATAATAAATAAATAAATGAAATTATTTGCTTTGGATGTAGCAAATGTAGACTTAGATTGTCCAGAGTCAGGAGCTAAGCCTCATTTTTTTTTGTTTTAGCTCAGTGTAGAGTGCATTGAAGGTGTCCTAAAAATAATTCCATATAGTAAGCCAATTTTAAACCCTGCTCACAGCTAAATCTGCCAAGTATGAGCCAGGTAAAATTACCAAAAAAGGTGGTTCTGACTGATTCCTTAACAATAACGTGGCTTACAAACAAAGACTGATATGAAATAGTTGATCCAACCCAAACACTTTGCTCATTTCCCAAAATTTTCTATACAAACATATACAACTTACCACAACATAAAGATCATAATGAAAAGTTTGCCTTTTATTCCTTTAAATGACCATATGTTTAGATCTGATGTACTGACAGCAATAATTCTCCTTTAAGCGGAAAACTAATAAAATTTGAAAAATAGTGATTTTATATTTAGATGATACTCAGATCTTCTGCTACGTATGTGGAAAATGGAATTATTGCTAGAAACATTGTTTAAAGATTAGGGTATGAAAGGAGTATTAGGAAGTCAGGAGGTTCTTTCTTTAGGAAGCAGCTTATCTGGATTCATTCAAAGAGCTTTAGGTTAGTTTGAGGTCTTTCTGCAAAATGTAAATTGCTATATGAGAAACTATATATAGTCCAATGATGAAAGAATGCAAAGCCTTAGAAGCACAGGCGACAATTCCAGTATCTTCCCTAAAGTTCTGACAAAAAGGAAAATAACTATCAAATTCTTCAACTCGAATGCTTATTATGTATGTATAAGTCAGTTGTCAGATGAAGAGAGGCTGGAAATATGACTTCTACCCCTAGGGAACTCACAGTCTTGTGGGGGCCACTAGGGGTGGTGGTGTGACCTGCCTGGAGCAGGGCTAAGTATGGACTTGTGAGTCAAGGGCTATCAAAACCTAAGTAAACTGATTGCTGTTCAGAGAAGGTAGAGTTCCATTTCACAGTTTGCAAGAAGGACTATTTCATGGAGGAGGTCACGTTGGACTAGACCTTTAAAAGTTGGTAGAATTTAAAAGCAAGGATATGGAAGCAGGAAGAGTGAAAGTGAGCAGAGGTACAGAAGTGAGGCAAGGGTGAGCAGTTTTAATTTTTTAATGGTGGTATTATAAAACACACATCAAAATTTGCCATATTATTATTATTATTTTGGAGACAGTGTCTGGCTCTGTTGCCCAGGCTGGAGTGCAGTAGCTCAATCATGGCTTACTGTAGCCTCCACCTCCTGGGCTCAAGCAATCCTCGTACATCATCCCCCTGAGTAGCTGGGACCACAAGCATATACCACCATGCCCAGCTAATTTTTATATTTTTGGGAGTGACAAGGTCTTCCTATGTTGCCCAGGCTGGTCTTGAACTCCTGGACTCAAATGATCCTCCTGCCTTAGCCCCAAAGTGCTGGGACTACAGGTATGAGCCACTGCACCTGACCCCATCTTAAAAATTTTTAAGTGCACAGTTCAGAAATACATTTGCATTGTGCAACCATCAGCGCCACCCATCTTCAGAGAATATTTTTCATCTTGTAACAGGGAAAATTCATATCCATGAAACACTAACTCCTCATTCTTCCTCCTCCCCACCCCAGGTAACCACTATTCCAGTGTCTCTATGATTTTGACTGCTCTAGGGACTTATATAAATGAGATCATACACTGTGTATCTTTTTGTGACTGGCTGATTTCACTTAGCATAATGTCCTCAAGGTTCATCCATGTTGTAACATATGTGAGAATTTTTTTCCTTTTGAAGGCTGAATAATATTTCATTGTATGGATAGACCACATTTTGTTTATCCATTCATCTATCCATGGACACTTGGGTTGCCTTCACTTTTTGGCTATTGTAAATAATGCTGCTATAAACATGGAGGTACCAATATCTGTTTGGGTCTCTGCTTTCAATTATTTTGGGTTTATACCCAGGAGTGGAATGGCCAAGTCATACAGTACCTCTAGTTTTAGTTTTCTGAGGAACCACCATAATGTTTTTCACAGTGGCTGCACCATTTTAATTCTTATGAATAGTGCACAGGGGTTCCAATTTTTCCACAGTCTCATTAAAACTTATTATTTTCTGGGGTTTTTGCTTTGTGTTTGAGAGTAGCCATTTAAATTGGCATAAGGTATAATTTCACTGTGGTTTATATTTTCATTTCCTTAATGATTAGTGATATTGATCAATATTTTCTATGCTTGCTGGCCATTTGTACATCTTCTTTGGAGAAATGTTTATTCAGGTCGTCTGCCTATTTTGTTAAATTGGGTTGATTTTTTTTTTCTGTTGTTTAGGTAGAGAAGGCAATCCTTGAATACCAGTGATGTTTCACTAATGCTGGGCCATTGATTTCACAAGAAGTTGTATGAGGTATTAGAATGTGTGTTTGGTTTCAATCATGGCTGAGGTTGAATGCCTTTTCCAAAATTCAGTGTGAAGCCACAAAGGATCCAGGAGCAAGAACATGGTGTGACTGCTCTCTGCTAAAGAATTTCAGCCTGATGACAGTGAGCAGGCTACACATGAGACTGACACAAGAACAGGTGGAAAGGGAGACCTTCCACTGGAAAAAGGTGATTCTAACATGCAGAATCACCTTCAAGGAGCAAGTAAGCAGAAAAATAGACAATGGCACAGTGGCCAGGCAAGAAGACACTAGGTCCAGAATCTGAGGTTCAAATCCTGGCTCTGTGAGACAACAACATGCCTTGGTTTCCTCATGCTACTGAAACACCAGGGGTTGGGGCTAGGTCCCATTGCTTGCTGCACAGAAAGCCAACCACTGAGACAATGAACATTGCCAGGGAAGAAGGCTTTATTTGGCTGCTGCAGCCAAGGAGGTGGGAGATCAGTCTTAAATTCATCTCTCCAGCCAACTCAAATTGGATGGTTTATATAGCTTGGAAGGGAAGTAACTACCTGCAGGGAAAACAGCAATTAAGGAGGGCTAAGGAAGCAATCATGATAAATGAGGAGTCTGGTGTCTCATTGTCTGATGGTGATGTGGTGAGTTTCAGTCTCTTGCCTGAAGGTCCGTTTCCTAACTCAGATGACTGACAAATGTTAAGTTTCAAGTTTTAAGACCAGATGGGTCAATTTCTATGTTTATTCAAAAACCCTGTAAATATCAGTTCTATGTGGAACTTGAGCTGGTTTGCCCCCAGTTATCACAGTTAGGGTTAAATGATGCAATATAAGTAAAACACCAGCAGTTTCTGACACACACACAGAGTGCATGACACAAGTGGTGTGTTGGGACAATATAGCTCAGTGAACTCCCTTTGTCTACTCAGTTATATTGAGTGATGAGGCATCTCTGAAGATGCCACTTTGCTACTTCTCCCCTGATAATTTCACCAGATCCAGCCATATGAGCACTGCAAGTGGGGACTTAGCTTAAATCATTCCTCGTATTTCCTGTGCAGGCAAATCATTTGGCACCAAAACAGGCACAGAAGTCCAAGTCCTGCTGCCAGCTCCACGACTGATGACACAGACAGACTTTGGGATTAGTCCTTTAATCTCTGTCCTCTATTAAATGAAGGTCATCATGCTGCTGCCTAATGTAAAAGGATTGTGGGGATTTTCATCATTCATTACCGATTATCTTATTCTTTGAAACCCCAAGAAAACTATACAAATTCCAAAGTCTAATAGGTACACAAGGGCTTTATTATGGATGATGAAATTTCAAAGGATGCTAAACCAAAAAAAAATTGTTTTTCTTTTTTGAGACAGAGTCTTGCTCTGTTGCCCAGGCTGGAGTGCAATGGTGCGCTATTGGCTCATGGTAAGATCCACCATTCTCCTGTCTCAGCCTTTGGAGTAGCTGGGACTACAGGCACCCACCACCACACCCGGCTAATTTTTGTTGTATTTTTAGTAGAGACGGGGCTTCCCCATGTTAGCCAGGATGGTCTCAATCTCCTGACCTTGTGATCAGCCTGCCTCGGCCACTCAAAGCACTGGCATTACAGGCATGAACCACCGCACCCGGCCAAAAAAATTTTTTTTAATGCGCTCTCTTTTCCATATAATCCCAAGGTTGGTGAATCACCTCTAAGTCAGGAGTTTATCTTAGCTGATACTGCCTTAGTGTTGGCACAACTTAAATTTAGTTAAACTAATATTTGCATGATCTTTGCACAACACATAAACACCCAGGAACAGGTGGTGCTCCTCGGTGGTCAACACCAGGATGGCTATGGCAGGGCACATTCTTTCTCTATAGCCCAGGCCACTGGCATTCAAAGAAATATTTTTCAATGTCTGATTTTTCTCTGGAAGTAGGAAAATGCTTTCCTAACTGCTTTACTTATAAGGGTGTTTCTTGCTAATTCTGTGCCCAGAGTAACTAATGGGGACATAGACATAGACATCATTCAAATGGCATTCTCTCTTTACCATAACCCATGCTTTAAAATGAAATAAACTGAACCCATGCCTTAAGACGACAATCAAGAAATACATTCTGCCTAAGGAAAAGTCCTGCGTTCAAAGGTTTTTGTCCAAATAATCTGACATTGTGGTCATGAAACATTGAAAATAGCATTTGGAGCAGTAAGTATAAAAATTTAGAAGGAGTAAAACTACTTGAATGCTTGTTGGGAGGTTTACAATGTAGTCAAACACCAGTTAAGCAAAAATAAAATTTACTACTTAACTATTTACATTTTCTAATGTGTGGTTTCATGGAATTGTTGAGATAAAAGTAGATACTGAAATAGGAGTACTTGAAAGTAATAAGACAGAGATTTTTATAAAATCATTTCTGACCTGATTAAGAAAAATATAATCTCTATCACATATGAAATAAACACCTTTAGAAAAATGCAATGTCAAAGAAAACACTTGGAATGGCCAACAAATATCTACTACAGATAGAAATGAAAATATTTATGTTATGTAAATGTCGGGTATCAAATTGTCTCCGAAGTTGCCTTCTAGAGAACTTTGTTTAGTTGGTATATTCTTCCTATGAATCAAAGGAATACAGTGTTACGATCATAAGTCATGAGGGACATGAGACAATTTTAAGGATTTAGGAAAGTAGGGAAGCAGTGAGGTGAAGGGTAGGCAGATACTTCAGAGGGTAAAAAGTGTTTTTGATTCAAAAGAAAAGCTAAGGTAGTTTGAAGAAAACATGCATCATCTACTAGTTAATCTGGGGTACAATGAAGGTGGTGTTATTTTAACAGTGTTCAGAAAAGACCAATTAATTCTGTGGCCATACAGAAAGAATGGAAAGATTGCATAAAACAGATTCTGAGGAATACAAATCAATATAGCAAGGAACTTTATGATGAAGGACGAATGTGAGCATAGAATGCACTGTTTTTTTAATTATTATTATTAGCAGCATCATTGGTTTGGTGATGTTACCTACTTTTGGAGTGGAGCTAGATATGAGAGCTGCATGTCCCTTGAACTTTATTTGGGGTAAATAGTGAAAACAATATCTATGATGAGTTAATGGCTGCAGCACAACAACATGGCACATGTATACATATGCAACAAACCTGCGTGTTGTGCTCATGTACCCTAGAACTTAAAGTATAATAAAAAAAGAAAGAAAACCATATCTAAATAAAAAAGAAAACATTCCAGAGGTGCAGAATTCAAGCTAGAAGAATTGTGTCCTTGGATGTCCCAAGGTCAAATTTTAATATGTCATTGAATGAAGGTTCCAATGTTTGGAATAATGAAAACAGTCATATTGAATTTTGTCTTTGCTCTCCTCCCTCCCCAGTGTCTACCAAAAAGGCTGAGTAAACATTCATGCAAGTCAATACACTGTCACAGCCACAATTCATCCTAGCAGTCTTTCCTGGAATAGTCACTTAAGACGTATCTGGTGAGGACCCACTGGCACTTTTAGAGCAATCAGAAAATACCTCAAATTGCTCACATCTAGTGTAGGAGAAGGCTAATCCATCCCTGTTTCATGAAGCATCACTTCAATATCCTGGAACAGTCATTCTACCCAAATCTTCTGTCCCTAGAGCCCAAGACTCTCCGCATCTTCATCCATTCTTCACGGGGCTTGATTTCCAAGACTCTCTACCATCTTGGCCACACACCATGTTACGCATTCACTATGGACACTGCACCACTGCGGATGCTGCACCAAGGGTTCTGAATCCAAGGGCAGATTGTTATGAACAGCCCCTTTAAAAGTCTTAAACGTGATACACTGGTCTGTCAGCAGATGTGCAGAGCCTCTTATGGGAGACACAGTTTTTGACTCATGTGATTCAATGTCCATAAATCTGCATCCAAAAGATGCCCATAGAGACAAAGAGCAGAGTAAAGTCCTTGCAGCAGTGTTTCTCAAACTTAGCCACCCACCAGAACTGCCTGGGGAACTTTGAAAGATACCCATGCTGAATCCCACCCACCAAGATTCTGATGTAATGCTATGGGGTGAGATCTGGACATCAGGATGTTTGGAATCTCCCCAGGCTCATTTAACGTGCAACCAAGACTGAAGCCCACTGTCCTCAGCAATGTGCCCAGCCCAGCCTTCCTGACATCCCCCCATGGGTACAGGATGACAGTTTCTCACTCTGACCCTTTCCTTTATTCAATACAGCACAGCACAATCCAACAGGGTGAGCACTGTTATGACAGAGAACCTGGAGTCGGATCTGATTAAATGTCTTCAACAAAACCAGTGCCAAGCCTTGGCCATTCAGCTATCAATTACTATTTTCAACCCAGGTTCTAAAGGCTCTTCATTAGAAACTTCTCGGGTTGATAATGATTGGGCAAATGTGCCCTTTGGATTTGATTGCTACCATGATTATTAATTAACTGAATTGTAGAGATATCGAGTACCTTTCTGCCTCTTGTTTTTAAGAACCCATGAGAGACAAGGCCAATTGCAGACAATGAGGACGTCCTCATGATAGTGAGATGAACTGCCTAGCTATCTTCCGATATCGTTACTTCCCACCAGTTTTGTTGCTTGCAAAACAACAGAATCTTCTCTCCATGAAATCATGGTTATCAGTTAGGAAGTAGCCCACTTGGTTCTGGATTTCGTTTAGAGATTTAAGATAGTAACAGAGGGTGCAGGATGACAAACAGAATTTGTACACTGTGTCTGGTAGTGGAAAATACCCAACATTGTACTGTATGCTGACTCTGTCATTTCCTGCCTTCTCTCCTCCTTTTCTCCCTCCCTCACTCCCTCCCTCTCTCCCTCCCTCCTTCCTTCCCTCATGAAAGCATAGCTTGTTTGCCATTCTTTCCTCCAGTCACCAGCCATTTACTTATGCACATCACCATGCTCATGCCATTACCAGGGGACTTTCTATCAGCATGAAGACAAGAAAATGCCTGGGGCAGAAAGGGTGTGGGGAGCAGGCAGCACCCCTGCAACTGCCCGGTAGCATTTATACATTGCTCTCCCACCTTGGTTTCTATCCATAGCTTTCCTCGTCAGAGCATGTTCACTTTAACATCCTCTAGAGCAATTTCTTGGATCCTTCAAGGGCTCAAGAACTAAACATAAGTTCAAAAGAAACTGAGTAGGCACCTACCTTCTGGAAACAACATCCATAGAAAAGACTTGATTGCTATGGTCTGATTTATGAACCTGTGGCTCATATCAAGGTTAGCATTTGCACTAGCATTAAGGTATTTTCATTGAGATAATTTATGTTTTGAAAGAAATACTACAAGATCAAGAAACTGTATCAGTTGGAGAATAGAAGTGTGTATGATTTGTGTATATAAATATGCACATCAAAGCATTTATTTATTTCAGAGAGTTGTATAACACCATCAGAGTAAAAATTGAGTGATTCTCTTCTATTTCTGACCCTACTTCCAATGTCTTCTCTGTCCCTCTGGGCAAAACCATTTAAACCTTTTATCTTGGTTTCCTTTGTGAGAAAATGGGGATAATAGATACCCCTGAGCCATTCTGGAGACATGTTTGGATGCCAGCCCAGTTATATGATTATAGGAGAAAAAAGCTTTGAGCTTTTGGCACTTAGGTGCCACATAAAGATTATTAGCAAGCTGCTGAGGTTTTATCTTTGGAAACTAATAAGCATTTCTCCTCTAAAGCCTCAAATCTTTAGCCCCTGGACACATGTTCCTGATAGCTCTCTCTTTACAAAGATCCCCTTGGCTCCACAAGGATACAGATAGTGCTTTGCTGAGAGAGTCACTACCGCACATTCAGATGAAAGGTATTCATTCCGCTTGGCAGAGTCATGGTTAGAGTAGCTGCTGATCCCAGCAAGGCAGGGTGGGTGATGGGAAGGGATTAGATTAGGAAGAAAAGGGATCCTCTCATTCTCTCACTGAGAGGACTTTAAACCTGCAGAAGCACAACAGTGAGTGGACTACGTGTATGTGCCAACGTGCAAAGTCGATGGTGCACACGTTACAGGTTGGCTCGAGACGATGCCACTCAGACCTGAGTGCACCGTGGAACTCTCTTGAATTCTCTCTGCAAATGGGTTGCCCTGGATGTATAGAGTTATTCTACAGGAGTCCTGCTCCTAACTCATCAGAAACGTAATGTCCTCTGTTGATCTCAAAGGCATTTTCTTCTGTTAAAAGTATTGTCCATTCAGCAATATGGAGAAAGATCATTTGTGAGAATAAAATAGAAGTGTCTGATGGTAGTGGGGGGGGTGTAATTTCCTCCCTATGTGAGTAGCATTAAGTTCACTCTTAATTTTTTTCTTCATTTCTGTAATTGGAGACTGATTTATCAAGAGGATATAGAATTCAGTGACTAATTCCATTAAATGCTGAAAGAATAAAATAAAAGTAGAATTCAAAAGGCTTACTCCTGATTAGTTTTCAAGATGTGTCTAGGTACAGGAAGTTAAAAATAATACCACAGTGAATGCTCTGACCCAGTGCTAACAAAAGCTTCCTTTTTTTGGTGAGACTTGGCATAGAAAATCACACATGTCATTCAGTGGTCCTGAAAAATGATGACTGAGATTTGGACTGGTTTTCCAGGGAATAAAATTGAGTGACTTTTTAAAAAGTTCTACTCCTAGAATCTGGGATCTAATCAATCCAATATCAACTTCAAGGGAATAGACCAACAACCAGAGATGAAATTAGAAGAAAAATAATTAGAATAGCAAGCATAGGCTGGTTTTCCATGCTATGATTCTGCAGCAAATGTGGTAATTTGGGAATACTGATTTGGGGGATCTCTTGTCATGGGAATAAGTTGTGTTTTGTCAGCTTTGCTGAGTGTCTCCGGTGAGCTAAAAGTGATTAAAACAGAGTGCTGGCCCTGGTATGTAAGCTGTAATCTATACTCCATATCTACCACTAGCCATTTTGAAGGAGGAGAGTTCCCTGATCCATCTCACATGATGTGCAACAGGCGTGTGGCTCGCCCGCTTGGTTGCTCAAACCCCTGATGGGAGATGGAGCACACAGATGGGCAGGTGCAGGGGCTGGAGTGAGTGCTTTGGGCTCCAGCCTGGCAGTAGTGTCTGGGGAGAGGGTGTTCCTGCAGCCCAAGTCTCTTTAGTCTTGCTGTCTGCAAATGGCTTAAGTGTTAACCGGCTCAATAGACCCTCTGCCTTTTCACAAGGGCAGAGGGCCAGTGTGACAGCTTTCTGTATTCCCAGCTTTTGCCCAGTGTTCTAGAAGAATCGGGTCACACACACAGGCTTGAAGGATGAATGTGGGATTTTATTGAATGGTGGAGGTGGCTCTCAGCAGGATGGATGGGGAGCTGGAAGGGGGAATGGAGTGAGAAGATGATCTTCCCCTGGAGTTTGGTCATCCAGCAGCCAAACTCCCCTCTGACCACCCCCAGTTTAACTCCTGGCATTCACACGTTCCTTCCCTTCTCTCTTTCTCTGCTGTGTCATCTGTTGTTTGTCTGCTTGTCTCCTCATCTCCTCATCTGCTTCTGGAGCCTGGGGTTTGGGGTTTATATGGGTACAGGATAGAGGGACATGGCAGGCAAGAAGGCAACTTTTCCCACTTAGGGCCACGGGTCTCCAGGCTTGAGGGTGGGGCCTTTGCTGGGGAACTACCTTCTTTACCCAGTATTTCCCTGTCTCCTGTCCATATCAATTTCATGAATGTGTGGTCACAACATGAACCCAGAATTTGGAGGTTGGAAAGTAGGAGTGAATGCACTCAATCTAATAGGGTGCCAATTCGTAGCATCTAATTTGGTAATGATGAATGAGTAATAGAATCTTTTGGTAGGGGCAGACTTGGTGAATCTTCAAATGTAGCAGGATTTTAAAATGAATCGAATACTATCTCTCAGTCAATACAATTACCTCCACCACTCCTCAGTTCCTAATTCAAGGGTTATATTTTCAGTAACTTTATGTATTCAAAACTGTATTAGATGCTGGAAATACAAAGATGAGTCAGACATTATTAATCTCTGTCCCTAAAACGATGAAAACTAGTGTGGAAGACAGCCAAAAAATTAGAGATTAATCTTATCTAGAAAATTCTAGAAACAGGATGAAGCACAACAGAGGAGTATTTTAGGCAACCTCAAGGCATTTAACACAACCTGGAGCCTTTAGTTAGGTTAGAATATGGCCAGGAACCGGAAGTCAAGATTCAACAAATTGCAACACTGCAATAATAACTAACATCACTTTCTAATAGTGTTTATAGTGTTTTCTAATATGAAATCAAAATCTGTCTTTGGATAACTTTTACTCACTCCCTGGTCTTGTTTCTGTTCTCTGGGATGACACAGAATATATGGAATTCACTCTTACTCTGCTTAGTACTGAGAAAGCAAAAATTAAATAAGGCATTCAAAATTCTTGTCTGTATATGGGCCAAGGGAAAGCTTCCCCTTCACCCTCTGAAGGTTTGCTGATAACCAACTGACAAAAGGAAGATTCACAGGAGAAAAAGCTTAAATATTTATTTGATCACAGTTGTATATGACATGAGAGCCTTTAGAATGAAGACCCAAAGATACAGAGGAAACCGTCCATTTTTATGCCTAGGTTCAACAAAGTATGGACAGCCATGTAGAAATAGGGTTGGATTCTTCTTGGCCTCTCTGAGCAGTGCTTCTTCCTTCTGGGTGTGGGAAAAATTCACCATATTCCTTAGGTCCCTTCAAAGTCCCCTCTATTCACTCTATTTCAGGAAGGGTGAGAGGACCAATGAATAACCAACTTTCTGGAAAGGGGGTC
Source organism: Homo sapiens (assembly GCF_000001405.40). Lineage (NCBI taxonomy): Eukaryota > Metazoa > Chordata > Mammalia > Primates > Hominidae > Homo > Homo sapiens. The sequence continues at coordinate 42,968,405 of NC_000019.10, forward strand.
TTAGGATCTACAGTCAAACAAAGTAGGTCAGGTCATTTCTTCTTTTGTTTTCTCTTTTCAAGAGGCAGGGTCTGATTCTGTCACCCAGGGTGAAGTGCAGTGGCCTGATCCATGGTTCACCACAGCCTCAAATTCCTGGACTCAAGCAATCTGCCAGTCTCAGCCTCTGAAGTAGGTATGACTACAGGTGTGTGCCAACATACCAGACTAATTTTTAAAAATTTTTGCAGAGATGGAGTCTTGCAGTATTACCCAGGATGGTCTTAAACTCCTGGGCTCAAGCAATCCTCCTGCCTTTGCCTCCCAAAGTGTTGAAATTACAGATTTGAGCCACCACACCCAACCCAGATAATTTCTGTATGGCCAGTTTTTACACAGAAAGGTAGAGGGAAATTTAGAGTCCGATTTTTAGGTTTTATGGCTTTGGGGAAAAGGGGTTCTGGTTTCTAGGACCCGTCATGGGGAAGAGGGATTCTAGTTTCTAAGGTGCCTCCAGGGAGAATGGGACTCAGAGACAGGAAGGCAGAAGAAGCTCAGAGAGAAAGTTTTGCTTCTGAGGCTCTTTCAGAAGGATTCCTTGAGCTCAGGAGTTCCAGACCAGCCTGGGTAACATTTCAAGACTCCATCTCTGCAAAAAATTTTGAAAAAATAGCCTGGTATGTGGCATGAACCTGCAGTCCTAACTACTTGAGAGGCTGAGGCGGGAGGATTGCTTGAGGCCAGGAGTTTAAGGTGTGGTGAACTTCTGAGGCTTTGATTTTGGGGTACTGCTTTCTGAGCCTTAGACCTAGAACCAGTATTCAGGTCATGGGGGAAGTTCATATAAGAATCTCTATTTTTTAACTATCAAACTGTGACTTCCACATGGGCCACTTGGGAATGCTCTCACCCATAGACCTGTCATACACCTTTGTTGGGTAGGGACAGGAAAAGAGATTGAGTAGCATAAGATAAAGTCCTCCCGACCCCACCCATTTCAATAATGGGATCCGCATTTATCATATGCAGATCTGAGACCCTTCCTGAACTTCAGGATTCATACAGTATTAGAGAGTGGTCTATACCTTTCCCCATGACCTCCAGCCCACACGAGGTTCAGTGACCCTAATGCCACGGAGGCCAGGATGCTGTGATTAAGATGAGAGCAGGGGTAAGAAGGGTCTTTTCTCTGCTCATGGAGCACTGGAAGGAAGTATCTTTTTGGGTGCTGGACAGTGGGGAGGTCAAGACTGTGGGCAGAGGAACACTGGAGCCAATGTTGGGAATAATTCTCATGCAAGCAAAGACGTGGTGTTTAGCTGGTCACAACCCCAGACCTTGAGACTCCAGTTCCACAGGGGTCCAGGATATTGTTTCCATGTACAAGATCCATCTGTGAGAATCCAGTACTTTCCACCACCTGCCGTGGTATGGCTGTGGTCCCATGCACCATCACCTTGCGCTTCAACTTCTGCAATGACCCCCTAATTGATAACCTGGCTCTTGACTTGACCTTACAGCAAACATTCTTTTTGAAGAAAAGTCACAGAGCTTCACCCCACTGGCCGAAACCCTCCACTATTAGCTGCCACTGCACACAGAGTCGAAGCCTAAGGCATTGCACTTACACATTTTCATGTTATATTGTTGCATAGATGTTGTTAGTTTCTGAGTAGCCAGGAGAGCATTTTTTCTGCAATTAAACATATCGAATGCACCACATTCTTTAGGTCCCCTCAAAGGCCCTTCTATTCACTCTATTTCAGGAAGGGTGAGGGAACCGGTGAATAAACAAAGGTCCTTGCTTTAAAGGCTGTTATGACCATAAAGTCTGTGTATTTCACAGCTCATGACAGCAGCATCCTGAGATATTATTTATTGTCAAACTTCTCTTCTCAGGCCACACATCCCATTGCAATGGGGAATGGGACAGAGCAAATTGCAAGTTCTTGGTTCTATGTTCCAGTTGCAATGTTGCTTTCAGTTTTCCTGCTGTTAAAACAGCTTTTGCTGGTAGGACTGTGGGAAGTGAGAATAGATTTCATTTTACCTGCTGTGCATCAGCAGAAAAAACAAGTCTTTCTTTTCTCCTAGCAGCTGAGATTTCTCAGAGTTCTTCCTAGAATTGGATGTTATATATGATCTACTTTACTCATGCCAACCGGCATACACACCAAAGCCTGATGAGTGGTACAAACCCACCCAATGTTTTCCCCCAAAACAGAAGTAACATAAGCCCATGTGGAATTGTCAGAGGTGTTTGAACCAGAGCAACTGCATCTTGAATAGGAGCAGGGTAAAATGAGGCTGAGACCTACTGCGCTGCATTCCCAGACAGTTAAGGCCTTCTAAGTCACAGGATGAGATAGGAGATCGGCACAAGATACAGGTCATAAAGACCTTGCTGATAAAACAGTTTGCAGTAAAGAAGCTGGCTAAAACCCACCAAAACCAAGATGGCCACAAGAGTGACCTCTGGGGGTCCTCATTGCTACACTCTCACCAGCACCATGACAGTTTACAAATGCCGTGGCAACGTCAGAAAGTTACCTTATATGGTCTAAAAAGGGGAGGCATGAATAATCCACCCCTTGTTTAGCATATTGTCAGGAAATAACCATAAAATGGGCAAGCAGCAGCCCTTGGGGCTCCTCTGTCTATGGAGTAGCCATTCTTTTATTCCTTTGCTTTCTTAATAAACTTGCTTTCACTTTATGGACTCGACCTGAATTCTTTCTTGGTGAGATCCAAGAACCCTCTCTTGGGGTCTGGATCTGGACCCCTTTCCTGTAAAAGAACTATTCATTTTATCTTTTGGTCGTCACCAAGCAAACACAATTATAAATAAGGAAAATAATATATGATTGTAATTTTACTCATAATCCCGAATGTCTCTCATGACCAGCACACCTTTGGTGTATTGGGTCTAAATCAAAGAAAAATTCGAGGAGTTGAATGAACGACGTTTTGATATCTTAATGCATTTTGGAGAAAACCAACTGTTGCAAAAAGCTAAAGAAAACAAAAATTCATTGTTTATAGATCAGGTCACGTGTTTTTCATTTCTGCAATGGCGATGTGGTTGATTCCCATGGAACACAATGAGAGTGTGGTCTCCTTTGAGATTGTATTTATTGATAAATGCAAAAATGCTAATGAATGCTAACTTGCTGGTTCTCCATGGCCTTCCTTCCTCCCTCCCTTTCCAAGAAGGATGTTGTATCTGTCAGAGGCATTTGAACCAGAGTGGCTCCATCTTGAGTGAGGGCTAGGAAAACGAGGCTTGAACTTGCTGGTCGGCATTCCCAGAAAGTTAGGTGTTCCTAGCCTCTAGATGTTTACAGTTAAGGGAATAGATTGATAACATTCACTAAACAGACCCAGAATTGGGAGTGTCCTGATATCCCGATATCTTGAGAACAGAAGCATTCCTAATTTTGCTTTAAAGATAATAACGTTGATTCTTGAAAAATATAGTAATTTAAAAAATTAATCCTTTATCACAAACCCTTGTAGCAGAGCACATCTCCCCATGATCTTTTTAAATTCTCTATATAAACAAGCACTGTACCTAGGGGTTGGTGTGTTCCTTCTCTTACTTTCTGGAATGCCCTACTCTGTCTATGGAGTCGCTGTACTTTCACCACTTTACTCTTTTAATAAACTTGCTTTCACTTTGCACTGTGGACTTGCCCTGAATTTTCTTGCCCAAGACCTAAGAACCCTCTCTTGGGGTCTGGATCGGGACCCCTTTCCTGTAACATATCCACCTGGTCAATTTAGGAGGCAGCTGTTATGTTTATCAGGATGAAGAAAATAAAACTCTTTTACTTCAAAATGTATTTCTATGATATAGTTTGAGATGGCTGTTCAGAAAGCCAGCAAACAGGAGGGGCCCTGCAAAGCTGTCTTGTATGGGGCGATTTGCATCTGCAGATAAATTCTGCACGGATGCAGCCAGGCTTTCTCAGAGGCCATCCTCCCTCGTCCTACTGTAGGAAAGATGGACAGAGAGTCTGACATCTTTAAAGGTCTGAAAGAAACATTCGCCATCTATTCTCTCTGAGGCCTGCTACCCGGGAGGTTTCATCTATATGACAAGACCACCTCGGCTAGCTTGGCCTCTTCTTCTCTTTCTCCCATAGCCTGTGTTGCCACAATGCGAGCCTCCATTCTTCAACCTCAAGATGGTGTGAAATCTTCTGCACTCCATCCGGGGCATGGGGTTGGGTAATCACCCTATGAGTTACCCTACGATGCTCCCTGTGTTCAGGAGAGTATATTTGTTTGACTTTTCTCCAATTAATTTTGCCTTTCATGAGTTTATTTTCCAGCAAAACTTCAGAGCAAAAAGGAAGGTTTTACCTTGGCCTCTGCAATGATAATGAGTTCAGATGTAACATGAAAAATTTAGGAAAGATTGGGAGAATTTTTTTTAAAGATCCAGGAATTTATCTTAGGGGAAAAAAAAGGAATAGTACTGGAAGGAGGATGCAGGAAGAATGAGAGAGAGAGAGAGAAAGGGAGATTGGGGCAAGTGAGGAGGAAGGAGGGTTTGTGGACGTCTGACATGCTGGAGAGATAATGAGGAGACCAGTTGGGGGAATATGAGCTTAAGAGGTTCTAGTGTGTGCCTATTCGAGACACTGGAGAAACAATGGAATTATTTTTTAGAGCTTCTCTGGATATAGAAGATGGTTTCCATTTGAATGGGATGCCACCATGTTGAGCCAGGAAATAAGGCTTTCCTTAAAGGGGCTGCTTACCACAGACATTGATTCTCTCGCAGTCCTGGAGGCTGGAAATCTGAGACAAGGTGTGAGCGGGGCTGGTTCCTCCTGAGGCCTCTCTCCTGGGCTTGGAGATGCTGTCTTCTCCCTGTGTTCTCCCATGGTGGTTCCTCTCTGTGTAGGTCTATGTCCTCATCTCCTCTTCTTATAAGGACACCAGTCCTGTTGGATTAGGGCCCACTCTAGTGACCTCGTTTTACCTTAATCCAATCTTGTCCATTCTGCAGCCCTAGGGCCACATGCAGCCCAGGACAGCTTTGAATGTTGCCCAACACAAATACGTACTTTTTTAAAACATGAGATTTATACACGGACCTGTTTTTTCGCTCATCAGCTATTGTTAGTGTATTTTATGTTTGGCCCACAACAATTCTTCTTCTTCCATTGTGGCCCAGGGAAGCCAAAAGATTGGACTCCTTTGCCTTAATCACTTCTTTAAAGGCCCTACCTACAAATACAGTCACATTCTGAGGTCTTGGGGGCTAGGACTTCCATGGATGGATTGGGTGAGGGGGCCTCGACTCAGCTCATAACAGCAGAGTTCTAATGGTGGTTCTCAGTCTTTGTTTTGAGGAAAGTGGTCGCTTAAATAACGACATATGGAAAAGATACAATTTAAGTAATAGAGACTTCCCAGGCAAACCCCATGTAAGGGGAGGAATCGAACGTATCAAGGGCATTCCCCAAGCCCAAGGTGATAGAGGTGAGAAATGCTCACTTATTAGTGCCTATTTCAGTCTCCTGATAGATTTTCATTTAGTATGCTGTAAACAAAAATATCCCTGCAGACACTGGCACTTGAGGGATTACAGTGGTGAGGAGAAATTCCCTTATTTATTTGTGGAATTCAGTGAAGCATTTCACAGTCCACCTTCTGGGGATAATCTGTTCATTGCCATGGAGTAAATCAATAGCCTTCATTTAGATTCTTAACTGGCAATTTGATCTCATTCACTTTACCCAACACTCATTGGCTGGAGGGATGTTGGAGACTGGGAGCAGGCTCCTAAAAAGGGTCTTGAAAATGTTATTTCAACAAAGATTAATTTTGAGGCATTGAGAGTTTCAGAAAGGTTGACTTTTTTTTCTGAAGCTCTTCTAAGCCAATCTTAAATGAATCCTCAGAGGACTATTTCTGTGGGTGTGTGTCTGCTTGTGTGTGTGTGTGTGTGTGTGTGTGTGCATGTGTGTGTCTTGCCCCATTCCAATTCTCCATCCCCATGCTGAGGAGGCTGGAGGATTCAGAATGCAGAATCAGGTGTATTTTTAAAAAATCATTATGTCTGTCCTCACCAAAACACTGGCTATTTCTATCTTTCCTTCTCATTTTACTCTGCTATAGGAATCTAAGTAAATCATCTTTAGGAAATACCAAGACCTACCAGGGGTTTTAGATTGATGGCGGCCGACACAACCTAGTATTGATAGCCCATGTAAATGTTTGCCATCCAGATGACAAGGATAACGACAAAACTAACATGACCTGCCCCATGGTGTGCTAGACCCACATCTCTTGGGGAATGTTTTGAAGCAAGTTAATGCAAGCTACTTGATAAAAGGCTTCTGTGATGAAATGAGAATGGGGAAGCTGAGTTAAACAAAATCAAACAGTGTTCTGTGTTGGAAGCTTCTCAAATCCTTAACCATGCTGAAAAGCTTAGAGTATTTCCAGGAGAATGGCATGGCACCCCGCATCCCAGACCTGCACAGCCCCTGCTCAGGCCATCTTGTGGGATGAACAGTATGCAAAACACACATTCTGGAACATGCTTGAAGAGAGGGGAGGCCACTCTCTAGCTTGGGCACAGTTCTGGCTCTGGCACACACTGACAACGTGACACCGGGTGACAGTCCCTCTGTAAACTGCGCTTCCTCATATGCGAGAGGCCATGGAACGTTGGCCTCTCAGACGTTACTGGCTCTAACATTATTTTGCCAAAAATAAAATAATTAGGGTGGATGTGTTACAGGAAAGTGGTCCAGATCCAGACCCCAAGAGAGGGTTCTTGGATTTCACCAAGAAAGAATTCAGGTCGAGTCCATAAAATGAAAGCAAGTTTATGAAGAAAGTAAAGGAATAAAAGAATGGCTACTCCATAGACAGAGCAGCCGTGAGGGCTGCTGCTTACCCATTTTTATGGTTATTTCTTGATGATATGCTAAACGAGGGGTGTATTATTCATACCTCCCCTTTTTAGTCCATATAGGGTAACTTCCTGATGTTGCCATGGCATTTGTAAACTGTCATGGCGCTGGTGGGAAGGTAGTAGTGAGGATGACTAGAGGTCACTCTTGTTGTCATCTTGGCTTTGGTGGAGTTTCACTGGCTTCTGTGCAACCTGTTTTATCAGCAAGGTCTTTATGACCTGTATATTGTGCCGACCTCCTGTCTCATCCTGTGACTTAGAACGCCTTAAGTGTCTGGGAATGCAACCCAGTGGGTCTCAGCCTCATTTTACCCAGCCTTTATTCAAGATGGAGTTGTTCTTGTTCAAATGTCTCTGACAGATGTAATAGGTAACGCTCAGACACTGACATCAGAGGCAATGCAACCTTAACAGAATTGGCTGACATATATCTCTGGGTATAAATAAAGTCTCAGCTTTCCCCTGAGACGTAATGATGAGTGTCCCTAAAGTTTGCTTCACCCTTCCACGCTAAACTCGCTCCACTGTTCCATCATCTGCTTTAAAGCCACAAGGACAGCCAGTTAGGCCTTTGTCATCATCACTTTTAACTTTTGTTTAACTTTTAACAAAGATTGGCCTTTTTAAAGGCTCAGTTATATTAAAAAAAACAACTGCCTGCCACTTACGCAGTCCATGGATTTTAAACAAAGCTGGCAATGCAAGTCAATGGGAAAAGAATAGTCTTTTTCAACACATGGAATTGGAAAAACTGGATACCTATATGGATAAAAATGAACTTTGATCCCTTACTCCATACTCTGCACAAGCATTAAATTAAGATTAACTGAGATTTGATCTGAATGTAAAATCTAAAATTGTGAAGCTTTTACAATAAAACAAAGCTAGACAAAGACTCCTTCTACAAATACCTGGCACTAAACATTAAAAAATCATAAATTGTGCTCATCAAAAATACATCTGCTCTTCAAGATAGATGAAAAGGCAATTCACTGACTTTGAGACCAAGTGTTTCTGTTCAGAATATGTAAAGGAATTCTAAAACTCAACATAAAAAGACAAAAATAAAACAAAAACACATGCAAAAAATAAAAAAAGATAGAAAATAAGCAAATTATTTGGACAAAAGGCTCCCAAAAAAGGAAATGCAAATAGCTAGCAATCACAGGAAAAGATGCTCAATATTATTAGTTATCAAGGAAATAAAAAGTAAAACCATGAGATACTCATACCCATTAGAATGGCTACAGTTAAAACGACTGACAGTACTAAGTTTTGCTGAGGATGTGGAGCAATTGGAATGCTCATGTATTGAGGTGAGAATATAAAATGGTGCAAACACTTTTAATAACTACCCTATGGCTCAACAATTCCACTTATAGATATATACCAAAGAGATATGAAAGCATATATTCATCCACACAAAGACCTGTACACAGATATTCATTGTAGCGTTATTCATGATAACTTCAATCGGAGCAGAACCCAAATGCTTACCAAAGGATGAATGGATAAACATACTGTTACATATTCATATAATGACATAATACTAACAGATAATAAAAGGAATAACTATTGTTACCTGCAATGGAAACACATATAAATGTCAGAAATAGTACGTTGTTAAATAGGCCAGATACGAAAGAGAATATGTTGCATGATTCCATTTATATAAAGTTCTAGAAGAGACAACGTGAAAGTCATGGTAATAAGAACAGCAGTTGCCTGAAGTTTTGTGGTTTGGCGATATGAGGAAATTTTCTGGAGTGATGGAAATATTCTATATTTTTATTCGGATGATGTTTTCACAGGTGAATATATTTGTGTAAACTCATCAGAATATATAAAAAGATTCTACAACTCAAAATAAAATTTTAAAAAACCACAAAAAGTTATTGTGATGGTTAATATTGAGTGTCAACTTGATTGGATTGAAAGGATATAAGTATTGCTCCTGGGTGTGTCTACAAGGGTATTGTCAAAGGAGATTAATATTTGAGTCAGTGGACTGGGAGAGGCAGCCCCTTCCTCAATTTGGGTGTGCACCATCTAATCAGCTGCCAGCGTGGTAGGATAAAAGCAGGCAGAGGAACGTGAGAGGACTAGATGGGCTTAGTCTTCTGGCCTACATCTTTCTCCCAGCTGGATGCTTCCTGCCCTCGAAAATCAGACTCCAAGTTCTTCAACTTTGGGACTCGGACCTTTGAACACAGACTGAAGCCTGCACTGTCGGCTTCCCTAGTTTTGAGGCTTTGGGACTTGGACTGACTTCCTGGATCCTCAGCTTGCAGATGACTTATTGTGGGACCTCACCTTGTGATCATGTGAGTCAATGCTCCTTAACAAACTCCCCTTTATATATACATCTATGCTACTACTTCTGTCCATCTAGAGAACCTTGAGTAATAGAGTTATGCATTTTTATTAAATGTAAATTATGCCTTAATTAAAAATAAATATCTTCTCAACCTCCAAAAAGAGACTTTCTGTCTGAAACTTGAGAATAAGTCTAAAGTTTTCATTTAATAATGAATTTGTAAAAGACAGGAAAATTGATTTTGGCATTAATTTGTTCAACAAATATCTGTTGAGCATGTCCTATGTGGCAGGGGCTGAGTGTGGGGTGTGGATTGGGTGAATGTAAGGAACATATAGTTCCTGGCTCCCTAGAGCTCATGGTCTAGGGGTTGGAGAGAATTGGTACATTGGGATTTTAAAGGGGGTGCCAAAAGTGGTGATGACAAAGCTCAGGGAAGAACAACTGGAGTGGAGGGAGGGCATCAACATGGATGCTGAACCAAGCCAATGTACTGCTAAGAGTGAGGTGGAAAGTATCATGTGAACCCCAGAGCTTCAATTGTCAATAAGTATTGGGGTGTGACCAGCAGATTGATAGAAGACAGCAAAGAGAGAGGGGTGAATGCCAATAGAGCAGAATAGCATGACTTGTCAAGAGACAGGACTTTTCAAGGTGAAAGGAAGGGAGATGGTCCTGAAGCAGCAGTCATGTCTATGACCCACCTAAGCCCTAAGCAATGACAGATAGGAACAGAGTCAGGGTCCTCAGAGGACAACCTAGTTTTAATTAAGGACAGAAGTTGAGAAGAATATTTTAAGAAACATTTGAGGACATATTACAGTTTGCTGGCTATGGGTTAGGGTAGGGTGGAAGAGAGATATTTGGAATAAAGGGTATGGATGGGACAAGACAAAGCAGGGCACCAGCCCTACCTTGGACCTTTCCTTAACTTGAGACAGCCATGTCCATGTTGATTCAGCCAATCTGACTCAGGTATTATGTAACTTGAAGTTGAACCATCCCAACTGATATAAGTGGTGATACTGAGTAACACAAATGTGCTTTCTGGATTCACACATGTACTTTTTTTACATGAAAAGTTCAAACTTCTATGTGGAGAATTTTTTCTTTTTTTTGTTTCTTTTTTTGTTTTTTTTTTTTTGTTGTTGTTTTGTTTTTTTTTTTGAGATGGAATCTCGCTCTGTCGCCCAGGCTGGAGTGCAGTGGTGCAATCTTGGCTCACTGCAAGCTCTGCCTCCCGGATTCACGCCATTCTCCTGACTCAGCTTCCCGAGTAGCTGGGACTATAGGCGCCTGCCACCACGCCTGGCTAATTTTTTGTATTTTTAGTAGAGACAGGGTTTCACCATTTTAGCCAGGATGGTCTCGATCTGCTGACCTCGTGATCCGCCCGCCTCGGCCTCCCAAAGTGCTGGGATTACACGTGTGAGCCACTGCACCCGGCCGATTTTTTTCAACAGTATCCTCAAGAAGTATTCATCATTCAACTCTTTCTAGGAAAGGTATTTAAAAAAGAAGAAAAATATCATTTCTGGCCTGGAATGTCAAGACATACATCTCTTAGAGATTTAGTTCTAATAATTATTGTAGAGTCTTGTGGATGTTTCTTATAATTTTAATTTTTACAAAAACAAATCTGTCCATCCATGCATCTACGTATGTATGTATATATGTATGTATCTATCTATCTTCATCATCATAATTATGCATCTAGGATCTATCTATTGTGTATCTATCTAATAATCTATCTATGCAGAACTGCAACATTTACATGACTGGCCCATACCGCCCTCTGCTCCCCACTTTTTCTAATCTTCAAAATCAAGTTTCTGGACTCAGGGCTATGAAATGCAAAGTGAAACAGCTCATGTCCAATGGTCTGACACTCTGCTGCTCATGAAAACCTGCAACATCCAACTGAGTTTTTCATTTTTAACATCAGCAGATCTAGTTCTCTATCTTCATAGAGAGTTATTTTTAATTTTATTAGGGGATAAATTCTTTTTTAATAAAGAAATTATTAGGTATCAAAATACCACAATCTCTTTTTGGATACAACTAGATTATGTGTATGGGTGAAGTATTTTCAACTTAAGAATAACATTCCTGTTCCTTGAACACTATTTTGGAAGTTTGGGTTAAGGGATATTAACTTCCTTAAGACAAAACAGACTCACAGTTGAAAACTACTCACCTTCTCTATAGAAGTTGCTTAATATCAATAATTTTTATTGTATTGGAACAAAATAGACTATAACTTTTTATAAGATACATATAGGTTTACTACTAAATATTCTTAAAATGAATATAATGCTATAATATTCTTATTTTGAGGTAATATATATATAGTCTGCAAAAATTAGGTTTCCTGGTGTCATTAACCACTTATGCAATTATTTTTCTGAAATGAATACACATGCTGTACGTGCAGTTTTGCCTGATACAAGTTTTAAAACAACGTATATTGGAATCTTGGAACTAAAAATGAGAAAATCAGTGTCCCCTTGATGTCAATTTCAGTTCAAACTGCACTTGCTATTTTATTTTTAATTGGTTACTTACATTATCTGTACATTGTCACAGTTGATGGTATTTGTTTACTTCTCTGTGACCATAATTTGCACAGATTTAACCATAATACATCCTTAAAGATTACAAGAAATCTTTTAGACACAGCTCCTCTCAGTTGCTGAGGATCCAACTTTTACTCATTTGTTTTCTTCATGAATATGTATTTCCTGAGTTGTATGTTTGTACATAGCTATTTGTAGCCTTTGAAGTTTATGGAAGTTTGTTTGGTTGCATTCTTGGGGCACATTTTCTTTCCCTGATGACTGTTAAGGTTAGGATATTTGACCCTTCCAAAGCTCATGTTGAAATTTAGTCCCCAATATTGGAGGCTGGGCCTAATACAAGGTGTTTGGGTCATGGGGACAGATCCCCCCCATTGAATAGATTAATGTCCTCTCCTGATGGTGAATGAATTCTTCCTCTATTAGTTCCTGCAAGACCTGGTTGTTAAAAGAGCGGGCCACCTCCCCGGTTTCTCTCTTGCTTCCTCGCTCATGTAATCTCTGCACATGCTGGCTTCCCCTTCTCTTCTGCCATGAGTGGGAGCAGACTGTGGCCATCACCAGACGAAGATGCCCAATTTTGAACTTTCCAGCCACCAGAATCATAAGCCAAATCATCCCTTTGCCTTTATAAATTATCCAGCCTCGGGTATTCTTTATAGCAACACAAAAGGGACAGGACTTTTTATATCTTGCCCCACTGTCTTCTAGCATTTCATGTGTCCCATAAAGAAATCTTAGTCTCCTAGGTTTTTTTTTTTTTCTGAATATCCACAGAATTCTTTCCATAACTTCAAATACCAGGAATTTATTGGGGTATTTGTTAATTATTCAATATAAACACAGCCTTGTAATTCTTGGGCTATTTCTGTCTGCAGATTCAAATTTCACTGTATTTCAGGAATTTCACCTTGAATTGTATCTTTGAAAATTTGTTTTCATGTTCCATTCATTTTTTAACCCATGCAAGGCATTTAGTGTTAATGATATTTGATCTCTTCCCTACCACTCCCTCCCATCCCCCTCTTTTTCTCTATCTCTGTCTTCCATCTTTTACTTTTCGTTCTTTTCCATCTCACATGCTCATTTTTTCTTCTCAAAACCATCCTTCGAATTCCTTCAGTGGTGTCTCATCTCCCTTTTGCTGCTTCTATCATGACCTTTGATTTTGGTCTCTTTTTGTGTGTCTCTCTCTCTCTGAGATTCTGAGGCTCTGCCTATTCCGTTTTTATTCTCATTTGTTTCTAATTGTTTCTAAGACTCTGTATACTCCTTTTTCATTCTCATTTATTACTAATTTATTTCTGAGGCTTTATCCACTCACTTTTCATTCCCATATAACCTAATGTATTATCAGTTCTTCCTTAAAGCCTTATATTGCTTCTTTAAATTCTCATTTCAGAGAAACAATATTGTCTTTAATTGATTCCTTAGAAATAACCTTGTTCATGGTTTTTGGCTGCGTTGTGGTATATAATCTTTCCGTTTCTCATCTTCATAAATCATGTTCTGTTCTTCTTTTTTCATTTCAGCATCATTATAAGGCCCCCGGCTGGCTCCACCCTTTTTAAGTAGCATTGTTCCTCATCTTTTTGGACTAGAATTTTGGGCAAAGTTCTGGGGAAAGGGGAAGAAGAATGTGCCAAACAAGTGGGAAGATTGGGTTTCAGTCTGTTATCTCTAGGATGTTTCTCAGCTGGACTTGGCCTGTGGGTTATCTGTTCTAGCATAGCAGGATATCTTCCAGGCTCACAAGGAGGCTGTGCATTTTACAGAACATTTTAATGTGATTATTTTACCTTGACTTATCTTCACCAGGCAGCTTTGGGCAAAGACGGCCAGGTAGCTTTTATCTTATTGACTCTTCCTTCTATCCTATGCCATGATTGAAACATGATGTAGGCTTCCAAAACCAGGCCATGAACCTTGATCTTAACTTTCTAAGCATGGGATAGACACATTTCCTTTCAATGTGTGCCACCCATCCACTTTGGATAACTATGAGCTGGGTCCACTCTGCCTGAGTCAGACATAGAAAGATACCTTCTCTTGGAGTTCCCAAATACCTCCATCCACTTCTCATACACTTGGCTTTCTTCCTGCATCTACTGTAATCCAGTGTTATAGGGGATCTGTAGCTTCATCCAAGATAACATTTGTTTGTTTCTTCTTCTCTTGTTTGCTTTGGATTGGTTTCATAAAGGAAATCAGACAAAAATATATTTATACTACCATTTGAAAAGAAAAGATAAATTCCTTCTTTCAAATTCATTCCTTTTTGTTTCTTTCCAGTGAATCTCATGGGGTGAGGGGAGCACTGAAGGGAATGTCCAATCTACTCAAATCCAAAAAGTCACAGGTATAAGGCACAGAAAATTTTACCAGTCTAATGATGGCAGTTTTAATGCTATATAAGGACAGAGTATGCAAAAATGCTATTAATGAGGATGAGGAGCTGGGAGTTCGCAAAATGTTGGCCCAGATGAGTGCAGCAGACATTTGGCCCAGGTGAGCCTAGCAGATATTTACATGAAATATTAGGGAGCATCCATCTGGGCTATGTGACTTAGGCTGGCGATACACGACAGAGGATTCCAATTTGTTGTATAAATCACCCTCAGAGCCCCCAGCAGTGAACACATAGGGGGTTCTTTTCATTTTCATGATGCTTAATATAGTCTTTAAAAATAATTAAAATTAGGTGAAGTGTGTAGATTTCTGAGAAATTACAGAAAGACATTAGTTTTGATACCTCTTGCTTGTAGCATTTGACCAACATAAACAAACTAAAAGGTTTAAAAAGAACAGGGATTCTTCCCAGTGGTATAGTGTAATGGGTAGGGAAAAAAAGTTCAAAATTGATAAATAGACCAATATTATTCTCAAAACTCATACCACTGTCATTGGGAAGAAATGAATACATATTACTTAGTCACTTCATGTTACCATATACTTATATTAACACAACAAAAAGGAAATTATACGAAAAAAAGTCATACATTTAAAGGATGGAAGAAAATCCTAGGTTTACTCGGAGCTCAAGATCCCATTGAGATGAATATTGTTCTTTCCTCAGATTGTTCCTTCATTTCATTCATTCACTTATGTATGCATTTATTTATTTAGAGATGGGGTCTATTTCTGTATTTATTTATTTATTTATTGATGGAGTATTGCTCTGATGCCCAGGCTGGAGTATAGTGGCACAATCATAGCTCACTGCAGCCTTGAACTCCTGGGCTCAAGTGATGCTCCTGCGTCAGTCTCCTGAGTAGCTGGGACTGTAGGTGTTTGCCACCACGCCCCGCTAATTTTTAAGTTTTTTTTGTATTGATTGGGTTTCCCTATGTTTCCCATGCTGGCCTTTAACTTTTCAGCTCAGCGATCTTCTGCCCTGGCCTCCCAAAGTGCTGGGATTACAGGTGTGTCCCTTCATTTCTAATGAAGGAAGGTTTTCCTTTGAATATTCACAACAGATATTTTTAAAAGAAAGGCAGATTTGAAGCAACCATCAACAAGCTTTACCTGAAAATTAATCTGATATTTACAATTGCATTATATAAAAGAAATGTTACAGACTGAATTGTGCCACACCTACCCCAAAACTCTTATGTTGAAATCCTAACACCCAGTACCTGGAATGTGATTGTATTTGGAGATGGGTCATTAAGGAGTAAATTAAAGTAAAATGAGGTCACATGGGTGGGCCCTAATCCAATAGGACTGGTGTCCTTATAAGAAGAGGAGATGAGGACACAGACACACACAGATAGATGACCCTGTGAGGATACAGGGAGAAGACACCATCTACAAGCCCAGGAGAGAGGCCTCAGGAGGCACCATCCCTGCTGACACCTTGATCTCAGACCTCTAGCTTCTAGAACTGTAAGAACAATTGTTGCTGTTTAAGCATTCCCATATGTGGGACTTTGTTATGGCTGCCTGAGCAGCCTAATGGGAGTGCAAAGACTTTCTTTAAATAATGTATAACAATGCTGGTTTGGAAATGACTATCCAGTGTTGAGTTCAAAACTTTATCTTTATGGATGCTGCTATGAGTGAGTGTCTAATTTGGGGGCATAATATTGACATTCTTCGGGAGAAATGCAGACTCCAATCAGTGCAGAAAATGGCACAGAATAATGTTTAAATATGCCCTCCAGGCCATAACATGGTTGGGTTAGGAGGAGGAATATTAACCATTCCCATCCTAAAACACAGAATTTTGGGTTTCTTTCTGTGAGTTCACCACCTCTGACCTTCACAGTTAAGGGACCATCACACAGACATCTGCCATTTTCATATAACTGTCTATCCAAACAAAGGCTGAAAATTCAGCATGGAGGAACTCTCCCAGCACCCGTGGTCAGCCCCTTGGCCTGCATCCCCACCCTGGGCACTGGTGTGGGGGTGGGATTCTTTATGAACTTGGGCCCCAATTCTGCTTCCCCTGGAAAGCTGGACCCACACAACATCACCCTCATATGCAGACCCTCATGTCTGGGCACCTGTGCCTACCCGGAGCTGGGGGTCTGCTCTAGGAGCTGGTTCAGGACAGGATACTCCCATCCAATCTGTGCCCACCATAGAAAAGAGCCAGCCAAGTGCCTGCTACTACAGGGCTCTTCACACATGGAAAAGCTGCCCTGGGGAAGTGTCCCAGGAAAGGGCAGGGGGACAAAAAAAGGTCACAGTGATTTGCCTCCAGACACTGGACACTCTTCCCTGGAGAGTACAGGGCATGCTCCTCTCCAAACCTGATCTTGCTACATTTGTGCTGCCCACAGTAGTGGTGCCACTGAGTTTTCAAAGAAGACAGCAGGCCCTGAATTGTGCAAGGAAAATAAGTGCTTGAATTTTGTAGCATGCATGCAGTGTTCTACTTTTAAGAATGGTACCAGGCTCCTCTGATATTCAAGAAAGGCCCCCAACAGCTCAGATGGTAGTTTTCTAATCCTGTCTTCCCACATGCACATTTACCTCCTCCACCCAAGAACTGAATAACAGACATGAGTGCTCAGGACGTCATGCTGTCTACTGTCATCCCCTTCCTAAGACCCCCTCTCCCCATCTCTTGACACCCCTGTTCTTAGCTCCCTCTTTCTTTCTGGCCTGTTACACTCAACCTCTCCAGCATCCTAACAAGTACCCACTCAAACCTATTTCCTCCCCTGCTGTGCTGCTTCTTCAAAAGTGCTTTGCTTCTCATCCTCACCTTCTTTCCTTGCCCTCTTCCCTGCTTCCCTCTTCAAAGCACTTCTCAGCTACAAATGAGAAGGAAGGGATCTGATTAAACAGGCTATGAGCAGAGTCATGTTCTGAGGAGATTTGCATTTTTAAGAGGAGATTAATGACCACATCTGACAATGTGACCCTGGAATCTTATGCAGAGTGATAGGGGATTTGGGATGAGCTCCGTTCAGGGTAGGAAGCGAGAGTTTGGATCTGAAATACTTTTCAGATGCTGAAGTCATAGGAGCTTGCAGTTGCTTCCTGGGCAGAGCCATAAACAAACATCTCTTCTGCAGAGTGGGGGCTGAGAAGATGGAACAGTGACCCAGGAGCTATGGAATTATCTGGCCATGTTACACTTGCAGGACTACACACATTTAAGTGAAAAAACATGCTTTTCGTCCGCCTGGCTGACCTCTTAGCCTGCTCTCCTCTTATTGTTCCCTTGAAGGCATCATTTTTTGAAAGAGAAATTTAAACCCTGTCCATCTCATCTTCTTTGGAAGAAAGTTAAGATTCCTTTCTGAGGTCTTTCATCATCTGGAGTTTAAAAGCTTCCTCTCCTCTATCAACTCTCTTTGAATCCCTCATGTCACACCAAACTTCAAAAGAGACAAATACTTTTGCATGATTCCCTGCAGGCTCTGTTTTGCCCTGTAGTGACAGCCCCATGTCTTCGCTTTCCTGACTGGAAAAACTTCTCAAGCTTTCTACATTCATGATCTCCACTTCTTCAGTGCAACCTTCTCCAGTTTGTCTCTGATCTCCAATGGTCCCTGCATTAATCTTGTCCGAGCCACAGGTGACCCTCGTATCATCTCAGCTTCTACTTCCCAGTCTCTCTCTGTTTTTTTTTTTTTTTTTTTTGAGACAGGGGTCTCACTCTGTTACCTAGGTTTGTCTCAAACTGTTGGGCTCAAAAGATCCTCCGACCTCATCTTCCTGAGTAGCTGGGGTAGGGGTGTGAGCCCTTCTGCTTGGTCTCCAGTCTTTGCTTTTCTTTTTTGACCTATACGTTTGGTGGTTGATGTCCATGTTCATGTAATTGTCTTCTCTGGCTTCTCAGGGCCACCATGCATTCCCTTCTCCCTCTTTTCATTTATTATCTTTTCATCTAGTAAAACCCATCTTCCCCTAAAGATGTATATTTTCCTCAAAGCAAGGATTGGCGTACCTTCACAAACTGAGTCTCCAATGACAACACAAACTGAAATGCAATATAAATCATGGACAGATGTGAGCTCCTCTTCTACTTCCTGTGTCCTCTGCTGGTTCTTCTCACCAACATCACGTATTGCTAAGTAAGCCAGTGATGTCAAGTTAGAAAATGGACTGAGTCCATTAATTCATTTGGCACGCTCCAAAGTCCTCACCTGAGATCTATCTACTCTCCAAATAATTACACTTCTTAGAAATACAGGAAGATCCTTTTCACATGAGCTAATTAGGGCGAATACATGTAAGTGTTGGTAAGAAGTACTAGAAATACTGGAATTTGTGAGATTTCATTGAAGAACCAACTTCCACCCAGCCCTTCACATTGTTCTCTTTCGGTAGTTTCTTGTCATTTCCTCCTTTTACTATCAATAGGGCTGCTGTGAACATGCATGTACAAGTTTCTGGGTGGACATATGTTTTCATTTTTTGGGGGGGAGTAGATATCAAAGAGTAGAATTGCTGGGTTGTATGATGAATGTGTGTTCTAACTTTTCAGAAACTGGGCTTCTACTGCTTCCTAATTTCACCTTCCACGCCATTTCTGTAGTGAGGCCCACTCCTTGGCCTTACAAGACCTGAATTAAGTTAGGTGCCAGAGTCGTTCTGTCATTGACTCTGTTCTTTCCCTTGCTAGCCTGTGTAATAATTGGCAGTCAGACCTTTACATAAGCAAGGGTTTCATATGTCTCCCCAGTTATATTACAAGTTCCACAGGGGCAGGGCTATGTCTATCTCCTTGACCTCTGAATCTGCGATGCCTGGCAGAGGGCTGTGGACACCGGTCACCCTCCATAAACACTGGGAGACAAACAAGGGAGTCAGTAGAGTTATTTTTTTGCTTTTCTACCCCCAGAACTGTTAGAATATGATTTGAGCTATTCCTTCAAGGAAGTCCTGGGGCAGGTGATCATTCATAGATGATGTGAGGGAGTGCACAGCACATGAGTTTGCAGGAAAATGCAAACCCCACGTTGAAATTTGATCCCCAGTGTTGGAGATGGGGATTTACAAGGGGGTGTTTGGGTCATGGGGGTGGCTCCCTCATGAATGGCTTGGTGCTGCCCTCATGGTAATGAGTGGGTTCTCTACTCAATCCTGCAAGAGCTGATTGTTAGAAAGAGCCTGGCACCTTCCTCTCCTCTTTCTCTTTCTCCTGCTTCTTCTCTCACCATGTCATCTGTGCACACAACAGCTCCCCTTCTCATTCCACCATGAGTGCAAGCTCCCTGAGGCCTCACCAGAAGCAGATGCTGGTGCAATGCTTCTTGTACAGCCTGCAGAGCTGTGAGCCAAATAAACCTCCTTTCTTTATAAATTATCCAGCCTCACTCAGGTATTCCTTTATAGCAATGCAAAACTGACTAAGACAGGGTATCAGGAGACCTAGATTTGCCTGCATCTGAGAACGTCATCAGGACTCTTGGAACAATTTAGCCCACAGTTCCAAGGTTGATTTTTGTCACAGCGAAGTTCAGGTAGTAAGAATTCTCACTGGTGGCTGTTGAGGGTGGTGGTGGTGGGGATGGGTCATATGGAGAATTAGCAGTGGGAGACTAGAAATTAAAGTGGAGAAAGGGAAGAATTAAAAGTCAAAAACAGTGTGAGGGAGGAAAGCAATGGATATAACACCTCGGATCTTTATCCTTGAGAGGCCTTAAAAATCTACTTAATAATCAGATGGTATTCTATAAGAACTTTGAGACTAGACATGTGATGACTTTTAGGAAACTGCCCTGGAGCTGAAAATGCATGCAAATCTAGCTGACTCAGCTCCAGCCTTAACTGGCTCATAACTTGTTTCATAAACATGACTGTATGTTAGCAAGGAAATGAGAGAGAATAACAGCACATCACATAGGCATGAAAAGTATTTGCAAAGCAGCAGTTCTCAAAAATGACATTTTGCAGAGTTTTCCAGAAGCAGATTCAGAAAACTGAAGACCAAAGTAATGAGGGAGCTGTCTCATGCCTAGATGAGCAGAAGCATACCAAAGGCTTAGTATTTCCCCAAGTAATAGGCACCTGAAACTTATTTAAGGAAAATACTCTTCTTGATGAAACAGGCACTGCAGTTGAAGCAGGAATGTGTTTGGTGTGCTGCCTTAAATAGCATGGGTAGATGTTCAAACATGTTAGGACTCACTGGCCCTAGGAAAGACCCGCAAGTATCTGGTCTACACCAGGAAATTGACAATGAAACACCAAACACCTTTTCTCCTCTAATTACCAAGAAAAGTATTTCTTTCCCAATGGTGGAAGACAATAATGTTGGGAATGATGAAGTTTTCTGGAGTGTGAAGTGGATATGTCTTATAAGTTTAATCCACAGCTTCACCACTTCATAAGTGGATAATCGAATTGTGCCTCAGTTTCCTCAGACTTGGGGATATTAAGAGTACCCTCAGTCACCACAAGGTGGGTACCAACATAAGAAAAGGGTATAGCAAAAGCCCAGGGGTGCATGTTCTTAAAGTGCCTAGTGTGGGATTAGAATGACAAGTGGTAGATGACTTACTTGTGCAGAAATTTAGAGTTATTTTGTGATTTTCAAATGATCATGGGTGCTTTCCATATGCTGTCCAGACTGGGGGTGCTGCAGCTAGAAAGGGAAGAAGGTTTCCGTATTTCCTGAGACTGGAGTCACATCCTCTCACCAATGCACTCACCTGCTGACTAACCAGTGTACTTCTGGGAATTGCAAATGCATGAAATGGCACCCATTCTAGACTAGTCACAGCAGTGTTTTTGATGGCCACAGACCAGGAACGACCCTGATGTTTATCCGTAGGGAACTAGGTAATGAGCCATGATCCTCATCATGGATACTGTGCAGCTGTGGCAAAGAATGAGGTATCCTTCTGTCTGTGCACCGGGAAAGGTTTCCAAGATACACTGCACAGTGAGAAAAACAAGAAGCAGAACAATGCACGGTGTGCTACCTCTTGCATTACAAAGGAGGAAATGTAAAACTAATTTACAAATGGCCAATAAGCACATGAAACGATGCTCAACATCACTAATCATTAGGAAAATAAAAATCACAACTACAGTGGGATACCACCTTACATCCATTATGATGGTTGTTCTCAAAAAAAAAAAAAAAAAGAAAAACAGAAAAGAAAAATGTTGACAAGGAGGAGTTGGAACGCTTGTGTAGTGTTTGTGGGTATGTAATATGGCGCACCCACTGTCATCGTTTCTCAAAAAATTAATCATAGACTTACCACAAAATGCAGCAATTCAGCTTTTGGTGTATTCCAAAAAGAATGGAAAGCAGGGACCCCAGCAGATATTTGCCTGTGTTTGTTCATAGCAGCATTATTTATAATAGCTAAAAGTTGGAAACAAGCCCAGTGTCCATCCATCGTGAATGAATAAACAAAATGTGGTCTATACGTGCAAATGAATGGGATTCAGCTGTAACAAGAAGGGTGGTTCTGACGCGTGCTTCAACATGATCAAGCCTTGAGTTCTTTCTGCTAAGTGAAATAATCAGACTCAGAAAGACAAATATTACATGATTCCACTTGACAGAGGTGCCTAACGTCATGAAATGCATAGACGGAAAATGAACAGGTGGTTGTCAGTGGCTGGAGGGAGGGGGAAAGAGGAGTTGGCGTTTAATGGGTATAGAATTCCAGTTCGGGAATATGAAAAAGTTCTGGGTGGGGATGGACAGTGGTGGTGGTTGAACAACAACCTAAATGTACTTCCTGCCATTGGATGTACACTTAAAAGTGGTTAAAATGGGCCGGGCGAGGTGGCTTACATCTAATCCCAGCACTTTGGGAGGTCGAGGTGGGCAGATCACAAGGTCAGGAGATCGAGACCATCCTGGATAACAAGATGAAATCCACTCTCTACTAAAAATACAAAAAATTAGCTGGGTGTGGTCGCATGCACCTGTAGTCCCAGCTACTCAGGAGGCTGAAGCAAGAGAAGCGGTTGAACCCGGGAGGTGAAGGTTGCAGTGAGCTGAGATCACGGCATTGCATTCCAGCCTGGGTGACAGAATGAGACCCCTTCTCAAAAAAAAATAATAATAAAAAAAAGAAAAAAGAAAAGAAAAATTGGTTAAAATGGTGAATTATATGTTATATATATTTTATCAGAATTTACAATAATTCCTATTGTTTTGCATAAAACAGCTGTAGAAAGCTTTGCAGGTCATGAACAGCACAGCTGGCCACTGGGGCTGGTGTGGGGCTAGGACCTGGTTGCACAGGGAACAGGGATGAGACACAGGCTCTTCATGCCTGCACATATATACGGATACACACAGATGCAAATTTCTAAGCCATCTAAATACAACACCTATTCAAAAAATCAAACAGAAAAAGGAAATGTTATGGAGGTGAAGGATGAGGGTAGGTGGGGTGGCTGCTCAGGACAGTGGAGGCCACATCACGCAACCTTCGAGGCCTCTCTTAGCTGCTGGAGCACATCCCAGGGACTTGGGAGCTCTGGAAAGAGGAGCAGGAGAGGGCCATGGCCGGAGGAGGCCTGAAAAAGATCATCTCTGCCACAGAGAAGAAGCTGGCTCAGATGCTTGTGGCCACTGTGGAGACAGGGAGACCCAGGGAGACAACAGTATTCACTCAAGGAGGAATGGGTGGTGATGCAAACTTGGGTGGAGGCCACAGGGTGCAGAAGACAGGACACAGCAGAGAGTGATGTAGGACATGGAAGGGACAGAAAGGAGTGACCACCGGACATAAAGGGGCAAGGAAAGTGGAAGCATGAGAACATCTGCTGGGCATCTGGTGGAGGGATCAGGTTCCCAGGGTGCCCATCCCTAAGGGAGAACCCAGGATAGGAGCAGATTCAGAGAAAACCACCCAGCTCACTCCAGCAAGAAGCAGAAAAGGGACTGGTTAAAGGACAGGGTAGGAAGGTCACCAAGCTCCAAGGGCCCTCATGAATCCAGCTTGTAGGCCACAGGGCCCAGGGCAAGGACCAAACCACAGGCACAGGACAGCTCCGGCCAAGATCTTCTGGCTACTGCAGGAGGCAGAAACCACACCCTACACCCTGCACTGCTGAGGCTAGCCCTGGAGTCCAGAAGCTTCTGCACCAGAACCTTTGGTCCCCCATCCCCCTCAAAAAATTAAAAACAAAAAGCAAATCGGTGCCATGCACACTCTGTTTCCTGGTGCTGTTCTGGATCCTGAGTCTTTCATGGGAGCACCTGATGGGGAAAGCCTGGACCTGTGTTGGTGTCCCTCCTGCAAGGAGTGCTGGGACAATGAAATTTCTGGCTTCCTCCTTGGGAAGGCAGAACATTCCCCATGTGTACTGGTGGCATTTAAAAACTGCAGGGCAGCCAGAGAACATGCACCGTGTTCCACCAGGAGAGTTTCTGGCGGGTTGTCCCGGTGCAGACACCCGTCCCAAGGTGGGTATTTGAGCTGAGGAACTGAGAAGCCGGTTTCTGCCTAGAGTTAGAGATCCGAAAGGCATCACCACATGGAAGGGAGGAAAGCTACGATGCCTTGAGGGTGGGAGATCAGATGAACCAGGAGAGGCAGGGCCCGGGAGGAACCCCGGGGAGCAGCCGCCTTTAAAGCCTGGGGGAAGTAGCTTCAGAGAAGGTGGGGTAGGTTTGTGTGGGGGGTGCTGGAAAAATATAATTAAGAAAGAAATTTCTGCTCAGTCCAGAAACCCCTGTCACATCCGTAGAAGTAAAAGAAACCTGTGTTATGATTGAGTAACCATTAAGCCAAAATGTGATGCAATCTGCTAAGAGATGACAAAGACAGAAAGAAATCCCACCTTTGTATCCAGCCAAGCAGGTGCAACCCGTTACACATATGGTCTCCAGATAGATGGTGACTAGTTCCCAGTTGAGAGGACTCAATGGCCCCATTTGTCACACATAGTTCATCCTAAATTCACCCAGTAACTGTGTTGGTTCTCTGTGAGGTTAATTGGCTTTATCCACAGGAAAAACAAACCTCTCTTATCTATGACAGGAGGTAGTTTTGCAACTGGGAATGAGATGCCCCCAGAACTGAGGTTCCTTCCTTCTCACAGAAACTGGGAGACAGGGGCGCTTTCTGGCCAGATGCCTGCCTTTCAAAGAGATGGCTCCTATGGCCTTGAGGAGGATAGTTCTGGGTTGTGAGGCAGGCAAGATGCTTATGTATGTTTAGAAAGCTTTACATACATCTTCAAGGGACAGAGAAAGAATTTTCAATTACACCTCTTCTAAAAAAAAAAATGCTCTCAAAGTCCAGCCTAGGCAACATAGCAAGATCTTATCTCCACACACACAATAATAATAATAAATTTGCTGGGCATAGTGGGGTGTGCATGTAGTCCCAGCTACTCAGGAGGCTAAGGAGGGAGGATCACCTGAGCCCAGGAAGTTAAGGCTGCAGTAAGCTTGGATGGCACCACTGCACTCCAGCCTGGGTGACAGGGATGGCACCACTGCCCTCCAGCCTGGGTGACAGAGGGAGGCTCTGTCAATAAATGAATGAATGAATAGAAAATGCTCTGAGTGAAAAGAGGAGAGTCTCTTTATCTTTTTGCAACAGGCTAAACAAAATTTTTAGAATGTATATTTGCCTCACAGAGATTATTCCAGGAAAAGAAGTGGCCCTCAGTGTCAAAGGATGCAAAACTAACCTGTGAGTTCCTGGCAGGTTTAGCAATAAAGCAGGATGTTTCTGATCTCAGTACAAGCAATGTTAGAGAAAGGGGAGGATGGAAGTGGACGTGGACCAGTGAGTGGAAGGTGACAAATGGAAGCAAAGGAACGTATCCAGACCATTGAAGATGCTTGACCGAGAGGAAAGGGGCGGTGGAGGGAACGGAAGCCCGAGGAAGTCATTTGTTGCAATAAGAGGCCTCAGAGCACGTGTAGGGTGCGGGGCAGAGCCCATGCAGAGGGGCTGTGGAAGGCTGGCAGGGTGCAGGTGGCCCCACTCTCTGTCACCCTGAGGAGTATGTGGTCAGAGTTAAAGCTCAGTCTGTTTCTGGGATCAGGTAAGAGGTCAGCGTCCGGAGAAGGGAGGTGGATCTTCAGATCCTGCAGACCTCCACCGCGCCCTCTGTCCCTCTTGACTGCTTTTTCTCCATCTCTATTGTCTGGCTCACATTCCTGTCACGTCTTCCTTTCTCCCTACCCCTCTTTTCTCTTTTCTCCTCTCTTTTTCTTAACCCTTGTACCTTTGGAAGTCCCACTAATAGAATTTAAACAGCTTTTCAAGTTGGTTTTTTGTTCCCAGAAATTGACATTAGACTCTCCATGAATAATGTAGAAATCAAGAGTATAAGCTGGTTCATGTCTCTGCAAATAAACAAATAAAATCTACATTCCAATGCTTTCTTCTTCCAGAGTAGCCCACATTTGATATTTGTTTTTAATTACTGTCACTTGCGATAGATTTTTAAATCTTGTAACCTGGTTACACAAATACCATGGGGCAAAAGCCTTACTTCCTGTGAGAGGAAACCAGGCTTGACTAGCCTCATGCTGGCTTTGAAGAAGTAAAATCAGGGGTTGATGAATTTGCATAGGGTAAATATCAAAGGTCGAAAGTCAACAATAGGTGATAGAGGGAATACCCCAAATTACAAAAGAACAAACTGTTTAAGCCACAACAGAATTATCGTAGAAATAAACCACGGTCCTTCCTGCTAAAATATTCCACTTAGAATTGTAAAATATTCTTCTCAATAACTCCTGGAAGAGCCTATTAAGAAATTAGTGAGGCTGGGTGCGGTGGCTCACACCTCTAATTCCAGCACTTTGGGAGGCCTAGACGGGCAGATCACCTGAGGTTAGGAGTTTCAGAGCAGCCTGGCCAATATGGTGAAACACTGTCTCTACTAAAAATACAAAAATTACCCAGGCATGGTGGCAGGCGCCTGTAATCCCAGCTATTCGGTAGGCTGAGGGAGGAGAATCGCTTGAACCCAGGAGGTGGAGATTGCAGTGAGCCAAGATGGCGCCACTGCACTCCATTCTGGACGACAGAGTGAAACTCCGTCTCAACCAAAAAAAAAAAAAAAAAAAAAATAAGAAATCAACGAATGTAAGAGCATCTATGTTCCAAATGCAGTGTATTATTTTATGCAGGTTTTCACAAGCTCCAAAAGATTCACTGTGCAGAACTGGAGGTTCTAGAGAAAGACCACGCCTCCTCCTGCAGGTAACTCTTCATTCAGGAAGCAGCTCTTGGCTTATCCCTGGGCTTAGTGGAATTCGAATACCTGACCATAGGACACCAAGGGCTTTGGGACCTGAGTGGCACATCATGTCCTGGTGACATCTGAGTTACCTGGGGCGTGCACAGCAGCCTCCAGCATCCCAGGGAGAGCTGTGTACGGGGTCAGGCTCAAGCGGGTCCCAGGGCACCAGTGACCCAATGGGTGACTCAGACTCCCATGGCACCTGCTCCTTCTGTTTCTCCCTCCGCCGTATATATGAGCTCATGGGAAGTGCTGTGACCTCTTACAGAGGAGGAAAGTGCATGGACTTCCAGCTTCTAGAACTGGGATACAATAAACTCCTCTTGCTTGTCTATTCCTCTGCAGTATTTTGTCATGGCAGCCCTAGCAAACTACTACAGGGACTGTGGGGGTTAGGATGACACCAAGCATCAAATGCCACTCCCTGTTCCAACACTGAGACCATTCCACAGCCCCTGAATGACAAGACAGGCCTTCAAGCTCAAGACTACTTGGCTAGGTAAGTACTTTAGTCACACCACTTCTGAACTTTCTTGCCTACCTGCAGGGCAGGAATTTTTACCATTTTCAAATGAGGACACTGAAGCTCAGAGAAGTGATGCTATTTCCTGATGGATAAGAGGTGATATATTTCAGTCCTCAGACCAACTCTGAAGTAGCAAGCTTCTAGTCTTAAGAGTCAAACTTGGCTGGGCATGGTGGCTGAAGCCCATAATCCCAGCACTTTGGGAGGCCGAGGTGGGTGGATCACCTGAGGTCAGGAGTTAGAGACCAGCCTGGCCAACATAGTGAAACCCCGTCTCTACTAAAAATACAAAAATTAGCCGGGCGTGGTGGTGTGTGCCTGTAATCCCAGCTACTCAGGAGGCTGAGGCAGGAGAATGGCTTGAACCCGGGAGGTAGAAGTTGCAGTGAGCCAAGATTGTGCCATTTCACTCCAGCCTGGGGAACAAGAGTGAGACATCATCTCAAAAACAAAACAAAACAAAAAAGAGTCAACCTCGAGCCAGGCACGGTGGCTCATGCCTGTAATCTCAGCACTTTGGGAAGCCGATGAAGTCAGGAGTTCGAGACCAGCCTGGGCAACATGCTAATACCCTGTCTCTACCAAAAATTTAAAAATTAGCTGTGTATGGTGGCTCATGCCTGTAATCCCAGCTATTTGGGAGGCGGAGGCACAAGGATGGTGTGAACTCAAGAGGTGGAGCTTGCAGTTAGCCAAGATTGCACCATTGCACTCCAGTCTGGAGTGCCAAAAAAAAAAATCCATCTCAAAAAAAAAAACACAAAAAGAATAAATATGGGGCCTCATGACTGTATATTACTGGGCTTCTGACCTAGACTGAAAGATCAGGGAAGAGTTTCCTGAAGAGAAAGTGAGCTATGATGGGCCCACTGTACTCCAGCCTGGGCAACATAATGAGGCTCTGCCTCAAGAAAAACATGCAGAATAAAACCACAAAAAGATACCACTACAGAACTATTAGAATGGCTAAGATTAAAAAGAATGACCACGCCAAGTTTTGGCAAGGATGTGGAGGCACTGGAATGCTCACGCTGCTGGTGGGAATGTAAGATGGTACAATATCTATGGAAAGCAGTCTGGCAGCTTCTAAAAATTTCAGCATACACCCACCATGCCACTCGGCAATTCCATTCCATTCCCACATTATTTTTATTTAAAGGAAAATCAAGTGGAATGATCTTTAAAGCATTTTTGCCTGACAAATACATGAAATGTGGGTAGCAGCCCAACACTCCCTGGTCAGTCTTCACAGGGCATATGTGGCCTCGTGGCCCCCAGGAAATATGGCTCTTTCCACAAGTGCTAAGTCCAGTCTCTCCATCAATCCTAAGATGTTAGTTCCACAGCACTGCCAGCATGGGGCTTTGTCTATTTCTTTCTTTCTTTGTCTTTTTTGAGAGGGGTCTTGCTCTGTCATCCAGGCTGAAGTGCAGTGATGCAATGTTCGTTGTAATAGCTCCCATTTCATTTCTAATTGATCTTATTTGGCTCTTCTCTCTTCTTTTCTTGGTTAATCTTGCCAATGGTTTATCAACTTTATTTATTATTCCCAAAAATCAGCTTTACATTTTATTTATATTTTGTATTATTTTGTTTCAATTTCATTTAGTTCTACTCTGATGTTGGTTATTTTCTTTCTTCTGCTGGGTTTGGGTTTGGTGCATTCTTGTTTCTTGAGTTTCTAGAAATGTAACCTTAGATTGTCTATTTGTGCTCTTTCAGTCTTTTTGATGTAGGCATTTAATGCTATAAACTTTTAGCACACTCTTTGCTGTATTCCAGATGTTTTGATAGGGTGCGTCACTATTGTTCAGTTCGAAGAATTTTTAAACTTCCATCTTGATTTCATATTTGACCCAATGATCATTCAGGAGCAAGTTATTTAATTTCCATGTGTTTGCATGGTTTTGAAAGTTCCTTTTGGAGTTGATTTCCAGTTTTATTCTACCGTTGTCTGAGAGAGTACTTCATATAATTTCAATTTTCTTAAATTTATTGAGACTTGTTTTGTGGCCTATCATATGGCCTATCTTGAAGAAAGTTCCATGTGCTGATGAATAGAATGTATATTTTGTGGTTGTTGGGTAGAATAGTCTGTAAATATCTCAAGTCTATTTTCTCTAGGACATAGTTTAAACCCATTGTTTCTTCCTTGACTTTCTGTCTTGATGACCAGTCTAGTGCTGTCAGTGGAGTACTGAAGTCCCTCACAATTATTGTGTTACTGTCTATCTCATTTCTTAGGTCTAGTAGTAATAGCTATATAAATTTGGGAGCTCCAGTGTTAGGTGCATATATATTTAGGATTGTGATATTTTCCTGTTGGATAAATCCTTTTATTATAATATTTTATTATTATATAATGTCCCTCTTTGTCTTTTTTAACTGCTGTTGCTTTAAAGTTAGTTTTTTTGATATAAGAATAGTTACTCCTGCTCACTTTTGTGGCCATTTGCATGGGGTGTCTTTTTCTTACCCTTTAACCCTTTAAAGTGTTTATGTGACACTTTAGGGTTAGGGGAGTCTCTTGAGGGCAGCAGATACTTGCTTGGTGAATTATTATCAATTCTGCAATTCTATATCTTTTAAGTGGAGCATTTAGACCACTTACATTCAATGTTAGTATTGAGATGTGAGGTACTGTTCCATTCATCCTGCTATTTGTTGCCTAAATACCTTGGTTTTATTCATTTATTTATTGTATTTTTGTTTTATAGGTCCTGTGAGATTCATGCTCAAAGAGGTTCTGTTTTGATGTGTTTCCAGGATTTGTTTCAAGATTTGGGTTCCTTTTAGCAGTTATTGTAGTGCTGGCTTGGTAGTGGCAAATTCTCTGAGCATTTGTTTGTCTGAAAAAGACTGTTATCTTTCCTTTATTTATGAACTTTAGTTTTGCTGGATACAAAATTCTTGGCTGATAATTTTTTTTTTTTTCTGAGATGGAGTCTTGCTTTGTCACCCAGGCTGGAGTGCAGTGGTGCGATCTCGGCTCACTGCAACCTCCACCTCCTGGATTCACACCATTCTCCTACCTCAGCCTCACCAGTAGCTGGGACTACAT